>NC_000005.10:105109807-105734807 GCF_000001405.40 Homo sapiens
CAATACTGAATAATAAAAATTCACAAACCAAATTTTTCCTAGATACAGCAAATTCTACCATAAATAATGTTTCTTCTCAATATATAAGTCAACAAAATCACGCTTCTAATTCTGAAGCGAAAAATTCATACATATATGCATATGTACTCTGGAATTTCTCTTTTACCTGGATGACAAATTAAACAAAGAAGCAGATTTTTTTAATAATGTTCCAAAGTCCAGATAGTAATGGCAACCAATTTCTAACAGACCTTGTTGTTTTCATCACTATAAAGCAGAGACATTTGTTTCAGGGTGTCTAAAGCATTTTGCCTACTCAGTGCAATAATCTTTATGGCTCATACAATATTGAGAGTTTCCACAAATGAAAGTCAACTTCATTATTATAGAAAACTTTATGTGGTTTTATGTGTGTGTGTGTGTGTGTGTGTGTTATGAGAAAGGAGAGCTTTACTACATAAACGGTTTTACAAAGCCGAATTTTACCTTTTAACACTGCCCTAATCTTGGTGATATCTTGTTTTCTCAGGGATACTTTGAATGGCATTTTCCCAGAAAATACAAGGTCTCACACTGATTTTAAGAAAATTGATCCAATTTAGGAAAGCTATTATACTTTATTAAACTAAGTTTTTTTATTACACTATATTAATTAATTCTGATTGTGGAATACAGATATAGAAATAAAGCAGAATTTCTGGCTTCATTTAAGATGTAGAAATCTGCAAGATAACATTGCTCCTATACTAACAATAAAAATAGCCAGTGTCCTACAAAATAAGTTTCCTTGAACCCATCAGAGAGCAGAGGACATACAGCAACTAAGCGACATAAATTCTATCCAGTGACAAAACAGAATGCATATTCATTTCTCTTTGCTAAAATACAGGAGAAAGAGGTTACCATAGAAGTGAATGAATTAAAGTTGAGACAAAAATTTATTGAATTCCTAGAGTGAGTATGGATTATTGTGTCAGATTAGAATAACTCAGAGCTCTAGACACAGAAGAGTTCACTCCCAATAATAAGCTGTCTCCATGGATCTCTGCCAGGTGCTAATAAAAACATTGTAAGCAGGAAAAGAGACTGGAAAGAGCCCCTGTTAATGGCAGGAGCAGACATGTAAGAGGTGACCAGCTGCTCCTCAAATAGTGACACAAAATACTGCCCACTTCCTTAAATCCTCCTCTCTTACAAAGTAAAAACCCCAAACTGCCTCAATAGGGGTATCATAACCTCTTACCACACACCAATCTGCTGGGGGAAGGTAGAAACAAAACCGTCTGTCTCTAAAGGAGGAATAGAAAACATCCCTCTCAACTCCCAAGAACCAGCAATGATCCACTGCTTCTGGGGAAGGAGCCGAACAAATGCTCTCTGCCCACAGAAGTGAGCAGGAAAATGTCTTGAACCCAGAATCTGCATTCATAAAAGGCAAAGATCTACCACTGGCGGTGGGCAGGAAACTAAACTGTTGCCTGTCCAAGATCCACTACAGATACAAGGCAGATATTGGCTTCCATGGGTGGGAGGAGAGACAGGAAGGTGGCAAAAGTGCAATTTTCAGTTTCAGAGGCTTACAGGCCCTCTTGGAGGTGCAGGCATGTAGGGTCTGCAGAAATTTGAAGTAGAACAGGAGCACAAAGAATGCTCAGGGAAGAGAAGCCCATTGCTGGAAGAATCTGAGATCTATGGTACACAGAGGATAACAACAAAGATAGGTCAACCACAGTGTTAGACTTCTATGCTGCATAACAAACAGCCACAAACACAGCACATGACACACATTTATTATCTCATACTTTCTGTGGGTCAAGCCTCTGGAAATGACTTAGCTGGGTTATCTACAAAGCTAAAATTAAGGTGTCAACCCAGGATGAGTACTCATCCGGAAGCTCAGCTGATGTTCTCCTAGAAAGTTAAGACTATATGAACTATATGAAAGTTAAGACTATATGAAAGTCAGACTATATGAACCAGTAATCTCCCCCTTAGGTGTTTTCTTAAGAGAAAAAAAGAAACATATGTCAACACTATATTTCTATATGTTAATGTTGACGGGAGCTTTATTCAAGTAGCCAAACCCTAGAAAAACCTAACTATCCACAAAGAAATATTGAATATTTATACAATGAACTGTTACTCAACAATAAAAATAAATGAGTATAGATAAATGAAACATTATGCTGACTCTCAAAAACACTATGCAGGATGAGTGTGGTGGCTCACGCATGCAATCCTAGTAATTTGGGAGGCTGAGGTAGGAGGATTGCTTGATACCGGTAGTTCAACACCAGCCTGGCTGACATAGCAAGACCTCATCTCTACAAAAAATTAAGAACTTAGCAAGGTGTGGTGTCACTCACCTGAAGTCTGAGCTACTTAAGAGGCTGACGTAGGAAGAACACTTGAGCCCAGGAGTTCAAGGCTGCAGTGAGCTATGATTGCACCACAGCACTCCAGCCTGGGCAACAGAATGAGACCTTGTATTAGGATTCTCTAAAGAAACAGAACTAAGATAGATATATATAAAGGGGAGTTTAATAAGTATTAACTCACATGATCACAAGGTCCCACAATAGGCCTTCTTCAAGTGGAGAAGCAAGGAGAGCCAGTCTGAGTCCCAAAACTGAAGGAGGGGGTCCAATGTTTGAGGGCAGGAAGCATCCAGCATGGAGAAAGATGTAGGCTGGGAGGCTTTTTTCTGCCTGCTTTACATTCTAGCCGCTCTGGCAGCTGATTAGATGGTGCCCACCCAGATTAAGGGTGGCTGTGCCTTTCCCAGCCCACTGACTCAAATGTTAATCTCTTTTGGCAACACCCTCACAGACACGTCCAGGATCAATACTTTGCATCTTCAATCCAATCAAGTTGACACTCAATATTAACCATCACAAGTCCATCCGTTGTCAACTTGAAACCATACACATCTCTTGAGATCACAGATAATATTCAAATAAAGACAATAATAAGGTCATAATTATGCCTAACATAATACATAATACGGGGTGGCTGAGGAAAAAGCCTGAGTGGCGTCCACAGAACGGGTCATCCTATCTGCTTGATTATTAAAATCTTCCTCTGCTGAGGTCACCCGTTGGTGAACACTCACACGGCATGCAAATATCTTCAGTTTTTGACCACTCAGAGGGGTCTGTCCACATACCTCTTCCCCAAATTTCTTTGTCACCAATTTTCCAACCATGCTTCTTCCAAGTCCCTGACCATCCAGCCAAACCATTGGCTACAGCCCATGAATCAGTATATAATCACATATCTGGTCATTTCTCCTTCTATGCAAAGTGTGCAATCAGGTGCACTGCTTGAAATTCTGCCCACTGGGAAGATTTCCCCTCACCGCTGTCCTTCAGGGATGTCCTAGAAAGGGGCTGTAGTGCTGCAGCTGTCCACTTTCAGGTAGGGCCTACAGAACCATCTGTGAACCAGGCCCTAGTCTTATCTTTCTTTGTCAACTGATCATAGGGAACTCCCCATGAGGCCATCAGTGCAGGCTGGAGGAGAGAAGGTAGGGTAGCAGGAGTGGAGACCATGGAAATTTGAGCCACTTCCTCATGTAACTTACTTCTGCCTTCAGGACCTCCTTTAGCCTGATCACGTATATACCACTTCCATTTAATGACAGAATGCTGCTGTGTATGACCCACTTTATGGCTAGATGGGTCAGAAAGCACCCAGTTTATAATAAGTAGTTCAGGCCGCATGGTGACTTGATTACCCATAGTCAAACATTCAGTTTCCATCAAAGCCCAGTAACATGCCAAGAGCTGTCTCTCAAAAGGAGAGTAGTTATCTGCAGAAGATGGCAGGGCCTTGCTTCAGAATCCTAGAGGCCTCTGCTTGATTTACCTATGGGAGCTTGCCAAAGGCTCCAAACAGCATCCCTATCTGCCACTGACACCTCAAGCACCATCGGATCTGCTGAGTCATATAGCCCAAGTGGCAGAGCAGCTTGCACAGCAGACTGGACCTGTTGGAGAGCCTTCTGTTCTGGACCCCACTCAAAAATGGCAGCCTTTCAGGTCACTCAATAAATGGGCTGGAGTAACACACACAGATGAGGAATGTGTTGCCTCCAAAATCCAAATAGTCCCACTAGGCATTGAGCTTCTTTCTTGGTTGTAGGAGGGGACAAATTCAGCAACTTATCCTTCACCTTAGAAGGAATATCTCGACAGGCCCCACGCCATTGGACTCCTAGAAATTTTAATGAGGTAGAAGTCAGGTTATTTCCCATTCTCAGGCTTGCAAATGTTTCATCAATAAGTCCAGTGTGTTTGCTACTTCTTGCTCACTGGATCCAGTCAGCATAATGTCATCAATATAATGGACCAGTGTGATGTCTTTCAGAAGTGATAAGTGATCAAGATCTCTCCAAATAAGATTATGACATGAGGCCAGAGAACTGATATACCTCTGAGGTAGGATAGTAAAGCTATATTGCTGCCTTTGCCATCTGAAGGTAAATTGCTTCTGGTGGGCCTAATGGACAGGAATGGAGAAAAAGACATTTGCCAAGCCAATGGCTGCATACCAGGTACCAGGAGATGTGTTAATTTGCTCAAGCAATGAAACTACATCTGGTACAGTAGCTGCAATTGCGATCAGCACTTGGTTAAGCTTATGATAATCCACTGTTGTTCTCCAAGATCCATTTGTCTTCTGCACAGGCCAAATGTGAGAGTTGAATGGGGATGTGGTGGGAATCCCCACCCCGGGTCTTTCAAGTCCTTGATGGTGGTACTAATCTTGCAATCCCTCCAGGGGTGTGATATTGTTTTTGATTTACTATTTTTCTAGGTAGAGGCAGCTCTAAGGGCTTCCATTGGCCTTTCCCACCATAGTAGCCCCATTCTACCAGTCAGGGAGCCAATGTGGGGTCTCTGCCAGCTGCTGTTTGTCTATGCCAATTATGGATTCTGGCACTGGAGAAATAACCACAAGATGAGTCTTGGGACCTACTGGACCCAGTGTAAGTCAGACCTGAGCTAATATGTTATTAATTACCTGACCTCCATAACCCCCTACTTTAACTGGAGGACCACATTTACATTTTGGGTCTCCTGGAATCAACATCAGCTCAAAACCGGTGTTCAGTAGTCTCTAAAATGTCTGATCATTTCTCTTTCCCCAGTGCAGAGTTACCCTGGTAAAAGGCCAGAGGTCTCCTTGGGGAAGGATGGGAGAAAGATTCACTGTATAAATTGTCAGTAATGTAGTGAGTTCCTTCCTCAAGGGAACCCGGCCTCCCCTTTGTTCAAGGGGATTTTATTAAGTATTAACTCATGGTAATGTAGTGAGTTCCATCCACAAGGGAACCTGGCCTCCCCTTTATTCAAGGGGATTTTATTAAGTATTGACTCACATGATCACAAGGTCCCCAATAGGCTATCTGCAAGCTGAGGAAAAAGGAGAGTCAGTTCGTGTCCCAAAACTGAAGAACTAGGGGTCCAGTGTTCAAGGGCAGGTAGCATCCAGCATGGAGAAAGATGTAGGCTGAGAGTCTAGTCCAGTCTAGTCTTTTCACATTTATCTGCCTGCTCTATATTCTAGCCGTGCTGGCAGCTGATTAGGTTGTGCCCACCAGATTAAGGATGGGTCTGCCTTCCCCAGCCCACTGACTCAAATGCTAATCCCCTTTGGCAACACACTCACAGACATACTCAGGATCAATACTTTGCATCATCAATCCAATAAAGTTGACACTCAGTATTAACTATCACAGAGCCTGTCTCTAAAATACTACTACCACTGCTGCTACTACTACTACTACTACTACTACTACTACTACTACTACTACTACTACTACTAAATTATATGAATTAAAAGAAGCCAGAAGCAAAAGGCTATATCCTGTATGATTTAATGCATAGGGTATTCTGAAAAAGGATAAACAATAGGGTCAGAAATCAGGTAAGTATTGAAAGTAACAGTGTTTAGGAGAAGAAAGTAATCACACAAAGGAAACTTGGAGTGATGAAAATATTCTATATCTCTATCATGTTGCAAACACTAATCAAAACTCATGGATCTGTATACCTAAAAAGAATGCATTATATTCTTTTAAATTTATACTTTAACTTGCATTAAACAAAGTGAAAGAAAACAAGTTGAAAAATTATGACATTTTCCGTATTTCTAATGTCATCTTTTTCTACCATTTCTGAAATTAATACTTGTGTCATTACTGTGTTGTTAATAGTTCCTGTATATTGGTTATCTATTGTTGTATAACAAATTATCACAAATTTAGCAGCTTAAAAAAACATACATTAGTTATTTCACATTTTCTGTGGTTCACTTTCTGTCTGAGCACAGCTCAACGGGGTCCTCTGCTTCAGGGTCTCTCATAAGAACGGAATTCAGGAATCAGAGCTTAAGACCCTACTGTGGCAGGATCCACTTCCAAGTTTGTGTTGTTATTGGCAGGATTGAATTCCTGGAGGACTGTTAGCCTGGGGCCCTCAGCTTCTTGCTGGCTGTTGACTGCAGGAAGCCCTTAGTTCCTTGCCATGTGGTCTTCCCATTATGGTGGCTTTCTTTATGTAAAGTAATGATAGACATAATGTCCTATCACCTTTGCAGTGTTGCATTGGCTAGAAAGATGTCACAAGTCCCACCCACACTTAAGGGTTGGGGATTACATAAATGCATAAGGGCTAGGAGGTAGACACCCACAGGGCTATGTTAGAAGTGACCTGCCATACAACATTAATATCAATTAAAGAAATATATTTCTATTTATAGTATTTAGACATTTAGTGGCTAAACTACTTGATGATAATTGGCATATGAGATAAAAATTAAACTTTATATATTACATATTTTGTTTCATATTTTAATTTCTCAGAAATGAATTCTAGGAAATCAATTGTTCACCTATGCATTTCATTATAGTCATTGTAATATTGATTTTCTTTCAACAAATGTATTCTTTTCTATGGCTCTGCTTCTGGGTTTTTAACATAATTCGGTTCTGGCTGGATATACTATATGTTTAACTGGTCTTAATTTCCCCCCATTATTATGTGCTACATTATCGAAAATATTTTATGTCTTAGAAAGCTTTGTCTTTGAAGTCAATGATAGCTTATTATATTTGTGTGTTTGCTTGCAGCTGGAATTTAACATGATTTTAATTATTATTTGGTTAAATAAATTATCAAGAATTTCACTAGCTGATTATATTAGCTAGTTTCAATATGTGTGACTATACAACACTAATTCAAATGTGGCCAAAATATTTTATGATAAACACTGAAAGGGCTCTAACCAACATTGTTTATTAATAGTTATGTTTTTTATTTTGATTTACACTTTCTAGAAGATACATATAAAATATTCCAATTCTATATATACCTATTTCAGAGAACCTACTTTAATTTCCATATTGAATTGTTTTATATTCAATTTTTAAATTTAACACTTCAATGTTTTAACATTAATCTTTTTATATTCGATGTTTAGTTTTATATCATTTGCTATTTATCTCATTCATATGTATTTTTACTTGTAGGAATTTAATGATCTCTGATCAGTAGTTCTTAATATAGAATTTATTCCACAAGAAACATCAGATTATAAGACCATTTTTCTCCAATTAAAAAAAAAGTTTGATGTCTTACAGTATTTCTAGTAGGCTTTAGGCTTAAAAAAAAGGAAAAACAAAAAAAAACCTATTCCACTAATAAACATTTTATCTTGTAAAATTGTGATTCTATTGTATTATTTTGAAAACAAGGTTTTATTATAATAAGAATTATCAGTTTGCTCCCTATCAACTTGTCAGCATAAAAGAAAGAGAGATTCTAGCATTGAAAAGGACATAGCACTCTGTCTGATGCACACTGAGTCATTATTTGACCCTTTGGATTCTAATTTATTCTTTTTAACTAGATACAATTCAAATTGTATAATAGGATTCTTACATTTGGGAAGGTATTTCAGGATAAAACCGAATAACATTGTTAGTTTCCTTTTATATAGATATTTTGTTCATTTTATATTTTTATTCATTTAAATATATTTGCTAATTTTGTTAATTATTCAATAAATAAATTTTTCTTTTCTTTTTTTGAGATAGTTCTGGTCTGTTGCCAAGGCTGGAGTGCAGTAGCACAATCATAGTTTATTGCAGCCTTGAACTCCTGGGCTCAAGTGATCCTTCAAGTAGACTATAGGGCACACCACCACAACTAGTGTGATGGTTAATATTGAGTGTAAACCTGATTGAATCGAAGGATGCAAAGTATTGTTCCTGAGTGTGTCTGTGAGGATGTTGCCAAAGAAGATTAATATTTGAGTCAGTAGACTGGGAAAGGCAGACCCATCCTCAATCTGGGTGGGCACCATCTAATCAGCTGCCAGTATGGCTAGGATAAAAGCAGGCAGATGAATGTAGGCTGGCTTAGTCTTCCAGCCTACAACTTTCTCCTGTGCTGGATGTTTCCTGCCCTCAAACATCGGACTCCAATTTCTTCAGCTTTGGGACTCTTGGACCTTTGACCACAGACTGAAGGCTGAACTGTTGGCTTCCCTACTTTTGAGGTTTGGGGACTCGGACTGGATTTCTTGCTCCTCAGCTTGCAGACAACGTACTGTGGGACCTCATCTTGGATTGTGTGAGTCAATACTCCTTAATAAACTCCCCTTTATATATATGTCTATCCTAATTAGTTCTGTCCCTCTAGAGAACCCTGATGAATACACCTAGCTAGTGTTTTATTTTTTATATTTTGGAGGAACAGGATCTTGCTACATTGCCCAGGCTGATCTCAAAGTCCAGGCCTCAAGCAATTGTCCTACCTTGGCCTCCCAGAAGGCTGGAATCATAGGAATGAGCCACTGTGCCCAGTCTCAATTAAATGACTATTTACTAAATGTGTACTACATGCCAGTATTATAATCTCTGAGAATATAATAGTGAATTAAACAAAAACTTGTTCAAATGGAGTTTATTTTTAGTGATTAGGACATATACACAGTAAGAAAATAAATTTATCTTATTAATGATAATATGCTTTAAAGATAAAATAGAGAAAGCACACAGGAAGTAGAGATTTAAGGGGGAGGGCAGTAAAAATACTTTCAATTTTCCTCAAAATTATTTTTAACATTGTTACAGATTTTTAGGATCTCCTAGGAAGTCCAGAGATTATTGGATACAAGCTCTTCATTTTACAGATAAGGATATTGCCACCCAAGGTAGGGGGCAAGTGAATCAGCCAAGGTCTTATTAGATAACAGATTCACAAATATGACCTAGAAACCAGTTCATGTATTTCCATATGCCACTGTCCATTTTACTTTGCTAACTTTTTCCATGCCAACTTTGCTCCCAAGAGTTATACTTGAGGCAAAAGTCAGGACTTTTTTCCTCTCCTCCTGACTCCATTTCCATATCAGGATGAGTATTGCCCACGCTGTCGTGTATTTTTAATACTTTTTACATAGTATTATATGAACATATTCATATAGTATTATATGGACATAAATACTATATAAACAAATTCATATAGTATTTCATAGAGTTATTTTAATTCTATTCAATTCTTTCTTGCTGTTTATTCATATGAATTGTCATGACTATAGAACACTGGAGAGTAAAACCTATACATTAATGTATATGTATGTATATGTATGTATGTCTCCCACATCAAGTAACTTAGTGTAGTAGATACAGTTGACACCTAAAAGACATTTGCTGCATTTGATGAAGCACCTTCTCAGCTAAGATATTGCAAGATATGCCCCAAATATGAAATAATTTACACATATATTTTGACTGTGGATCTCCTTCAGTGTTTTCAATTGGGCCCCAGGAAGAACATATTTATAAACATGGGAAGATTTTAGGGAAAGATGAGAAGGTTGAAATTGGCTCATTTCTTCAGATTCTTAAAATATCAAAATCAACCTGAGTCTGGAAATGAGGCTTGAGATCTCCATTGGCTTCAAGGGCATACACATCTGAGCTGTAAGGCTGTCGTGTGGGCTCAAATTTACCTTGCTTGTTATTTTTCAGTACAAATTGGGCCTCCTAGCCACCAGGAAAAACATTTAAAAAAAATCTTTAGGGTTATTTAAGAATGTGATTAGTCAACTGGAAGTTTTTTATTGCATACTCAGTAACCATCTGCAGTCAATAAAAAGCTACCAGTTGGCCTAAATATGTAGAAGCACATCGGTCACTTGTGTTTTGGGGTTGATCTGGTCCTTCGCCAGTGTGCACCTGTTTATCCATGCCCAAACAGTGTTGTGTAGGCTGAGAGAAGCAATAAGTGCAACACTGCCAGTGAGATATCTATTACACCTGCAAGTAAGCATATTCAGATTTATATCTATACTTGCTTTAGAACGATGTCTCTACTAGTCAATGAAGGCAATAAGTTTACATCCACAAGTCCAACTTTCTTAAAAAAATGGAAAAGTAGAAAAACACAGATGAATATAGTCTCTTGTGCCTTTATTTCATGAAAATATAAGTTTAAATCAGGATTGCAGAACAACTTCATAAATTGTTTCAGGAATTACAGTGATTCAATAGAAATGAAATCACAGCTGGCATTGATGTAAGACTGCTGTGAAGAATCACTTTGCTTAAAGGTGATGCTATCAGTTGGTCAAGGGTTGCTTAAGAGCAGGAGAAAGGGCTAGGGAATAAAGGTAATGAAGAGCGGAAATGAATAAAATAGAGAGAAAACTATTGGTACAGTATGAAAAATATAAAATCCATTAAAGTAACGACAGTTCAATTTGCTAAAATTTCTCAAGGTATCTTGTAAAATAGCTCTGCATGATTTCTCTTATTTTCAGACATGATGCTCTATATAAATGGGTTCAAGTTTTGTTGCTGGTATGGTAAAGTGAAGAGAAGCTTCAAATTACGATCAGAAAACCTAAAGTCAGCAACTAGGAGTTGCCACTACTGTGTGAATTTGAGAAATATCTGACTTCACCTCAGTGATCAGTAGTTTCTTGTTTCTTAATTATTAAAAAATTATATAAACATGTAGAATCATGGATAGTAATAACTCAAATATCTTTCCTTTATAAAGGAAAAGACTCTTCCGGGAGGTAAAGCAATTTGATTTACCTGAATAATGAGAACTGAGACTAAAGTTTACATTTCCTGATTCGGTTTAATTTTTTTTTTTTTTTAAGGCTTTGCTCTTCAAAGTACTGTCCCTGGAGGAACAGCCTCAGTATCACTGAGGAGCTTGTTAGTCATGTAGAAAAGCTGTGACCTTAGACGACTGAATCAGAATCTGCATTATAAACAGACCCCCAGGTAATTCCTCTGCACATTAGTGTTGGAGAAGCAACTGGAACAAATGAGCAGATAAATGTAAAACAAACCCTGCTGAATAAATGCACACTATAATTCTAGGATAGAACTTCATTTAAGTATGCCTATAAAATGCTTTTAATTCGAAATGTGAAACTGAGTAAAAATGCCCTTGTAATAATTTCACTAATAAAAATCCTCACATTTGTCAAACCCACATATTCCAGTGAATTCAAAGATCTACCAAAAGGCTAAACTAATAATGACTATTTTAATTATATATACATCTGGTAAAATGCAATATATAATCTACAAAATAAGATTTCATCCATAAATACCAGCGGAATTTACAGAATTTAGAGTTTCTCTCCCTTTCTCAAGAACTGTTTAGGTTTACATAAAAGCAATGCTACAATCTAACAGGAATGGGCAAATTATGTAAGAGGGCAGCAGTGGAAATAGATTTCCATATATTTATTCTGATATGTTCACAGGCCTCAAAGTAGTAAGAAGAGTGATATAAACCTTAAATTTTTCCTGTTTGGTGAAAAATCTTAAATATGATACTTGTGTCTTTGAAATGTGCATCCTTGGTGCCAAAGGTGCTGCCTAGCTAGATAAACTAAGTGCTGAATAAACATTGTTTGCAAGAAACCAGGGATATGGGTGGGAGACTAGACTAAAACTTTTTTTTTTTTTTCTGTTCACCAAGTAGAAGAAAGAACAAAATTGGATCTGACTGTTGTTACCACCAGAGGAAAATTTGATAATCTCAAGAAAATTGAATGTTAAGATCAAATATTTAAGTCTGATTGAAAGGAAGAGACATTCATTTGAGAAGTACATTAGTGTGATTAAAACTTTGTTTGTGCTTTAAATACTGCACAGAATAAAGCCAAAAGCTGCATAATCTGTGTTGTCAAAGTCAGAAATAAAAAGAAAGCAACGAGTAACCTTAATGTAAAACAAATTGATACAAATTGAGCTCAATTTTATAGTCTAAGCAACCAATGCAAATGTATAAAAATAGTATAAATCAAATATTTTCAATAATTTTGATTCTGGGATGTTGGAGATAGAATAATATCTGCCCAAAGATGTCTACTTCCAAATCCCTGGAACCTGTAAATATGGTACATAACAGGGAAAAAGAGACTTTGCTGATGTAATTAAGGTTATAGATCTTAAAATTTTGAGATTATCCTGGATTTTAGAGTTTGGTCCAACCTAATCACATGAATCCCTAAAAGCAGAGAACTTTCTCCAGAGGCAGCCTGAAGAGATGATGGATGCAGAAGGTGAAGTCTGAGGAATTTCCAGTGAGAAGATTCGATGCACTGTTACTATCTCTGAGATGTAGGGAGCCACATGTAAGGATCAGAGACAAGTCCCTAGGAGGTAAGGGTAGCCCCTGGCTGATGGCCAGTAGAGAAGCAGGAACTTCAGTCCTATAGTCACAAGAAACCAATTCCGCCAACCTCAATGGGCTCGGCGATAGACGCTTCCCTAGATTTCCAATAAAAAATGCAGTTTTGTCCACACCTCGATTTTGGTCTTTTGAAATCTGGAGCAGAGTAATAAGCTGAGGCATGCTGTATCCAACATGTTACTGCTTTGTTGTTGTTGTTGTTGTTGTTGTTGTTGTTGTTGCAGTTCATTTGGTAATTTGTTATGGCAGGAATGAAAAGTTAATATATAGATCAGTCTCATATATTAGTAAATATTAAAAGATCCCTTACTGATTCTAATGCATGGCTAGGTTTGAGAAAGCCTTTGTCACGCAACGACAAAGAAAAAAATACATATCAGAAAGACAAAGTAAAATAATTAATCATTAGCAGGCATATGCTCTGTATCATCTGATTTTTCTCAAGAATTAGTAATTTACGGAAAAGCTATTAATATAAGAATTCTGGGAGATTCCCAGTTTCAAAACCAAAATACAAAGTTTAACTTTTAACTTTTTTAACCTAGGAACTTAACCAAATAGAACTATAAGAAAATAAAAGCTTCATCACCAGTCTAAAATTACAAGTGAAATATGAACAAGAGTAATGGGAAATGTTCTTGTTCTAAACCTATGTGAATATTATTTAAAAAAAAAACTTTATGTGGAATCTCAACATAATTTTGAAGTTACCCTAAAGGAGACCATAAATAAATTCAACCTAGGAAACTAGAACTCAGAAGTAAAGAATGGCCAGATGTCAACATTTAGAGAGAAAAATGCCACAGTAAGCAGAGTCAAATAATTTTTTGTAAGCCATTCTTTGTTCATCCCCCCCCCTCAAAAATCTAATTAGTATTCAGAAAAATTTAAAGAAAATAATTTTCTTTCTAAACCACTGTGTAAAAAGTTTTCAATTTTTTTTTCCTAAAAATTTCAGGATGTTATTTGGAATTGGATTTTCCAAACATTATCCTTCAAAACTTTTGGCCATCATGAGCCTCAGAGTCAGCCAGTCAGGCTGTTAAACACACACATGCAAGCACAACAAATGTTCATAATCTCCAAACATTTATAACTTCACTCCCACAGAAACTATCATGTTTCTTAAATTTCTAACACTATTGCTAATATGTAAACAAACCTCACCAATATTGTTTTTCCACAGTATTAAATATACCACATTAGATGAAGTTTTTAAATTCTGTAATTGCTCAAATCTACCAAGAGTAAGCTCACTGAACCAAATTAACACAAGCTAACACAGATTTTATCTAAAGCAGCAGGTTTATATTTGGTCTGTCATTTCCTCCAGTATCTGAAATTACTGGAAATAATATTATCTGATAATTTATCACTATCTCTTGTTCCTTTTTGACTCATAGAAGGTTCAGAAGCTTAGTCTAGCTGAGGACTGCTATGAAAGACATAAGGAAGAGATCATAAAATCTTCTGTTTATAGTCTTATTTACAAGGTTATCCTGTTTGAATCTTCCAGATTCTCTTAAAACAATAAAACTTTTAAGTCTTAAGAATAAATATAATTAATCTTACAACAAATCTAGGGATATTTCAGTAGCAAAACATCACTAATTTGTCAATTTCTACCTAAACCATGAAAATTAATTCAAAGGCAGTTGCCTTAACAATAATAACTGGAGCCAGCAGGTAAAAATGACTTAATTTTCCCTAGATAATATTGGTTAGAAGTTATGGCAGTGGCTCTCAAACAGAATTACAGTGACTGTGTATTAAAATTCCCACTACCAGGCCCTAGTACCACAACCTGAGTAAGTAAATTTGTGAGTGAAAAGAAAAAAACAGAGTTATCATTGTTAACTATAAATGATCTTACCCTGTTCAATGGCTGTAACATTTAAGTTAAGGCAAGACGAGTGCGTTTTAGAAATCTGCTGTACAATACTGTGCTTATAGTTTACATTACTGTAACTGTATAATTAAAGCTTTAAGATAATGGATCTCATGTTATCTATTCCCACCACAGCAAAAAAGTATACTTGTTTTTGAGAGAATGGTTTCACATGAAAAATTACAACAGCAAATAAATTTTTGAATCCATAAAAACTAACCACATGTTATACTACATTCTGTGGTCCTACAATGCAGAAACATAGATTCTCCTCATCATTTCTCTTTTTGTAATACTCTTATGAAATACTTTTCAAGATGCAAAATAGATGTGGAAAGCAAATTTTATAATCTTTTACTTTGTACTGAAATACATTTACTCAGGACATTCCAGGATATCAACATTTCCCAGTCTCTTCATCCTATTAGCATCACAAAAGGAAGATTAAGAGATCAAGAAAGGAGAAATTTTGAATATATGTGAATGTCATATATCTTCATATTATAAACTTAACTGCTAGTGATAATGATTTCTATCATATATTAAAATTAGCAGTAATTGCATCAAACATGTACATAGGGATCTATGCTTTTTAAAGCACGTTAGGGGCTTTTTTATTGTGTTCATTTGAATTTTATTACTTCTAATACTTTAATTTCTCTCAAGCCACCTCAAATTGATAATTCATTACTTTGTTCTCTTGATGCTGCTTCAATTCAACACTTTTTTTTTCTCTAGGCTATTACCCCTTGTGAAATAAAAGAAAACTGATAATACACTAAACTAAACAATGAGCGCAACATATCAAGACTTTACTCCGGTCTATCTTAAAATTCTGCTTCTTCCTTTCAACTTTTGCCATATAATTTTATTTATGTTGTTTATTAAGCATAATAAAATGTGAAACGAATCAAGCAGAATTAGAAAGCAGTTGCCCTCTGTTTCACTTTCTTATATACCTCTTTCAAATGGTTATTCGTTCTTTATGAATCCCCCCAACAGTTATGTTTGTTTTCAGCTCACTGTCCTCCATAAAACAAATACTAACTATTTTCTACCTGGTAGATATTTTGCTATATAATACAAAGTTACCCCTCATGGAACTTGATGTTGATAATGACATCAAGGGAAGAGGAAGATGAGGATTATCAAGATGAAACAATAAGGATGACAATAGGTAAGATTTTGGGGGTGCTGGTTATATACTATAAACTTAGATGACTGATAAAAGGATAGGTAAATATATACAAGTTATTTCTGCTTTCATATGCAATTCTCATGGCAATCTATAAAATAAACCCTATTATCTTCATTTGGAAGATAAGAAAATAAATTAGAGACACTTATTAAGTTAACATTTTGTCTAATTTTATCTTTGAGCTACATTATCTTGTATAAATATTAACTTTCTTGGACTCTCACGTATATGCTTTTTTATTGAGTACTTCCTATATGTTCAGCACTGTGTGAAAGTCCCTAGAAACTTTATCTCAACTGACCCTCAAAAATATTTCAAAGATTGTATTACTTTTTCTATTTAATAGTTAACAGACTCAGAGATATTTAAGTCCTTATGAGGAACAGTAGTATTTTATTTAATTCTAACTCAAAAATCTAAGCTCTATTTACTACTATTATGGCAAAAATCACAATTACTTTTGCTCCAACCTAATACAGTGCTTCCCAGTAGTGTACACCACTTCAAATTAAGTAATAATGGGAGTTAATTTTGTCAAAATATTGACCAAGTCTATTATGTATAAAATACTTAAATAATTAAATTAGATATTTTTTATCTTTTAAATGACTTTTTATATTTTTAATTTGAAGCAATTAAATACAAATATGATGTGAACAAATAACATTTGAATTATGATGAAAGATTGTTCCAGATACTCTAACACGCACTCAAGGACATTTTAGGCAAATACTTTCAGATCATACGTTGTTAAAAGTAATGGATACTGCAGAGAAAATGATGATACTGTGTTCTTTAAATGTAATGTCCTTTCACATAATGTTTGATGACCAAAGATGATTTCAATCTTGAAATGATTAGAAAGATCTTTATTTTCCTAGAGTATAAAAATGCAGTAATAATTGTCAAAAATGATTATTTGGAAAGACACAATTCTATACATTCCACTCAGACCCAAGTGTGGCTGCCATGAAAATGTGCTGCACAGATCATCTGCTGCACAGAGCACAGCTGACTGACAGCCCCAGCTGCCTCTTACGAGAGTTCATCACCACCTTTGGCCTGAGGTCATATTGCCCCTTGCCAATTACTATGCAAGGTATGGATATAAGTACTCCTCTAATAGGCACCTTCATCTTGAGGGCTGTCTATCAGGCTGGAGCCATTGCCCAGATTGCTCAGAAGTCTGACTCTTTAGAAGCCCAGAAGTCTGACTCTGCCTATGTAAGCCACTTCCCTATGCCCTTCTTTCATAAATGTGGTACCTGCACAGAAGTCTATGGGCTCTCTTTACCTACTTCTTTCATCCCAGCCCTTTATTCTTCACCTCCATAAAGTTCCTTCTTTATTCTCCTATTGTAACTTCGTGTCTTCATTTCAAGCATCTGAACTAATACACCAATTTCATAATTCTATACTTGAAAGAGGACTAAAATTGAATTGAAAGTGTACTATTGAAGTCTGGTTTGAACATCACTTCTAGTACCATTTGTTGAATATAGGCCCTTGGAAGAAACTTGAAGATGGAATCTGTTAAATTGTTTGATGAAGAGTGTTCACCTCCAACCTTGTGAAAAGTATGACTTACAGGTCAGTCCTCTTTAAGGAAAAAATGCCAGACTTCCTAAGTTCATAGCTTCTCAGGTTAAGGGTGGCAGTGAGGGTTAAGAAGAGAGAGAGAGGACTGAGGACGCCCTTCAGATGATTTACTGTCCTGTTCTCTGGAAAGAGATACAGCTTAAAACTGATGCCACATATACAGTTTTTGAATTAAACTCCATTTGCTCAGAAAAAGAAAAGTATAAAGTGGGCTATGGTTCAAGAATCAGAGTGAAAAATAACTTTTTTAACGTGCGTCAAAATAAAGAAGTCTAAAGGCAAACAATTTGGACATTCTTCACAACCAAATTAACTTATTTGTGTATTCATTCATTTATTCATTGAACAATAATTAAACTCCTAGTTGTGGGAGGCACTCTGCTAGAAATTTGAAATACAAATATATATAAAACACAACTCTTGCCTTAAATAACCACAGTCTTTTTAAAGTATCAGGCAACTAAAAAAAAAAACAAGAACATTTTAAATAGTGTGAAAATATTTATAATAAGATAGTGAGAATGTGAATGCAGTATACAAGAAGGACACTTAATTCCCTTTGCAGGTATAAGGAAAGGTAAACGCTAATGTTTATGATGAGCCCTGAAGAATAAACAGAGTTAGTCAAGAAAACAGGGTGTTGGGGGCACGTCGGTGATCACATTGCTGTGAAAGAGCATTCGTACAAGTTCCTCAGAAACCTCAGAAGCCCCAAATAAGTACTGGGTCAATTGAGATGAGAATTTGTAACAAGGATAGGATAATAAACATTGGAAAAGACCTCATATACTCTTCTAACACAGAATATCATTCTTTGTTAGGACGGTACTATTCATAAGTTTTAAATAGGAGTATTGAGGGTGAGCTCACAGGGTAAAAGTAGCAAGCTCTCACAAGTATCCAAATGATAAAGGATGAGCGTCTGAACCAAAATGTCAGGAACAGAGAAAGGTCAATGACTAGCAGTAATATATGTTAGGGGAAATTGATGAGACTTACTAACTGTTAGGCTATGGGAAGTAAGAAAAAAAGAAAACTCTAAGATGACTCCCAATTGTCTAGCTTAAACAAAGTGATAGATAGTGAAGCCATTAAATGAGATAAAAAATCAGAAAAATTAGTAGAATTTAAAAGGAAGAAAAATACACTTTTGAAGATACTGAGTTTATCAAATGTGTAGATACGCAGGAAATTGTGTATATACTACCGTTATTCAAAATGTTAGAGAAATCATTTTATCCAATGATATATGCTTGGTGGTCATCAACTTGTAGATGCCCAGAATTTAAGGTGTGAGTATTATCACACAGGGAACTTAAGTAAGGTAACAAAACAAAAGAGTCTTGGAGAAAAGTCTGTAGAATATTAATATTCCAGAGTTTAGTTGAGGAATAATAATATTTATACTGTCCAGTTCACCCTTGAACAATGTGAGTTTGAACTATGTGGGTACAACTATATGTGGATTTTTTTTCAATAAGTATATTGAAAAGTTTGGGAGAGATCTGTGGCAATTTGAAAATTTAAAGACAAATCATATAGCCCAGAAACATGTTAAAATTAAGAAAAAGTTTTATATGCCATGAATGCATAAAATAGATGTAGATATTAGTCTACTTTATCATTCACTACCATGAAATAGAAACATATTCGTGACGAAAAGTTAGAATTTATTAAAACTAAGCACATAAACACCTACGGACTATACATGGTGCTGTTTACAGTTGAAAGAAATGTAAATGAATGTAAAGATACAGTATTAAATTATAACTGCATAAAATTAATTCTAGTACCTACTATACTACTGTAATAATTTTGTAGCCACTTCTTGTTGCTTGTGGTAAACTCAAAGTATTCTGAGTATCCAATAAAAACACCTTATGAAGCTAATCATCATTATGTGGATAGTTTGTCTCTCCAGTAAATTCAGTATTGCAATAAAAAATGATCTCTTGCAGTTGTTGCACATTTTTTCCATCATGTTTAGTACAATACTGTAAACCATGAATAATACCATGGGACCCATACAAAGGGCCACTAGTGATGCTAAAAGTACTCCCAAGAAGAAGAGAAAAGCCATGACATTATAAGAGAAAGTTAAATTGCTTGATATGTACCGTAGATTGAGTTCCACAACTGGAATTATTTCAAAATAAATGAATACAGTGTAAGGACCACTGTAAAAAAAAAAAGAAAAGAAACAAGGATAGGAAATTTGTGAAACTGTCGCTACAATTACATAAGCAGGCACAAAATCCTTGCGTTTTTTGGGGAAATACCTCTTTTATCTCCTATTGAAACTGCAGCTTTTATGTGGGTGCAGGATTGTTATAAGAAAGGCATACCTATAAACTCTAATATGATTCAAGAAAAGCAAAGTCATTATATAACAAGTTAAAGCAAAAAGAAGATGAAAGACCTAAAGCTGGAGAACTTAATGCCAGCAAAAGATGGTTTGATAATTTTAAAAATGTTGTGACTTAACAAATGTCAAGAAAACAGGAGAAACAGCTTCTGCTAACCAAGAGGCAACAGATAAATTTCCAGTTTTCATTAAAAAATCATTGAAGAGAAAGGATATATTCCTAAACAGGTTTTTAAGGCAGATTAAAATGTCCTATAGTGAACAAAGAATGTCCACAAAGACACTTATTAGTAAGAAAGAGAAGCAAGGACCAGGAATTGAGGCAGGAATGGATAGATCAACTCTATTGTTTGTTGCAAATGCAATTTGGTACATGATCAAGACTGCCCTTCTCTATACAGCTGCTAAACTCCAAGCCTGGAAGGGAAAAGATAAACATTTGGTTGTACAAGAAGAAGGTGTGGACAATGAGAAGTCTTTTTCTGAGTTGGTTCCATTGATGCTTTGTCCCTGAAGTCAGGAAGTAAAGATTGTATGATTGAAGATACTGTTACTATTATAGGAAAAAGTTGTGAAAACCATCAATCCCAAAACAATAAATTCCTACTGGAGAAGACTGTCCAGATGTTGTGCATGACATCACAGGATTTACAACAGAGCCAAATAAATTATGAAAGAAATTGTCAATACAGCAAGAAAGATTGGGGGTGGTGAAGGGTTTTAAGATATGGATTTTGGAGAAATTCAAGTATTAACAGACCATACACCAGAAGAATTAACAGAAGATGACTTGATAGGGATGAGTGCTTCCAAACCAGTGCCAGATGATGAAGAAAAAGATGTAGAAGAAAAAGTGCAAGAAAACTAACATTAGACAATCTGGCAGAAGGGTTTGCAAATAACTTATTACTTGCAGGTTGTACGGAAGTCCAAGCTTCTCATGTGATCTATATTGTTAGTGCTGGGATGGAGGCCTGTCACTACCCAGCAGGAATGAAAGTCCTGATTTCCTACTTGGCTTTATCTGCATGACCCTGACAGGGAGTTGGGGCACCTTTCTACACCTACATGAAGCTCTATGGTTTCCCATTCAGTCTATTTTGACATGGGTGGGTGTAGGGCTACAATATTTTCTGTGTTGTTCAGCTGGAGTGAAGTAATTATTGTGTAAATATTTTATCTCTTGCTTGGCTGCATCTTTGTTGGTCTTTGGCTAGAGAAAATGTATTTTTTTAGGCTTTGTTTTTGTCTGTGTCCTTTGACATCATTCTGGCTTCTTCAACATTCACTCTTGAATATACATGGCAAGATGTCTTGAACTTACTACCATGTTGTGCTTTGGGTTTTATTTGCAATGAGAAAAATTAGCCTGACCCAGTTTCATGCATGCTGACAAAAATCTATGAGACTCCTGGGTCAAAGAAAAGACCTTCATTACTTATGACACAACACAGTGTATGAACATCAGCATATTTGTGTCAGTTTCCCTTGTACCCAAATATCACAAGGGCAAGGTGAATGGGCCTAGATAGATGCCTGCACTTGCAGTGGTTAGAATTACAGGAGAGGACCAGACTCTGTAATTATCAGCAATGAGCAAATGAGTATGCTTGGCCTTTGTGCCAGAGGGAGACATTTTCTGTATCTTCCATGACTCTTCATTATACAAACATCGTAAAAACGGTTGTCTGGAGCAAAGGATAGTATAGTGCCTTTGCATGCTTATCTGGAGCGGGAGGTTTTGTTATTGTCATTTTGTTGTTTTCTCTCTCACCATCCTTCTATGGTTGCATTACTGTGTCCAAAGTCTAAGTGCAAACTTCCTTCCTTCCTTCCTTCCTTCCTTCCTTCTTTCCTTCCTCCCTCCCTCCCTCCCTCCTTCCCTCCTTCCTTTCTTTTTTCCTTTGTTCCTTCCTTTTGTTCATTCTTGAAAAGAGTTTTTGGTCCAAGATGATATTGAGTTTATTGAAAATACAGTCACAGACCTATGGGTAACGCATCAAATTGTCATATTGCTAGGTTTCTCCATTGATTTTCATCATCTTAAGCATGCAACTTTATACACAGGTCCACCTTTGTTAGTACTTCTCTATTTTTTTTAGATCTTCTCTAGCCCCTAGCTTCACTGATTGACACATACTGTGGTCATCTACCATCTGTGTTAATTTAGTCTCCATTACTCTATGGCAGTCAAACTCCCTGAGACCTATGATTACTTACTCTCTTAGAACACAATAGGTTCTTTGTTTCAGACCCTAATTACTTTGTTTTTCTGCTCACGACATATTCATTTTGTGTTTCACTATAGCTGTGCCTTTTTAATTGTGATAAAACATGCCTCTCATATATTTTATTTATGTTGTTGGTGTGAAAGCAGAATTTAAGACCAGCATTAATGGTGCTATTTTTGCTAGAATTTTTACTACATTAATCAGAAACAAAATACAGAC
Organism: Homo sapiens; assembly: GCF_000001405.40. Lineage (NCBI taxonomy): Eukaryota > Metazoa > Chordata > Mammalia > Primates > Hominidae > Homo > Homo sapiens. The sequence goes on from NC_000005.10 coordinate 105,132,042, forward strand.
TTTTACTTTCTGTAAAAAAAAAAAAAAATCCCAAATCATCATCTCTTTAGGCATGATGATATAATTTTTGTAAATTGGACAAAAACCTATTCATAAATAAACATGCTAAGTAATTTCCTTTAGTAACATACTATTGAATGTACTATTTAATAGAATCCTTTCAAATGTTAAATACCATCCTTGAATTTCTTTTTATCTTCCTTTTGATTTTACTTTGTGTATTTTTCTTTAAAACAGAGACACTATAGATGTAGAATTATCTATTCAAATGCTAATCTGTAATCTATAACAAGATATATATTGATTAATTTTCACATGCCTAGCACTATACAAAATGTTGTGATTTTTTTAAAAAGCAAAAACATACACTTACACACACACACGAGAATTCCTGTCCTCAACAAACTTATGAATTATTTATCTTAAAAGTATAAATATTCTGATTATTACATAATAGGCAAATCAGCATGACCATAAATGATTGATGTAGTGAGGATATCAGTGAGCCCAAGTTTCCCTTTGACAAAATTGTTATAACACCTACAAAATAGAGCTAAAAATATAAATATTTCTCTTCTTGGACAGTATGACAGCCAAGGATAGATAGGGCCATATAATTTCTGCACCATTTTGCCAAACAAAAATAACATATTGCAGCATTGTCTCTCTTTAAGACTTTTGGGCTCTAGATTCTTTGCTATTTTGTTTTCCTCTTAAACTCATCACATTTGTGCCATGTCAGCACTTCTCCTCAATACTGCCATAAAAAAATATATACAATCACTGAAACAAGTGGCTGTTTCAACGAGCACAAATTTTATTTCAAATCTTTTCCTCCAAGGACTTGTTTTCTGTAATACTGCAGGGGAATATTTAATTGGTATAAAAGAAAAGTAAATGAGATGTCTTGTCTAGTGAATTTACATGGAAATACCTATAGCATGTTTTGCTGTTCACTGTATCTGATCTAGGGCTATTATCAATGCACAGAATCAGAGAAAAGATGCCAAACATAATTTCTCAAGCTTTTATCTTGCTTTTCTTTGCTAGTATCTGCTCATGAAAGATCTCAGGCAGTAGAAGAAAATCTGTTCCAGAGATAATAAAAAATAAATCAACAGACTAGTTGAACCTACATAGGTGTGCGTGCATCATGAAGAAATTATGTCAGACATCACTACCTATTTGCAAACATTATACCTGAAATCCTGAAATAGGCCTCCATTTATGTATGATTTTCTCAGTCAAGAAGAATTGAGGTCTTTTACGGGAAAAAAGCACAGGAAAAATTATGTTTTGATGAGACTGGCATCACTGTTACCTAGAATGATTTGATTACATATGCTCACAGATTCTGACAGGTTTTATCGGAGGTACATCAGCATCTTTTGACAGTATAAAATTATAAAGCAATATAAGTGCACACATGCTGTTTATATGCAGCACACACTTATGCAGATCTTGTTGGTGTAACACTTTAGAAATCTGAAATCATCAAGATATTGTTCTGTTTGTCTTATTTCCTTGTAAGCAGGAGTTTTTTGTGGATCCAATGATGTGAAAGGGCATAATCTATATAGTGCATGTATAGTTTCATAGCTCTTTGTTAAGCCAATTCTATATGAATTCGTTTGTTTGGAAGCTTATAAAATTAAATACTACAATTGATTGTTTCTATATTAATTAATAAATGGCACATATTTCACCTGAATATGATGAGACCTATTTTATTGTTTGTGTCTTCTTTTAGATACTTTACTTACATTTAGTATATAATTATGACTGAAACTTTAAAAATCCCCAATACACTAAAGTAAACATGTATGATTCATCTGAATATGCTAAATACTTAAATTGAATAAAAAGAAAGAAAACAGAATTGGTTGGAACTTCTGTGGCCAGTTCACCTTATTGTCCACATGGACTGGAGCCAAACTGGCTAAGTAAAGATTGAGACTAATCATAAGAATAGTAAGTGATAAAAAGTACTTAATGATTTCTCCATGCAGGGTTTGATATAACACAGGCTGGAAAAAAATTAAATGGGAGCATAAACTATTAACTAATCATTTGGGACAAATTCATTTAGATTCCACCATGTATAGATGTTATCTATGATTCTGCACATGTATTAGAAGTTAATTATAAATAGTTCTATATGTAGGCTAAGGAGATTCAAAGACATCAATACATTTCCAAAGTTAAGTGTCAGTTAAATCCTAGATATCTTCCAATAGGGTATTACAAACTAAAAACTCAGGAAAATCGTGATAGCTAATTTTTTTATGTGTCAACTTGGCTGAGCCATAGTGACCAGCTATTTTATCAAAAATCATTTTTAATGTTTCTGTGAAGGTGTTTTCTGGATAAAATTCACTTTTAAATAAGCAGACTTTGAGTAAAGCAAATGTGGGTAAGTCACATTATCAGTTGATGTCCTTTATTGACCACAGACTGACCTCCCCTGAGCAAAAATCAATTCTGCCAGCAAACTACCTTTGGACTCAAACTGCAACTCTTTCTTGGGTCTCCAGGCTGCCAACTACTCTATAGATTTGGGATTTGCCAAGCCTCTACCATCCTATGAACCAATTCCTTAAAATATCACTCTCTCTGTCTTTCTCTCCCTCCCTCTCTCTTGCTATATCTGTATCTATCTGCACACACTCTTCCTGCTGATTGATTCTCTGAAGCACGATCACTAACATAGATTTCAGGATTGGGTGGTACAGCTGTACCAAATATACATCTAGGTAACTGGGTGCTGCTGTAATAAATACCCAAATTTATGGAAGTGGCTTTGGCACTGGATAATGGGTACAGGCTGGAAGAGTTTTCAGATGCATGTTTGAACAAGCTTATATTGCCATGAGGAGATTATTGGTAGAAATATTAGTCTTTCTGGTGAAGTCTCCAGTGGAAATGAGAAACGTTACTGAATGCTAGAAGAAAGGTGATTCTTGTTATAAACTGGCCAAAAATTTGGCTGAACTATGCTCTACTGTTTTGTGGAAAGTAGTATTTATAAAGAGTGCACTTGGATATTTTGCTGAGGAGATTACTCAGCAAAGTTTTGAAGATGCAGCCTTGTTTCTCTTCCTGTTTATGGTAAAATGTGACAGGAGAGATATAACAATTGAAGAAAGAATTAAGTAAAATGGAGCCAGAAATTGAAGATTTGGAAAATTCTCACCTTCTCCCTTATTGCAAAAAATAAGAATGTATGTTCTGGAGAGAACAACAAGCTTGTGTTCATTTGAGAAAGAGATTATGGTATGACTCTTGGATTCAATCATTTGATAAAAGGGATTACAGGTATGACTCCTGGATCTAATCGACCATCTTAGCAGAAGCCAGGAATGGAGGTGAAGTTACACAAGCAGAAACAATGTTAGCTTGGACTAAATTGGACAGATACAAGTAAAATGAAGGCACGCTGTTGACATCTAGGATTCTACAGGATGGGACAACAGAGCTATCTGTATGTGAATGTGCATTATCCTTTGTGAAGAGGGAAGAATGACCCTGAAGGTGAATCAGGACTGCCACTGCCACCACTGACCTAGAAGCCACAAGTCCATGAGGCAAGGCTGTCTTCTCATTGGTTTCAGAGATCAGGGCTACCACTTCTGTTTCAGTGAGCCAAAGTACTGCCCAAGACCAATGGGGGTGACACTACTGTACCCTGGTGGGCATAGAGGATAGAACATAGAGGCACAGAGGCAAAGATAATTATTCTTGAGCATTAAAATATGTTGGAATTTGCCCTGCCGGGTGTTGGACTTCCTGAGGACCTATGGCCTCTGTTTTTTTTCCTACTTCTCCTATTTGAAATGGATACATCTATCCTATGCCAGTTCCACCATTGTATTTTTGAAGTGAATAACTTGTCTGATTCACAGGTTCACAGCTGGAGAAGAATTTAGCCTCAGGGTAAATCATACTGCAAGTCTTATCCACACTTGAGTTAATGTATAAATAGACGAAATTTGAGTCTTAGAATTGATGCTTGAATTAGGTAAGACTTTTGGGCTGTTGGGATGGAGGTAAAAATATTTTGCATGAGAAAAAGACATGAATTTTGGAGGTGCTGACAGCAGTGTTGTGGGCTGAATTGTGTCCTCTCAAATCATATGTCAAAATCATAACCCCCAATATCTCAGATGTAACTGTTTTCGAAATAGGTCCTTTAAAGAAGTCATGACATAAAATGTTAGTGTGGACCCCAATCCAATCTGACTGAGGCCCTGAATAAGAAAATACAATTTGGATATATAAAGAGACACCAGGGATGCACAGCCCCCCTCCCGCCGCCCCCCCCCCCCAAAACTGAAAACAAAACAAAACCAAAAACATGTAGGACCCAATGAGGAAGCAGCTATCTGCAAGTCAAGGAAAAAGGCATTAGAAGAAACCATATCTCCCAACTGAACTTGGTCTTCTAACAAACTAATATGTTAATCATAACATGGCCAGAATAGTCAACATACACTTCGAAATTTTCTACTTTTTTTTTTTTAAGTTTCAGGACTCACTTCATGGAAGCAGTCAATGAGAGAAAGATTTCAATTTAATTATGGACTTGATTATATTAAAATTCTTCCCACCAAGGTTTATAAACATGAATATATGCTTTAATCAGACAGTTCTACATGTCAATACTTTCAGAGCTCAATGTAAGAAAAGATCAGTTTACACAACTGACTGAAAAATTAAATTAAGTCATAGCCTTCAGTAGTAGCATTCATTTCAGAAGATAACATATTACTGTAGAAGACTTGGTGTATTTGCAGTATACTTCTAATCTTTAAAATGAACATCACTGAGGACAATTATTCTCTTCAATAAAATATCACTTGATGAATGTTCAAAGAAGCTAATGAAGAATGCATTAACCATTAACCTACACAGCAGAGGATTTCTGAAGTTCTTTAGTATAAGGTTTTCATTAAAGGAAAATGGATCCTTTTCTTTCAGCCTATGAGTCAGATAACTGACAAAGCTCTCTATGTAATTCTTCTAGTGAATACCCAGTAAAAAAGAGAGAAATCTGGACTTGAGAGTGCGTTTAAGCAGTTGTGATTAAGGAGAAAATGGAAGCATAGGCTCTACTGACTGTGGAAGCCCAGGAAAGAAAAGGTCATAGAAATGACAGTAAAAATAGAATTATTTTCAGCCAGAGGAAACAGATGATCAAGAAGAACATATGATCAGCAGTATCCAGTGCTATAAACTGCCTTGAAGAATAAGTGGGAGAGAAATCCACTTGATGTTACAATTAATAGGAAACAATTAAACTTCAAGAAAACAGAAATTCTGTTCCTTGCCTGTGATTTATTTTTATAAGTAAAGGGAACATAGAATTTTATTGAACATAGACTCTTTACTCTAATTTGCCACAGTAGAAAGCAAAACAAATTAATAAATGGAGATTTTTAGAAAAATATTTTGTGTTTTCTACATTTCTTAGAACATGAGTTGTATTTTTGAGGCCTAGGGAAAGAGCAGCAAAAAAAAAAAAAAACCCAATGTTTTATTCTCACTTCTAAGGATGCAGTAAATCAATAGGCATATAATACTTTATTTTCTACTATTACGCCTTTTTTTCTAGAATTTTCTTCAAAAGCACGTATGCTTTTTAAAATACTTCTTTGTTGTTGTTAATAAAACAACATATTCTCATATAAAATGAAAAATGAAGAAAGAAGATGGGCAAAACAAATCAATCATCATAATTTCTAATGGCCCATTAAGCTTATCCACTTGAAATAATTAGCAGAAATATTCATTAATGTGCACCTCTTGAGTGATTTTTTATCAGGACCCTGATGACTTTGGTAGTCTCCCAATTTCTACAAATAGTAAAAAGATAAAGCCCTGTTAAATGCCTACACAGAGTAGTATAACCATCAGGAGTTGCAATCTAATAAATATGTATTTTCCCTAGTGAGAGAATATATTACTAGCCATAATATGTTTTGATATAAAATATATTATAAATTAAATCATGTAATAACATAATTTTTGCTATTATAAAGTTAACATATAAATAATTATAAAATGTACCTTAAATTATTTTACCTGTTACCTTGTAGTTAATCAATTTAAAGTCTTTAATAATTTATGAGACTATTTATTTAAAAAAACCTCTCATAATTTTCTTATTTAGATTATCAAACACTTGCTTCATAGAATATTTTGTTCCAACTTCTGAAAACACTAATGAATATGCTTGGTCTTATGCACATGAAATAACCGTGTGCTGACAGCATAATAATACTGAAAAAAGGCTTTAAAAATAATATCAATTTTCCATAATACATCATGCATAGTGCATGACAATCAGGTGCCCTACAAAACAATTTTTGATGTGATCTTTTCTCTTTTCTTTCATACCTTTTTAAAGTTGACGCATTACCAAAACATTTTGTTTTCTTATGAGTTTCAAAAGAAGAGGATAAAAAAAGTCTTGTGACCTTCTCCACAATTGGCTGAAACTTTCATTCCTTTCATTCAGGTCTCCATTAGTCGAAAAGTGGTTTTAGCTAGCTGTACTCAAGCATTTCAGTCAATTACCAGCTTTTATCTTGTTGTTATCATAAAAGGCCATTTCTTTCCTAAAATGGTCAATTAAGTTCATGAAAATAAATGGTGAGGAATATACAATTTGTTAGTCGTACTGTCAGGAGTACACTGGTCTTGGGGAAAAAACATTTCAGAGGATTTCTTAATGAATAGAAATAGCTTTCATCAGAGGAGATGTTTGTTCCCATTTCTTTCTTCTCTGGCCACAATTCACAGTTAACAACGCAGTAATTGAGTATTTGAAAGTTCTTAAAATCTCTACCTTATACTTAAAGAAGGGTCCCGTGTTTTTGCTTAACTACTCCATGTGTTTCTGTTTGTATAGAGTGCATTTTAGAATCAATTGAGGTAGTAGGTTGTACTTGAAATCCATCAGAAAAGGGTTCACTTTTTGTTTGAGAATAATGTAATAGAAGGAACAAGCATTTGGAGTAAATTAATCAAATAGGAGTAGTCTATTTAGAGAAATGTTAAAGCAATGAACATAAAAGTTGAGAATGTTAGGGGAAAAGTAATGGGCGACAGCCCCTTGATTTGCATAATGATATAACATTATGGATGTTTCATAAGAATGCAGGCATGAGTAGTGCTGTATTCAGTGGCTTATAATATGACTAATTCCTACTTTTGTTCTTAAAACAAATTGTGTTTACTGTGTGTCACACTGTTCTAGGTGTAATGAATATTCTAGTATTAATATATACACAAAACTCTATAAGTTAAATCTAGTTATGTGGTATCTTCCAGTCTAATCAGGGAAATGCAGTCCATAAATGTGAAATTTGACGAACATCTTTCTGGATGATGAGTAAGTTCTGAATGAGTAGAAGTAAATTATCAAGGAAATAACTGTACGTTCATGTTTGCTTTCTTTCATTGTTGCAGATGCTTCTTCACAAATATTCTAGCTACAGAAACTGTGAATCAAATATTCTTTCTCCTAATAAAAGTATCCAATGCAATGCCAAAGAAAACTTACTGAATGAAGATAATTACTGTGCAAAAATGGTTTTCATTCTTCCCTTTGCATTTGAAAATCGGAAGATCCAAGATTACTCAGCCAATGTGATGATTCATTTGAGACGTTAGCTTGTCTAGGCCTTAGCACCCAGATATTTGGTCAAACAACAGTCTACATGGTGCTACAGGAAGGTATTTTTGAGATGAGATTAACATTTAAATCAGTAGACTTTGAGAAAAGCAGATTACCCTCCATAATGTGGATGGGCTTTTTTCTTAGCTGAAGGCCTTAACAGAACAAAGACTTACCTCCCCTGAGAAAAAAGGGATTTTGCCTTTGACTTAAGTTGCAACATCAACTCTTTCCTGGATCTCCAACCTGCTGACCTGCCCTAAAAACATTAGACTTACCAGCTCCATAATTGCGTGAGCCAATTCCTGCCCTGAAAACATTAGACTTACCAGCTCCATAATTGCATGAGCCAATTCCTTAATATCTCTTTCTCTTTCTCTCCCTTTCTTTCTCTTTCTCTCTCTCTCTCTTGCTCTCCAAATATATATATACACATAAAATACTATATATATGTGTGTATATATATATTTTATGTGTATATATATATATACATAATATATATGTGTGTGTATATATATATATGCACATCTATAAATCCTATTGGTTCTCTTTTTCTGGGGATGTGGTGACACACACACACAAAAATAGATAAAGTTTTTGTCTACTAGGAAGGCTGTATTTGCAATTTACTGGTAGAAAATATACATACAATGAGTACAAATACATATTGAATTTTTTGATAACGATATGTATGTATACATGTTCCCAACTTTTGCTATATCTGTAAAAGTGGAGAGTAATTGGGTGATTTAACTCAATGAATTGTTGCAATTAGTATACATATTTGGAGCCAGGAACATAACAACAATGGAAACTGACTAATTCCTCAAAGGAATTTAAGAATCTGCAATTTTCTTATTTTTATTATATTTTGACTTAGAGTGACTTCATCTTTTGAATTATTCAACTTTGTATCTGACTTCTTAGTTACACACTCATTCCACCAGCTGCCAAATACTTCCCTAAGTAAAAATGTAAAATTTGGTTTTCCATTTATTTTCCTTGAATATGGAAAATAATCATGGTCACTCCCATTGGTAGTTTGTAGATTCTAGGCAAAATGTTAAAATTTCAACTTTTTATCTTTCAACTCAGCAGTGTTGCAAATATTTTATCCTTCAAAGTGATATAGATGTTCCTCGATTTACACTGGAGTTACATCCCAACAAATCCATCATCAGTTGAAAATACAGTAAGTTGAAGATTCACTTAATACAGCAAATTTGTCAAAGATCACCTGGCCTACCTTTGTATACTCAGAACCCTTACATTAGCCTATAGTTGGGCAAAATCATCTAACACAAAGCCTACTTTATAATAAAGTGTTGAATATCTTATGTAATTTGCTAAAAACATTATTGAAAGTGAAAAACAGAATATTTGTATCAGTACTCCAAATATGGTTTCCATTAAATGTGTATCACTTTTGCACCACAGCAAAGTCAAAAAATCATAACTTGAACCATTGTAAGGTAGGAATATTCAAGCTTCCAAAAGACATGATTGATTAATAATGAACCAAAATAGTTTCATTGATTTAAATCATCTCAGTTATTTAATTAAACTCCTTGCTTGAAAACTTTTGTCTTTATTTCTCTTTACAAGTTAGTTTCATTCATGTTATAAAATTTTTCCAACTAGGGTATGTGTCTGAGTAAGACAGAGTTAAAGAGAAAGAGAAAGTGGGTGGAGGTTATAACAGACACAGATGATACAAATGAATTGTCATGATTCTGCACCAAGAATGGTATTTCTTGAAGACTGTGTCATCAATTCACCTTTTTATATTTAAGTCCTAAAACACTGCCTCAAATATTATGAATAAATAAATATTTGCTGAATAAATGCATAAACAGAACAACCAACAAAATAATTGTTGCTACCATAACCCAGACAGAGAGAACTATAAATTCAGAAGTTATTCTGTTTCTATTTAGTATTTAAATAAAAATAAATTTTAGTTACAAGTATAAGTGTCTTCCCAAATGCTAAAGCATTTGCTCTTCATATATACAGAAAATAAAATATACTGTCTTCAATTATCCTTCTACAATATCCTCCACGTATTAAAGAGATATCATGGCAGAATGTAGAGACACTATAGATGTGAAAGAAAGTAATGGCACTATAAAGTTGACTAGTCATCCAAAACTGAAAAGCATCAAACCTCTAAATTTTGGAAATGAACAACACCTTTCTTTTATGTATTATTCTTTTATTTCAAGTAGACTTTTAGTATTGGCTTCAGTTTAGTCTGTAACTATTAAAAAATTTAAATTAAGTGAGAATAAGTGTAAAAATAAAAGAAACTAATTTTTATAAATTTTGTTAAAACGCTAATGATTTAAATATCTTATAAGAACTAATTCATGAGTCTTGTTTTTCTATTCAATAAATGGGTAAAAAGAAAACATGTCATGGAAGATGAGCATTTTTAATTTGGTAATTCTTGTCTTTTTTCATATTTTTGACTCATTTTTCATAATTTTGTTTTATATCTTTGTCTCTTTTTTTGTCTCATTTTTGTTTATTTTGGTGTCCCTTTTTCATATACCCAAAAAAGAGTTTTAGGACAAATGTCTAACCTAATAATATTTTTTTTTTTACAACATTTTCTTTTTAGTTTGATAATATTATTATGCCTAAAAGGAAAAGACTTTGAATTAGATGTTTGTAGTATACAGGTCAAATGATCTTGACAGTACATCGAAAATGCGAAGTTGTATTTAAACATACTTAAATAAAAACCTTTCTTTATGAGAGAAATACATGGTATACGTTTATGTAAGGCATAAGGCAAATGTATTAGTCTGATTGGGTAATTTACAAAGGAAAGAGGTTTAATTAACTCACAATTCCACATGGCTGGGGAGGCCTCACAATCATGGTGACAAATGAGGAACAAAGTCACCTCTTACCTGGTAGCAGGCAAAAGAGCTTGTGCAGGGGATCTCCCATTTATAAAACCATCAGAACCTGTGAGACATTCACTATCACAAGAACAGTATGAGGGAAAACACCCACGTGATTCAATTATCTTCACCTGACCCTGCCCTTGACATGTGGGAACTATTACAATTAAAGGTGAAATTTGGGTGGAGGCACAAAGCCAGACCATCTCAGCAAATGTTCACTAACTACCTATTCACAAATAACTGTAAACTTAAAGTGTGAAAAAAAAAGAGCTTTGTTCATTTTACAGACTGAAGCTCTGTCCCTCCTCATTAACTACCTGCTTTTCTCCTGTGAAAAAAGTACTTTTTTTCAAATCACACAAGAATAGTCTAAAAGTGAGAAAATAAACTTTTCTTTGGGCATAGTTTCTGTACCATTAACCGTTTAGTTTTGGCAAAATGTGGTTTATTTACTTATTTATTTATTTTTGTTCTTGAGACTGAGTTTTGCTCTGTCACCCAGGCTGGAGTGCAATGGCACAATCTGGGCTCACTGCAGGCTCCGCCTCCAGGGTTCAAGTAATTCTCCTGCCTCAGCCTCCCTAGTAACTGGGATTACAGGTGCCTGCGACCACGCCTGGCTAATTTTTTTATATTTTTAATAGAGACGGGGTTTCACCATGTTGGCCAGGCTGGTCTTGAACTCCTGACCTCACGTGATCCACCCATCTTGGCCTCCCAGAATGCTGGGATTACAGGTATGAGCCACCATGCCTGGCCAAAATGTGTTTTTTAAACATTACTTGCCTGCATTTTCTTCTGCCCAAAAAAGGATAAAGTAATTTATCTCTTCAATAAAATACAATTTCAGCATTTGACAGAATGATTACAGAATGACCATGGCAAATTCAAATAAATGGTTAATATTTTACAATCAGTTAAATATATTTACACAGATTATTACTTCAAATGAAGAATATTTCTTAAAAGGAATTGTGTTAGAAAAGGTGGAAACATTAAAATATTTTAAGCAAAATATTCTACTGAAATAAATTTTGTTATTGTAACATTATGTTAAATAAATTTTATTTAAAAAACTGATCAATTTAATTGAAAAACACCATGTTTCATTAAAAGAGATATTTACATAAGCTAATGAATAAGATGGTGAAATTTTCTTCTCATCAGGAATTGGATATTTTGATGAATTTCCTAAGTCTACCAATTTTTACAAAATAGAAAAGAAGTCTAGTTGATAAGAGAAGATTCTATTGCATTTTACAGATGAAAAGCTGCTGTTTTCAAACACGTCACATCATTCATTGGATAAGATAAATATAGTATATACTAAATATATAAGTTGTCATTTCAGTCTTAAATTCATTAGGAAAACATTCAAGAACGGACTCAATTTTAGCTGATTTCCAAACAATAGTATCAGAAATCACACCTAAAATTTTGTCCCAGAAATTTGAGGCTACTTGATATCTCACTTTTATTATATACTCTTCTGTGTGATAAAAGACCCAGGAAAAAAGTTTTTAAGCCAATACAGAATAATGTTACTATCCTTTATTTTAATATTACTCTTCTATAACTATAATGTTGAACTATGAAAATAACCAGGCAATTGTGAGAAGGAGTTATTGGTATTTAATCAAATAAAACAATTCTAATGGCTTATGTGCAAACATAAAATATAGGAAAAAGCTATGTGCATCTGGGCAGTCAACTATCTTCTTCAGTCCTGTTCTAACATAATTAGTCTTTCAAATAGTCCATCAGTAATCAGAAAATCATCTTTTAAGCTAAAGAAGCTCTAATTATATTAATTTTAAAGAAAAAAAGTTTAGCCTTCAGCATACATGTAGCTGTCCAGAAATAAGAGCTGGATTTCGTCCATATAAAATATAAATTCTTTCTATTACACCCCTTCATTAAGGGTTGTTTCTCATGTCAAATAAATTTTGAGAAAAAATAATTTAACTGGTGAATACAATTATCTTCTCCCCATCTAACATCTAACCTCTCAAAATATTTTAATAGATTTTTTTTTTTTTTTTTTTTTTTTGAGACAGAGTCTGGCTCTGTCGCCCAGGCTGGAGTGCAGTGGCGTGATTTCAGCTCACTGCAAGCTCTGCCTCCCGGTTTCACGCCATTCTCCTGACTCAGCCTCCCAAGTATTTGGGACTACAGGTGCCCGCCACCACGTCCAGCTAATTTTTTTTTTTTTTTTTTTTTTTTTTTTTGAGACGGAGTCTCGCTCTGTCGCCCAGGCTGGAGTGCAGTGGCGGGATCTCGGCTCACTGCAAGCTCCGCCTCCCGGGTACACGCCATTCTCCTGCCTCAGCCTCCCAAGTAGCTGGGACTACAGGCGCCCGCCACTACGCCCGGCTAATTTTTTTGTATTTTTAGTAGAGACGGGGTTTCACCATGTTAGCCAGGATCGTCTCAATCTCCTGACCTCGTGATCCGCCTGCCTCGGCCTCCCAAAGTGCTGGGATTACAGGCGTGAGCCACCACACCCAGCCTAATAGATTACCTCTTACATGCATACTATTTATCTATAAATTTTAACTTTAGGACCCAGCACGGTGGCTCACGTCTGTAATGCCAGTACATTGGGAGGCCAAGGTGGGGCGGGGGGTGGTGGCGGATCACTGGAGGTCAGGAGTTCGAAACCAGCCTGGCCAACATGGTGAATCCCCTTCTGTACTAAAAATACAAAAATTAGCTGGGCATGGTGGTGTGTGCTTATAATCCTAGCTACTAGGGAGGCTTGAGCCCGGCAGGCGGAGATTGCAGTGAGTGGAGATCGCACCATTGTACTCCAGCCTGAGTGACAAGAGCAAGACTCAGTCTCAAAAAAAAAAAAAAAAAAAAAAAAAAACCTTTAATTTTAGACTCAATATGGGAACCCTCAAACAGCTAAAATTGAAATATATAAATAAAACATACAAATGCCATATGTAATCACAATGAAAGGTAGAGCTAGATAAACTGACAAATTTTAATTCAGGTACCATAAACTATGACAAATCAAAGAAAAAATAGATCTTTGCATATGAGATGAATACATCAGGAACGTACACAAAGTTGAATTCTAAGATAATTTTTTAAAATCGAGCCATACTTAATATATAAAGAAATAAAGACTGTTTACTAAAACTGGGGGATATGATACTTTTTTTTTTTTGTCAGTTCCTACAAGAAAATTAAAGAGGACCAGTTCTTAACTACTAATTCTTTAAAAATTAGATACACTCCTGGTCAAATAAAAGATTTATACTTTTTTTGTAACCAGAGAATTATGTAAGAAAGGAATATAACCCATTCAGAAATTATACAATCCTTCTTTCATCTCAAAGAATACTAAGATCTGAAACATGAATATCTCTTGAGATTGATGCCAGGTTCATAAAGAATAGTGACAGGCTTTGGCAAACAAGTTTCAGATATTAAATTCTGGTTACTACAGAAATCTAATAAAAGATAACATAATACAAAACTTGTGGGATATTTTACAACAAAAGGCGGAAGACCAGAACGTGTTTTAGTGCATTACACTTCTCCATTGTTAGTAGATTTTTAGTAGATTTTCTCAACATTATTACGTTTATTTTAATGTGATAAAAACATATTCAGGCTTTTATTTTTAGCTTATCTGAAAGGGCCATTTCATTTGCTACTTTTCTGTTTTAAACTTTAACTGGTTTTAAAACAGAAATGATTTCAGAGTATTTCTATTACCCATCGTTTATCATTAAAAATGATGTAAGTATTTATATTACCCCATCATTTATCATTACCTGTATGTTTGTACAGACAGTGATACATCCTGAATATGTTTCATGCTTTTTAAAGTAATATTTATAATTTTAGAACATTCACAAATTCATTATGTGAAAGTCTGAACAATGTACAATTATATGAAGTAACAGAAATTACACTCTTATGTTGGCCTTCCTCAAATCTACTCCATAGTAGAAGCAAGCATATTAGAAACAATCATCTGTTCCAAAAAAGGCAAAGCTGGCGTGTTATGTTATTTTGTTTTTCCCCATAATTCTGCACTATTATTTGGCAAAGATGGATACTTATGAAGCTATTACCATCTAAATTCACTGGGGTAGACAATAAGAAAGCTGGTGGTGAGTGTGGCATTTTCCTTTAGGGTACTCTTTCAGTGCTCTCACTCTTAGGTTTGGATCTATTCCTCTTTCATTTCTCTTTTTTAAAGGCATTCTCATGTAAAGCTTTGGAAAAGATTATATAAGCTAATAGTCTATTACTTGTTTGTATTTCAATTCTATATTTACTTGTACAATGTAACAAAAATACTTGATACAGTCATTAAGCATTTTTTTAAATGCTGTATTTTAACATACCACAGCATGTCATATAAAGTTTGCATGTTGCCCAATGAGTCATAGAGTAGCTATCCAACAAATATCCATTAAGTGAACAAAGACTCAAGATGCCGAGGCTGTTTTGCTTGTTTGTGTTTTGCTTGGTTTATTTGTTTAGATGTAGAGCATTTTATTGCCTAACAAAATATAAATTAAGCTAGGCCTTGGTCTTCTGACTCTGCTGAAGAAAACGTGGCCTGAATCTTCAGCAATAAGTAGAGTCAAGTTGAAAAATACCCATAAAATTGCACATTTCTGAAGAGTCTATTATCTACTTTTTAATTTCTCATTGCTTCTGTGATTTGTTCTATATTTAAGAGAGTTGGGGCAAAAAAAAAAAAAAAACAATGTGGTAGATTAAATTTAGACTTTGTTATCTTTGCATGTCTTTGGGGATCTAGGATGACCATGATTATATTTTAGTGAATAAACTAAAGAATAGCAAATTAACATCTGTCAAAACTCTGCATGGCTCTAAAGTATGTAGGAAGTATTTATAAATAACCAATCTGAAATACAAATATTTTAATTCCATGTTATGGTTACTATGTTTTATGCACAGACCTTTTTGAATAAGTTCTACAAATATACGCATGCATACCTTTACTTCTCTTTCCTGAAGTTTGTTGTCTTTTCCTGCCTTTGATAGCTTAACCTCCAAAACACAGTTCCAAGGACAATTAGGTAGAAAGTCAAGCGACTGATTTCTTCTTTCCCATAAGCAAATAAGGAGTGATCACTAATTTATTTAGTAATTATTTTAAAATAATTTTTGAAAATCTGAAAGCACTTATATTTAGTCACTAGTTTTTAATTAGGCATTCTCTCTCATATGAAAAACAATACAAAGTATTTATAACAATGTATACTCCTGAAGCAAAAAAAATTTGACACCTACTTAAGGCTGCTACTATTTTTATTTTGTTTTTAAACCAAATGAGACACAAAGTTTTAATATATTCCTGCCTACCAAAAACTTTCCCCTAAAGTGTCTTCACAGACTCCTTACAAGCTACCTAATATTGCATGAAAGTCCTGGAACAAAGATAAATGAGGTCCCTACTAAAGGTATTACAAGACCAATTAACAACATATAAAATATAAATATGTTCATAAATACATTAAAATGGAGCCTTCGGGAGAAGTAGGTCAGTGGCCAGTTTTGACAAATGAGTGAGAATTACAAAGTTAAATACCCTGGAAGGCTGTGAAATAATACTTTAACAGAAAGCATATTATATTATATTTTAAAAAGGAGATTTTACAATTGAGGATAGGCTCACCTACCAAAGGATGCTCTCCACATCCTAGTCTCTAAATGAGGCTTATTATCTTTAATTTCCCCATACCTCTCCAATACAACCCAATGTAACTCTCAACATTCTTCAGTCTCAGAAAGTAGGTTTTCTAAGAAAATATGCAATGCTCTACATTTCCTTCCCCTCAATAATTACTTATTTTTTTACATGTTCATTTATTTTTTCCTCAAGGAAAAAATGTGTACTTTTTTCTCAGTTTTATAATCCTTCATGTATATTCTTGAACACATGCTTATCTCTTACAAGAATTAGGTTTTTCCATTAACTACCCCTTTCACAGTTTTTTGTTTGTTAGGTTTTTTTTTTTTTTTTTTTTTTTTGAGATGAAGTCTCACTCTGTCGCCCAGGCTAGAGTGCAGTGGCGCAATCTGAGCTCACTGCAACATTTGCCTCCTGGTTCAAGCGATGCTTCTGCCTCAGCCTCCTGAGTAGATGGGACTACAGGCTCCCACCACCAGGCCTAGCTAATTTTTGTATTTTTAGTTCAGACAAGGTTTCGTCATGTTGGCCAGGCTGGTCTCAAACTCCTGACCTTGGCCTCCCAAAGTGCTGGGATTACAGGCATGAACCACTGCGCCCGGCCATACTTATTTTAAGTTTCTGTTTCTTCTAATTATTAACTCTAAATGATAGTACATACTTAATCCTTTCAATTCCTCATGTTATCACATCTAGCCTAATTTTAGGACTTAAGCTATCTCCACTGCATTAAAATTTTACTGACAAAATCATAAGTGAAATTTTATAGTACCCATTTTCTTAGAAAAATATTCATGGTCTGCTTTGCAAACTGAAAACATTTCTTTTTACATGGGAGATTCTACCAGTCCCTTCCAGAAACTATCCCGCATTTGAAAGTCTACTAATTGCTAAATTGAAAGTCTTCTAAAACCTCATAGAAGAAGATTCTCTGCTTTGCTCAGTAAAATATTAGTTTATTCTCCAATGCTGAGTTAGCCTTGAATAGGTTAAATAAACCTCACTTGACCATGGCCATGAGATAATTCTTTTTTATTGTATATATGCATAATTTTTTTACATATATATCACAAACATTACATATCAATCTGTAAGTCTTTCTACATTGTTGAATTATATATGCTAATTTTCATTAAGTATACTTGCATCTAAGCTCATGAAAATATTGATCTGTAGTTTAATTTTCATATAACATCTTTGGTTTTGCTATTAGGATAATATTTGCCTCATTAGGATGAGTTACTAAGAAATCCCTTTGCTTCTGTATTCTGAATATTCTGAAAGAGATTGCGAAGAAGTAGTATAAATTATTTCTTACATATTTGGTGGAATTAACCAGTGAACCCATATGGACTTGATACTTTCTGTTTTGGGTGGTTATTAATTATTGATTCAGTTTCTTTATAGATATAGACCTCTTTAGATTATCAATTTCTTCTTCTGTGAGGTTTGGCAGATTGTGTCTTTCAGATAATTGGTTCACTTCATCTAGGTTATCAAATTTTGTGGGGATGGAGTTGTTTATATTATTCCTTTATTATCCTTTTAATGTCCATGAGATCCTTAGTGACATTCCCTCTTTCATTTCTAATATTAGTTGTTTGTGTCCTCTCTCTCTTTTTTTCTTACTTGGCCTGGCTAGAGGCTTATTGATTTCATTGACCTTTTTAAACAGCAGCTTTTGATTATATTGATATTTTCTACTTTTTTTGTTTTTGATTTTACTGATTTCTAATCTATTTTTATTATTATTTTCTGCTTACTTTTGCTTTAATTTGCTCTTTTTTTCAAGTTTCAAAATTTGAAGCTTACGCAATTCATTTTAGATGTTTCTTCTTTTCTAATATCTACATTCAATGCTATACATTTTCCTCTCATCAGTGTTTACTGAATCCCAAAAATTTTGATTAGTTGTGCTTTCATGTTCATTTAGTTCAAAATATTTTAAAATTCCTTTGAGATTTCTTCTTTGACTCATGTTATTCAGAAGTGTGTTTTTAATCTCCAATTATTTTAGGATTTTCCAGCTATCTTTCTGTCATTGCATTTTAGTTCAATTCCACAATGTTCTGAGAATAGACATTGTATAATTTCCATTCTTTTAAGTTGTTAACGTGTTTTATAGCACAGTGTGTGGTCCGTCGTGGTGAATGTTCCATTGAGCTTGAGAAGAATGTGCATTCTGTTGTTAGATGCAGTAGTCTATAGATGTCCATTATATCCAGTTGATTGATGGAGTTGTTTAATTCAACAATGCTCTTACAGATTTTCAGCCTCCTGGGTCTGTCCATTTCTGATAGAGGGGTGTTAAAGTCTCCAACTGTGATAGTGGATTCATCTTGAGTTGTAGCAGTTTTTGCTTCACCCTCTCTTGTTAGGCACTTATACATTAAGAATTGTTATGTTTTCTTGGATAATTGAGCACTTTAACATTATATAGTTCTTCTCTTTATCCCTGATAATTTTCTTGCTGCAAAGTCTGTTTTGTCTGACATTAACATAGCCACTTCCACTGTCTTGTGATTAGTGTTACCATAGTAAATATTTCTCCATTCATTTACATTTAATCCACATATGTCTTTATATTTAAAGTGAGTTTCTTGTTGACAACATAGATTTAGTTATCTTTTTAAATTCACTAAAATAATCTCTACCTTTTGGTTGGTGCATTTAAACTACTAACCATATAAGTTATTACTGATATAATTGGATTAATATCTACAGTATTTATTAGTCTTTTTTATTTGTTACTTTTGTTCTTTGTTCCTATTTTTGTCCTCCATTTTTTTTTCTGCCTTTTGTGGTATTTTCTGAGCATTTTATATGATTCCATTTTATCTTTTTTCTTAACACATCAGTTAAGAGTTTTTTTCCTCCTTTTTTTGGTTGTTCTAGAGTGTACAATACACATTTACAACTAATTAAGGTCCACTTTCAAATAACACTACACGAATTCATGGGTAGTGCAAGTACTTTTTATTTTTTATTTTTTTATTTACTTATTTTTTTGAGACAGGATCTTGCTCTGTTGCCTAGGCTGGAGTGCAGTGGAGCAATCTCGGCTCACTGCAGCCTCCACCTCTGAGGTTCAACCAATTCTCCCACCTCAGCCTCCCAAGTAGCTGGGATTACAGGCGCACCACCATGCCCGGCTAATTTTTGTAGTTTTAGTAGAGATGGGTTTTTATCATGTTTGCCAGGCTGTTCCCGAACACTTGACCTCAAGTGATCCACCCTCCTTGGCCTCCCAAAGTGCTGGGATTACAGGTGTGAGCCACCGTGCCCGGCCACAAGTACCTTTAAATATCAAAATATTCTTAGTTCCTTCCTCCTGTGCTTTGTATCATTGCCGTCTTTCTTCATTTGTTTATTAGCATACATAAGTATACATAATTAAGTACACTGTTGCTATTATTTTGAACAGACTATTGTCTGTTAAATTAACAATAAGAAAATGAAAGTTTTATTTTACCTTTACTTATTCCTTCTCTGATGTTCATCTTTTCTTTATGTGGATTCAAGTTTCTGATCTATGTATTTTTTTCTACCTCTCTAAAGAACTTCTTTTAACATTTTTTGAAAGGTGGGTCTAGCAGCAACAATTCTCGTAATTTTTACTTACCTGAGAATGCCTTTATTTCACTTTCTCAGTGTACAGAATTCTAAGTTTGTGGTTTTATTCTCAACACTTTAAATATTTGACTCTATGCTCTTTTCTTCTCAAATGGTTTCTGGGGAGCAACTGTATGTAACTGTTATCTTTGTTCCTCTATATGTAAGATGTATCTTCCCCACCCTTCTTCTCACATCCCAGGATCTTTCAGAATTATTTAACCACCATTGATTTTTCTGCAGTTCGCAAATGATATGCCTAGGTATAATTTTATCCGGCATTTATTCTGCTGCATGTTCTCTGAGACTTGTGGATCTATGTTTTGGTATTTAACATTTATTTGGGACAAATTCTCAGTCATTAGTATTTCAAATATTTCTCTTCTGTTCCTTTCTCTTTCTTCTCCTTCTGATATTGATGGTGTATGTTACACATTTTGTAATTGTCCCTCATTTCTTGAATATTGCATTCTTTTTTTTTCTGTCATTTTTCTTTTTTTTTCTTTTCAACTTTGGAGGTTTCCATTAGAATATCCTGAAGATCAGAAATTATCTTTTCTATCCAGTCTACTAATAAGCTCATCAAAAGTATTCTTCATTTCTATTACAGTGTTTTTTTATTGTTGGCTTTCCTTGCTAGTTCTTTCTTAGAATTTCTATTTTTCTGTATATCTTGCTTATGTACTATCCCATGCTGTCTACTTTATCCATTAGAGTCCTTAGCATATAAATCATAGTTGTTTTAAATTCCTGGTCTGATAATTCTAACTTCCCCACATAACTGCATCTGATTCAAATGATTGCTCTGTCTTTAAACTGTATTTTTTGCCTTTTACTAAGTCTTGTAATTTTTTCTTGGTATACAGGCATTATGTACTGAGTAAAAGGAATTGTTGTAATAAGACTTTGGTAATGAAGTGTTAAGGTATGAGGGGGAAAGGAGGCGTTCTATAGTCCTATGATTAAGTCTCAGTCTTTTATTGAGTCTGTACATCTGAATTGTGAACTTTATATGTGCTTTTCATTTCCCCTCCTCATCCTGGGACAGAATGGCTAGTGAAAGATGAAGTTGAGTGTTTCCCTTCTCCCAGGTCAGATAGGCTCTGATAAAATCCCAGCAAGTTATGCTCTAATTAAGTAGATTCTCATGACAGCAGACATTGTTAAGAAGAACAAGATTCGCTGGCATATTTCAAGATGGTTCTTTACCCCTCTCCCAACTCTGCTGGAATCATGAGAGGTTATTCCTCTAATATTCACTGTGACAATCTAGTCAGACTCTAGGAGGTAAAACACAAAGCGTAGAACTAGCCAATGACTGTATCCTGCTGGACAAATCTCTCATATTTTCCCACACTGTCCTTCCAGGAATTCACTAATTACAGTTTAGGTTTTCTTGCCCTGGTACTGGTTGCCAGGGAGGCTGTTTCTTATGGGTTTCTGCTTTAGTAAGTTGTGATTATTTTTATTTTCCTGTCAGTATCTCCAATTTTGGGGGCAGTAATTTGCCTTGTGACCAAACTGCTTTTTAAAAGGGAATTTTTTAGATAGGTTGATCCAAACAACTCAATGTTAAGAACATAGACCTCAGTCTTCAGCTACATTTTGTTTTCTTCTCTTGATAGCATTTATTGCCTGCTAAAATATTATAATTGTGTTGTTTATTTTCTGCCACCCCATGCTAAGATTTAAGTTAAAAGAGGTGAATAATTTTTTCTTCATTGCTTTTCACACTGTGTTTCTTAGTACCTAGAATAATATTTGGCAAATATAAGAATTAAAATATTTGTTGCAATAATAACAAATGACACATTCGACCTTTAAGCTCACTTGCTTCTGAATCGCCATAGACTTCATTGCAGGAGGTAAGAAAGGCAAAGGTATGAAACACGATCAAACAACCCAATCTAATGCCCTCAAACTATTTTTCAATTCATTTTCTCAAGTTCTTTTTTTCTCACATTCTAGTTTACATTTAAGAGTTTACTATTATAAATACAGCTTTACAACTGAACTCCAATCCTTAGTCTGTTTATTTTAGCTGCAGTTGGCTAATAAATTCATAATAATAATGAACTCAGTATACTACATTGTCCACATTCACCTCTGATTAAGTGAGCTTCTGAAAATTACACATTCAGATGGTGTCCAAAATATTCAAGACTATTCATGTCAAAGTGGCACTCAAATCTTCTCTGTAGCCTGTCAATCCTATTTTATTTCATAAATAACTTTTATTTGCTTGGCCAAAACTTCTGTCATATTTAGAACATCATTTACAAATTATTGGTAATATAGAGCCAAGAAGCCATCAGACTGAAAAGATCTCACCCCCTTTTCACTAGTCCTTAAAATCCGTCTGCTTCAGTAAGCATATCTTCCTTCTTTTCTTTTTATTTCCAAAGAGAAAATGTCCCTACTCCTGTCAAAGTGGAGCATTCTAATTATCCACTGTATCCCAATCTTTCCACCTTATCCTATGAGCGTCTTTTTTTTTTCATTTCTCATGGATTGTTCATGTAAACAAAAAAGTATTTATTATATTTTACATCCTAAAATCAAAACAACCCCCACACGGCCTTCAATTTCCCTACAGTATCATTGAACTATAACCTTATATCTCTGTTCCTCTTCATAGCCACAGTTCTTGAAACAGTAGTCTGAATTTATAGTCTCCTCTTCTAGAGTCCCTAATTAGTCTTTGAAATCCCTCAATGTGGATAGTACTCTGATTAAAATTGATCTGGACAAGGTCACCAATGATTCCATGTTGGATAATCTAATAATTATTTTTAACTCCACTTTATTCTGTATCTCAGTTGATTTTGTCAGTTTATTAATGACTGTTTTGTTTTACTGAATATTTTCCTCTTTTTGCATCTGTAATGGTACTAAATACTAATTTTTCCTTTGATATCTGAGCATCTCAACTCAGTTTCCAGTGTCATCTCATAGTTAACATGCTCAAAATGGAAGTATATATTCCTTCAAAAAACGCAAATACAAGCACACCCTCAAACATGTAAACTCACATACAAAAAACAGATGTGCATGTCTCACATACATGTTCCCATGCATACATGCACATCCCGACATATAGAAAAAACACATGCATATTTCTGCACATACACTCAAACACACTCACGCACTCACATATGCAGACATTGACCAAACACATACAAAAGTATGCACAATGCCTACATGCACAACCACATATACTCTCTCACTGACACTGACACACATGCATTCCCCACACATATTCACACACATATATACATATGCACGTCACACTCACATGCACTCATACCTATACTCACATATATACACATGTATACCGCAGGCCCCCTACAATGTCATATCCACACACACATGCACACCTGCACACATATATACTCACATATACACACTTGCGACTCCCCCACAGACATTCACACGCATTAAACTCAAACAGGCACACCACCATTTCTTCTCCAGTTCTTACCACCACCTACCTAGAAAATGAAGGCAGAAATGTGAAAGTTTTGCATCTACTCCTTTCTCATACTTCCATTTTAACTTCATCACCTCAACTTATCAATTCTTCCTCAGAAGTACGCCTAGAATCTCCCTATTTATTTCTGTTTTCTTTGCCACCCAGCTACATAGACCATCACTTTTCATCTAGTTCCTAGCTTTTTTAAAGCTGCCAATTTTGCCCCCTTTAATCTATTCTGCATAATTTTTTTTGGGGGGGGGGAACGGAGTTTCGCTCTTGTTGCCCAAGCTGGAGTGCAATGGCGCGATCTTGGCTCACTACAACCTCTGCCTCCCGGGTTCAAGTGATTCTCCTGCCTCAGCCTCCTGAGTAGCTGGGATTACAGGTGTGCACCACCACGCCTGGCTAATTTTTTGCATTTTTAGTAGAGACGGGGTTTCACCGTGTTAGCCAGGATGGTCTCAATCTCCTGACCTCGTGATCTGCCCGCCTCGGCCTCCCAAAGTGCTGGGATTACAGGAATGTGCCACCATGCCCAGCCTATTCTGCATAATTTAGAGAGTGTAACTATTTCAGAACACAATTCAGATTATGCCACTCTAACATTTAAATTAATTCAATGCCTATCCATCAACTACAATTTTCATTATTAAAATTATTCTATATTGAATACATAATGCTGGCAAGAACATGATGAAATAGGTATCCTCTATTTTAGGTAGCAATTTAAATGACTTAGAAATACATTTGATAAAAATTTTGTAATACATTTCAAGATAAAAATTAGTAATGATACTATTTGACTTATGCTATTTCAGAGACACAATAACAAAATTATATCATATATTATGAAAGTGTGCACAAAAATAATTTAGATTTTCTATAATAGGAAAAAATTCACATTTATACATAAATAGGACACTAGGGAAATTAATTAAACTGTGAACTATTCATTCAATAAAATATTATGAATTTTTAAAAATATTTTAGAATATATTTTATTAATATAATTAATATTCATGGCAGGTTAATAATATATAAAAATGCCTGATTATAAAGTATAAATGGCTGCAAATTTACATCTGCAGTATAATCATAGCTCAATTAAAACTAAAGCAAAAGACATAAGAAATATACAAAAACATTAAGTGGTAAAATTTCAGTGATTCAATTATTTTAGCTTTCTTTTTCTTTATCATCTGTATTTGTCATGAGACTATATAGAGAATAAAAACAATTTAAAAAGAATTATTATTTCCATTTTTTCTTTACCCAGTGGCAAATAAAATAAAAGCAGCTCTGCCAATCTCTCGGTCATTAAAGTTTTTGTTGGCTTTCTGTAAACTTCCTGAATTCAGAGTTTAGGCCTTAAGGTTAAAATATAAATCAGATAAACTTCATACTCAGCCTTCCAATGACTTCCTAGCTCACTCAGAAAACAAAACAAACAAAATTAAAAACAAAGTAGTGCCTAGCAGTAGCCTAACTGCCACTTTAAGTTCTAGTTTCACTGGCCCTCCAACCTAGCCTGCTTTCCTCCACCTTCCCTGCCTCTATGTCAACCACACTGGCTTCCACGTCCTTTGAGTACCGCAGCTATCATGTCACCTGAGACACCTCACTGCCTCACCCTCTGCTAGAAGATTTTTTGCCCAAATAGTCAAATATTTGTAACCTAATTCTATTAGTTCTTATAAAAGTAAATATCAACTTGAGTCTTATAAACTCTAACTCCTATTATACTTACTCAGTTTTTACTGTGATTTACTCTTCTTCATAACATTTATCATCTTCTGACAATCTATGTATTGGTTTATTTTCTACTTCGCATTACTGAAATATTAACTCAGTGACAAGAAGAATTATTTCCATTTTGTTCGTTATTCTATCTCCATTGTGTGCCTACATTAGGTGCTCAGTGAACACTTTTTGAATGAATAAAATTTAGAAATGTTTCAGATTATTGATTTTTTTCAGTTAAGAGAGGTACTTTTAGATGCATCTTTTACTAAATTTAAAGTACCTCAATCAACACCCTGACATCAACCCGAAATCAAAGTTCAAAACAGATGCACATTGAATAATGACATAATTAGGACAAATTTTTTTTTAAAACTAACCTCAAAGTATAATTGGAAATGTTAAAGGGAAAAAGTAAGCCTATATGACAAACCCTAAATGCTTGACAAAAATTTTATATTATTTTATTAGTCATTAATTGATTTGTCATATAAAAAACATTATGAGGGCATAACATTGTCATAGGTTGGGTTCCCCACAAATAAACTTAGAAGTTATAAGCTTTCTGTGAATGAGATTTATTAAAAAGCGCTCTCTCAAATACAGCTAGTTTGCTTTGAAAAAAGCAAAATTGGACAGAGGAAGACTTCGAACTACAGACATTTGCAATAGCAGCCAAGTCTACTCTGAAAGTGGCTCTGGAGCTGTCAGGAGTTATCCCCAGTTGAGGGAAATGAACTGGATCTTCATAGCTCCTCATTATCAATCAGAGGATACACGTTATCCTGGAAGTGGAGGGTGTGGTCTTGACACAGGCTGCTTTCAGCCAGGGCAATTACTAGAGAGGAACACAGATATTCAGCCACCAACATTCTCAGCAAGGAGGGGGAAAAAGTACCTCTATCTTGAAATTGGTAGTAGGGGTAATACATAGCGTGCCATACAGCATCTACCATATGAATTCAAGCTTGCCAAGTTTATTACTCTCCCCATATAGCTATGGTAAAAATAGTGGCAATTTCTTCAGGTCATATTTCTACTTTATTCAAATCCTTCCGGAAATAAAGTAAAATCAAACATATTAATATTCACCTTGCTTCTGTTAGTGGAGGAATCATCAAGTATTTTAGGATAGTAGTTTTCTAACCTTAGAGGATATAGGAACAACTTATAGCATGTTTCAAAGATAGTATATTAGTCAATTCTCACATTGCTATAAAGAACTACCTGAGACTGGGTAATTTATAAGAAAAATAAGTTTAATTGGCTCACAGTTCTGCAGGCACCATGCTGGCATCTGCTCAGCTTCTGAGAAAGCCTCAGGAAACCATAATTATGATGGAAAGCTAAGAGGAGAGCAGGCATGTCAATGGCCAGAGCAGGAGCAAGAGAGCAATGGGAGAGGTGCCGCACACTTTTCAACTACCAGATCTCCCAAGAACTCCCTCACAACTCTGAGGACAATAACAAGGGGGTGAAAACATTCATGAGTAACCCGCCCCTATGATCCAATCACCCCTCTTCAGGCCCCACCTTCAACACTGGGGATTACATTTCAATGTGAGATTTGGGCAGAAATACACATCCAAACTATATCGGAGAGATAATCTCTTATCAGATCCCTAGATACTCTGACTCAGACTTTCTACATGTAGTCAGAAAATATAAAACTTTAAGTAGCACTATGTCTGTTTTTTTTTCCTCTTCTAAAAAGAAAAAAGAAACCACAGACTACGATTTGCAGAAAAAATAAATTTGGTGTTATGGAAACTGCATAGATTTATAGCTGAAAAGTTCTAGTACTGCGGTAGCAACAAGAACACCCAATGATCATGCTTTGGTTTCTAAATATTATATTTCCACAAAAAGAACAAGAGTTCCTTAGAAAAGTGGCTGATTCTCAGAGGAACAGGAAACATGCACTATGACACTGGAGTATCTTGTACTGCCAGAAAGTGAGAAAATATTAAGAAAAAAAAGAAGAAGAAGAGGAGGAAGAAATAAGAAGGTTATATTCAAAGTTTAGTTTAAGCAACTAAATGAATAATGTTTACTTCTGGTTAGGGCCCCAATATATAAAGAACTTGGAAGGTGTCATTCTCATTCGTACAAGAATAAAAAGTTAAACAAACAGAAAATAAATGTATTTTTTTCCTAGAAACTATCAGAGAACTGAGGTTCTAGGACAAAAAAGCCACCACCAAATTCAGAGACATTGAATACATTCATGGCCAGAATCAACTTACGAGATACAGAAAGTGCTGGAGCCATCAACTAGTAGTAACATTTAAATGGTAATTTTTATAAATTGCTAGAGGCTGAATATAGATGTACTTGAGAGTGATAAACTCCTGGATACCAACTCTGGTGTGTGAGCCCACATTTTCAATTGTTCTAAGAACATCACCAGGTTTTCATGGCGAAATTCCAATAAAGTTTCTCTCGTGACTCTGGCAGAGTGAAGGAAAGAGTAATCACTGTGAAATATGCTTGGATTAGTCCCCACAGACTGTCCAAATATCCAGGGAAAAGACTTTCCCAGAGCATTGTTCCACCTGGAGAAGGGCATTCCTTGGGCACAGCGTGCTTTAGTGGTCATACCTAGGGTGGGAGAGAGAAGCTCTACCACTAGAAGATCACTTGTATTGACATAGTTCAGACACAGGCCCACTAAAAGACTGAGATTTAAATATGATTCCACAACACTTCCTCTTCATAACTGAAAGTCATAGCAAAAGGGTTGCATTATAATAATACTCAATTATGGCAGGACAGGCTACATCAAACTGACTCTCTTTGAGGAGGAAGACTTTTGGAAGTCTGAAGTCAAGAAGAGAAACAAAATAAGGAAGCCTGAAAAGAATATAGTTAGTAAAATTGTATTGATTTAATTTCTTAGTTTTGATAAATTTATCATGGTTTCGTAAGGTGTTAACATTAGGAGAAGCTGAGTGAAATTTTCTGGAAATCTAACGTTATGCCAAAATAAAAAGGTGTGTGTGTGTATGTGTGTGTGTTTATGTTTGTGTTTTAAAATCTCATAGATCCCCTGCAATATCTGTGTAGTTGTTATGTTTTGGACACAACAGGGAAATTCTAAACTGGAAGCTTTTAAAAATTTTCTATTTTAAAGAGAATGCTTCCAGCTTTTCCCATTCAGTGTGATACTGGCTGTGGGTCTGTCATAAATTCCTCTTATTATTGGGAGATATGTTCCATCAATACATAGTTTATTGAGAGTTTTTAGCATGAAAGGGTGTTGAATTTTATCGAAGCCCTTTTCTGCATCTATTGAGATAATCATGTGGTATTTGTCATTGGTTCTGTTTATGTGATGGATTACATTTACTGATTTGTGTAAGTTGATCCAGCCTTGCATCCCAGGGATGAAGCTGACTTGATCATGGTGGATAAGCTTTTAGATGTGTTGCTGGATTTGGTTTCCGAGTATTTTATTGAGGATTTTCACATCAATGTTCATCAGGGATATTGGGCTGAAATTTTCTTTTTTTGTTGTGTCTCTGCCAGGTTTGGTATCAGGATGATGCTGGCCTCATAAAATGAGTTAGGGAGAAGTTTCTTTTTTCTATTGTTTGGAATAGCTTCAGAAGGAATGGTACCAGCTCCTCTTTGTATCTCTGGTAGAATTCAGCTATGAATCCTGGGTCTGGGCTTTTTTTAGTGGGTAGGCTATTAATTACTGCCTCAATTTCAGAACTTGTTATTAGTCTATTCAAGGATTTGACTTCTTCCTGGTTTAGTCTTGGGAGGATGTATGTGTCCAAGAATTTAATCATTTCTTCTAGATTTTCTAGTTCATTTGTACAGAGGTGTTTATAGTAAACTCTAATGGTAGTTTATATTTCTGTGGGATTGGTGGTGATATCCCCTTTATCATTTTTTATTGTGTCTATTTGATTCTTCTCTCTTTTCTTCTTTATTAGTCTGGCAAGGGCAATCAGGCAAGAGAAAGAAAGAAAGAGTATTCAAATAGGAAGAGATGAAGTAAAATTATCTCTGTTCACAGATGACATGATTGTATATTTAGAAAACCCCATCATCTCAGTCCCAAACCTCCTTAAGCTGATAAGCAACTTCAGCAAAGTCTCAGGATTAAAAATCAATGTGCAAAAATCACAAGCATTCTTATACAACTATGATAGACAAACAGAGAGCCAAATTATGAGTGAACTCCCATTCACAATTGCTACAAAGAGAATAAAATACCTAGGAATACAACTTACAAGGGATATGAAAGACCTCTTCAAGGAGAATTACAAACCACTGCTCAAGGAAATAAGAGAGGACAAAAACAAGTGCAAAAACATTCCATGCTCATGGAGAGGAAGAATCAATATTGTTAACATGGACATATGCCCAAAGTAATTTATAGATTCAATGCTATCCCCATCAAGCTCCCATTAACTTTCTCCACAGAATTAAAAAAAAAAAAAAACTACTTTAAATTTCATATGGAACCAAAAAAGAGCCTGTATAGCCAAGACAATCCTGGGCAAGAAAAACAAAGCTGGAGGCATCATGCTACCTGACTTCAAACTATACTACAAGGCTACAGTAACCAAAACAGCATGGTACTGGTACCAAAACAGAGATATAGAGCAATGGAACAGAACAGAGGCCTCATAAATAATGCCACAAATCTACAACTATCTGATCTTTGACAAACCTGACAAAAACAAGCAATGGGGAAAGGATTCCCTATTTAATAAATAGTGTTGGGAAAACTGGCTAGCCATATGCAGAAAACTGAAACTGGACCACTTCCTTACACCTTATATAATAATTATCTCAAAATGGATTAAAGACTTAAACATAATACATAAAACCATAAAAATTCTAGAAGAAAACCTAGGCAATACCATTCAGGACACATGCATGGGCAAAGACTTCATGACTATAACACCAAAAGCAATGGCAACAAAAGCCAACATTGACAAATGGGATCTAATTAAATTGAAGAGTGTCTGCACAGCAAAAGAAACTATCATCAGAGTGAATAGGCAACCTACAGAATGGGAGAAAAATTTTGCAATCTATCCATCTGACAAAGGGCTAATATCCAGAATCTGCAAGGAACTTAAACAAAATTACAAAAAAAAAAAACAAAAAGTGGGCAAAGGATATAAACACTTTTCCAAAGAAGACATTTCACAGCCAAAAAACATATGAAAAGAATCTCATCATCACTTGCAAATCAAAAACACAGTGAGATACTATCTCACACCAGTTAGAATGGTGATCATTAAAAAGTCAGGAAACAACAGATGCTGGAGAGGATGTGGAGAAACAGGAATGCTTTTACACTGTTGGTGGGAGTGTAAATTAGTTCAACCATTGTGGAAGACAGTGTGGTGATTCCTCAAGGATCTTGAACCAGAAATACCATTTGACCCAGCAATCTCATTACTGAGTATATACTCAAAGGATTATAAGTCATTCTACTATAAAGACACATGCACACGTATGATTATTACAGCACTATTCACAATAGCAAAGACTTGGAAGCAACCAAAATGTCCACTAGTGATAAACTAGATAAAGAAAATGTGGCATATATACACCATGGAGTACTATGCAGCCATGAAAAAGGATGAGTTCATGTCCTTTGCAGGGACATGGAAGAAGCTGGAAACCGTCATTCTCAGCAAACTGACACAGAAACAGAAAATCAAACACCGCATGTTCTCACTCATAAATGGGAGTTGAACAATGAGAACACGTGGACACATGGAGGGGAACATCACACATTGGGGCCCGTCAGGGAGTAGGGGGGCTAGGGGACGGATAGCATTAGGAGAAACACCTAATGTAGATGATGGGTTGATGGGTGCAGCAAACCACCATGGCACATGTATAACTATGTAACAAACCTGTGTGTTCTGCATACATATCCCAGAACTTAAAGTATAATAAAAAAAAAAAGGTAAAAAAATTTGTTTCTATTTTATAACTAACATACAGAAAAATGTGAAAGCCGAAATCAAGCTTGTCCAACTCTGGCCCAGAGGCCACATGTGGTCAAGGATGGCTTTGAATGTGGCCCAACACAAGTTCATAAACTTTCTTAAAATGTTATGAGATTTTCTTGAGGTTTATTTTTTGGCTCATCAGCTGTTGTTAGTGTTAGTATATTTTATGTGTGGCCCAAGACATTTTTTCTTCTTCCAATGTTGTCCAGGGAATCCCAAAGTTTGGACATCTCTGGCTTAAATGTATAGCTAAATAATTGGCTAAAACAAGTTCTCAGCCAGTTCAATAAGTAGGATATCATTAATCCTTTTATGCTCCCTTTGTGCCATGACCTCTTCCCTCTGTCTCAAAGATAACAACTACTCTGATCTAATACAGTAGACTAATTTTGCCCATTTTTTATTTTATAAAAATGTATTTCTGTGTTATGCATTTTTCTAGGACAGGCTTCTTTCACTCAACATTATGTTTGTATCTTGGTCCATTTTGTGTTTCTATAAGGGAATACCTGAGGCTGAGCAATTTATAAAGAAAAGTTTATTTGGCTCATGGTTCTGCAGGCTGTCCAAGAAGCATGGCAGCAGGATCTGCTTATCTTCTAGTTAGAGCTTCTGTGCTGCATCAAAACATGATGGAAAAGACCACAGGGGAAGCAGGCAAGTGCAGAGAGCAACCAAACCTCAAGGTTGTCTTGACTTTATAACAACCTCCTCTGGAAGAAACTAATTCACTCCCCCTGAGAACCAATCCAAGCTCAGGAGAATGAGAACTCACTCACTGCAGAGTGAATGGCATCAAGCCATTCATCAGGGATCTACCCTCATGGATCACTTCCTTCTAGGTCCCATATCCCAACACTGCCATACTGGGGATTAAATTTTAACATGATACAGGGTGGGAAGGAATGTCCAATCCATAGCAGTTTGTAAGTTTCAACCATATTATTTTAGGCTGTGTATATCTATTGCTGCACAGTATCCTATTGTTTCAAGTGCCACAATATTTGATCCCACCTATTCTTGATGGATATTTTTTTTCTCTTTTTCTCCCAGTGTTTGGTTATTACAAATAGTGTGCAATGATATGTTTATAAATACATATTGTGAAGATATATTTCTTATAGCTTGAAAACACTGTGTATAGTAACTATTTATAGTTAAGTAGCACTGTTGGGTCCTAGTTACGTACAAATTCAGATTTTCAAAGTGATAGTACTAATTTTTACACTCACTATTCATAAGAGCTCTGGTAGCTCTCCAGTTTCTAACCAACACCTGAGGTCATTTGTCTTAATAATTTTCAACATTGTTGAGGGCAAGTAGTGGCATAATATTGTGTTTAAATGGTTATTACATTACAGAATACAGCAGTAAGTGTACAGAGTGAACAAACTTTTAAATGTACACATTTTAAATATACAGAATGAATAAAGTTTTCACATGTGCATGCTTATCTTATCAGCACTGAAATGAAGACATAGTACATATTCGCTCCAACAATTACCTTTCCAAAGGTGAATGCAACTCTGAATTCCATCAGCATTGATTGGCTTTATTTTTCTTGAATATTTAATTGTTTAATCTCTCGACTGAAGAATCAGATTCTTCAGTATTATTGGAGCTAGCTTCAGTTTATTATTCTTCACTGATATGCACTATTCCATTTTTTGGGTATAGCAATTAGATGTTTGTTCTATCATTAATTTTCTTTTGGTTGTTTTTTGCCATTTTCAAAATGCTACGGTTTTAGTAAATATGTGCACTAGTTTTTATTGGATATTTACTAAACAATGAGATTGCTAGCATGGTGTATATTTTATAAAAATATTTTAACTTTTTGGGTCTTTAATTTATGTTTTATATAAACAGCATAGAGGTTTTTATTTTTTAAATGGGAAATATTTTCTATTTACATTGGAAAAATTCATGATGTTTAGTTTTTCCTCTAATATCTTCATATTTTCTATTTGTTTAATTGCTAATTTGTTTATTTTTCTTTTGATTTATTAAGTACTACTTCTTATCCTACTGTATTTTTCCATTAGCTTACTATTTTCACATTATTTTTATAGTTATTCCAAACACTATAAAATATATTATTCATTTATTAGTCTAATTTAGTTATTATATCACATCCCCAGAGTGATAGAATTTCATCTTACAAAAGTTTAATTACATTTAATTCTCTTATCTTTTATATTATTGCTGCCAGAAGTTTTACTTGTACATATATAGGAAATCCCAGAAAAAAATGTAATTTCTGTAAATAATCATTGTTCACTTATCTTTCACTAACGAAACCTGTACCCTTCCTAGTGTTTTTCATTCTTTCCCTCTTGTTCATGCCATCATATGAGATTGTTTTTTCCCTGCCTGAGAAACAGTCTCTAAATATTTTAGTTCATGATTAATGATGCCAAATTCCCTCATGTTTAGCTTGCCTGACAACTTCTAATTTTGCTTTTCTTTATATTTTTTGTAAAGATATATTTCTCAAATAGAAAATGAACAAATTTTAATTATACAGTTTAATCTGTTTTAACAAATACATACATTCATTTAACTCATATCACTGTCAAGACACAGAAACTTACTGCTATCTCAGAAAGTTTCTAAGATTCTTCATGCTCCTCTTTCAGTCATCCACTTCCAAGTTACTAATGGTCTTGTTTCTATTGTCAATAGATTAGTTTTGCCTAGTATATGATATAATATATATGGAATCACATGGTAGGTAGGCTTTTGTGTCTGGCTTCTTTTGCTCAGCAAAGTTTTTTTTGTGGTATCAGTAGTTCATTTATAAATATAGACATTCAGAGAGAGGCAAAGTAGTCATAGAATCATTGAATAGATTCTATGTTTAACTTTCAATAAAAACCACAAATTATTTGTCCTGACTGATTTTATACCCTCACCAGAAATGTCCCAATTGCTTAATATTTTTACCAACATATGTTGTTTACAATTCTTTTTATATTGCTCTTTTACTGAATATGTAGCAAAAAGAAAAGCCATAAAGGAGAAAAAAAAAGTTTTGATGTGCCAATTGACAAATTATTTGTAGAGAAAATGTGTAAGGAACTGCTACAAATCAATAAAAAATGAAATACAACATAATTAAATTGGTCTAGAGCATTGAACAGGCATTAACAAAGATGATATCCAAATGTCCTATAAACATATAAAAATGTCAAACTGTATTAATCACTAGTGAAATGAAAAGTAAAACTGAAGTGCAAGAGATGAATTTGATAACCCTTCACACACCTCAGAATAGTTAAAATTACGAAGATAACTAATAAAATTTTTGGCAGGGATGTAGAACAACTTCAGCACTAGTGGAATGTTGATGGGAGTATAAACTGGTATAACCACTTTCTTTTTTTTTTTTTTTTTTTTTTTTTGAGACAGCGTCTGGCTCTGTCGCCCAGGCTGGAGTGCAGTGGCGCGATCTCGGCTCACTGCAAGCTCCGCCTCCTGGGTTCACGCCATTCTCCTGCCTCAGCCTCTCAAGTAGCTGGGACTACAGGAGCCCGCCACCGCTCCCGGCTAATTTTTTGTATTTTTAGTAGAGACGGGGTTTCACTGTGTTAGCCAGGATGGTCTCGATCTCCTGACCTCATGATCCACCCGCCTCGGCCTCCCAAAGTGCTGGGATTACAGGCGTGAGCCACCACGCCCGGCCAACCACTTTCAAAAGCGGTTTCTTTCTTTCTACTAAAGTTGAAAAGCAACCTAGCAATTCTTCTCCTGGATATATATGAAATAGAAATGTATTTTTAAATTTTCCAAAAAACAACTACTAAAATGTTTATAGGGACTCTCTATTTATAATTGTTGTGCTATAGAGGCTATCCAAATGGATTAAGGCAGTATAACAGTATAAGGTACATGTTACAATGGTCATATGATAAATTATTACCTAGGAATAGAAATGGAAAAAAAAAAAAGATTGCTATATACAAAATATGTGAATCTCAAAAACACAATATCCTATTTTAGAAGCAGACCAAAAAATGCACACTCTGTGATTCCGTATACATAAATCTACTAACAGGCAACTGTAAACCAAAAATAAAATCTTCAGCCACAAAGTCAACTGAATAGATGCCTCCTCCCAGCCAAGCGCATTCCAAAGTAAACCTGAAAAACTAGTTCAGGCCATGATGGGAAGGGGACAGTCAGATATACCTCCTTATACCCTCCACCCTTTACAATTCAGGCACAACTTACCAATATTAACATTAAAATAGAGATCTTAAGAAGGACAAAATAAAGTCGTAACAATAAGATACAAAATTCCAACTTGACTCTAGTATAGCATCACATGACAGCTAGCAGGCCCTGAAAGAAATCAAAGTATTTTACCCCAAAATATATTTATTTGACTTTTTTTTATTTTATTTTTTTTTTTGAGATGGAGTCTCGCTCTGTCGCCCAGGCTGGAGTACAGTGGCGTGATCTCAGCTCACTGCAAGCTCCGCCTCTCAGATTCACGCCATTCTCCTGCCTCAGCCTCCCGAGTAGCTGGGACTACAGGCATCCACCACCACGCCCAGCTAATTTTTTTGTATTTTTAGTAGAGATGGGGTTTCACCGTGTTAGCCAGGATGGTCTCGATCTCCTGACCTCATGATCCGCCCACCTCGGCCTCCCAGAGTGCTGGGATTACAGGCGTGAGCCACTGCACCCGGCCTTATTTGACATGTTTTTAAATGGCCTTACAAAGCTATGGCTTGTGGGGAAAATCCACATTCTGTAGAGAATCCCCTTCCCTTTCCAGATATTTTCCTGATCCAGGAGAAATTAACTAAGAGTATGGCATCTTTTAGTGTATGACAAGAGATATTTACCATCTGTTCTCTCTGAATCCTGTTACCTGGAAGCTGCATCTACATAACAAGAACCTTGGCTTCCACAATCCCCCCTTATCTAAAAGACAAACATTTCCCTCTGCTAACTCCAACTCTTCAGGCAGAGCTTGACCCTTTCAACGAATTGCCAATCCAGAAATCATTCACTCCACCTATGACCACTAAGCCTCTGCTTCAAGTTGTTTCATGGTTCTGGACTGAACCAGTGTATACCTGATACCTAGTAACTGATGTCTTATGTCTCCCTAAAACGTATAAAAGAAAGCTGTAAGCCAATCGCCCTGGGCACATGTTCTGAGGGCCTCTTGAGGCTGGCTTTGGAACTTGGTCACTCACATTTGGCTTAGAATGAATTCCTTCAAATATTTTATGAAGTTTGACGCTTTTTCATCAATACAATAACCTAAAGGCAAACAAGACAAGATGGTGGTTGACTTTTAAAGGAAATATGACTGGCTGATTTCAAGGGACCTTGTGGATTACTGATTATGGTAGTCAGTTTCATCAGTGACTGAGCCAGTGGGTAAACAGGTATTTGGTCAAACATTACACTGTGTGTCTGTGAAGGTGTTTTTGGATGAGATGAACATTTGAATGAGGAGACTAAAACAGATTGCCCTTCATAAGCATAGGTGTGCCTCAATTAGTTGAAAAACTGAATAGAATAAAAAAAAACTGACCTTCCCACCCAAAGTAAGAGAGAGTTTTTCCTGTCAGATGACCTTTGAACTAAGAAATCAGCTTTTTTCCTGCTTTTGGACCTGAACTGAAAGCATCAGCTCATACTAGGTCTCAAGACTGCCAGTCTTTGGACTGGATTTAAACTATCAGCTTCCTGGGTCTCCAGCTTGCCAACTCATCCTCCAGATCTTGGGACTTTCTAGCCTACATAGTCATGTCAGCCAATACTAATTTCTCTCTCTCTCTCTCTCTCTCTCTCTCTCTGTGTGTATACAAAGATGAATAATAAAATTTTTGATAAGGATATATACACACACACACATACACATACACATTCACGCACATCTATTTAGTTCTGTTTCTCTGGAAAATTCTGACTAATACATTGGTCATTATCTATTTCTTGATCTTGGCTTCAGCACTGTAGGTTTGTTTATTCTGGAAATTCATAAAGTTTTGTATTTATGGTTTGTGCTTTGCACATTCTCAGAAAATGTGAGTGAAAATAAGAATTTCTGCAAAGGTACGGTAGAATGTTACAGGCATATAGTACATTTCACATGAAACCTCTATATTCTTTCCAATCCTGAACCCTGGGTATATATTATTACTTAAATATATCTGCTAAGTGTTTACATACTACAGTCTTGTAAACCATAGCTAGTCTGTGGTTGTGTGTCTCAGAGATTCTGAAAAGTTTTTGGTTTATGGTGCCCTTAATGTCTTATTTTTGTTTGTTTGCTGTTTTGTTTTAGTTAAACCCCTAGATCAAAAGAAATACCTAGCAGCTCAGTATTGAATAATGAGGTCTCAACAATTTGAGAGTAGTAATTTGTGTGGTTTTTGACAGGTGCTACTGTGTTCTCTTGAAAAACTAAAATTTCCCACTGTGCCCACCCTGTGAATTTATGCACAACTTCTTAAGATCTTGGCATATGGCTTGGGAAACAAGGTCTTAGTCTTTTCTAGATACGGAGCAATTTGAACAAGTCATATATGAGGTTTATGCTGTGTCTCTGCCTGTATTTGTTTCTGTATGTGTATTTTACTGAAATAAATATATGTATATATACATGGATAACTGAATGCTTATCTAAGATTTTAAAGGTTTTATATTCCAAAACTATAGAAAAATAGGTTGCTTTATTCAAAGTGCTCACATTAAAACACTTAAGTGTAAAACATTTATTCAATTCTAAAGTCCCATTTGGAACTCTTTTCTCAGAATTAGCTCCTGATTAATATACATATTGCCAATGTTGGTTAAACAAAATAACACTGCTTTAGAGGTAGGACGAAGGTTAACAGACATAAGACACAACTGTGCTTTAAAAAATGTGGAATAAAATGATCAAAAATATAAAAGTGTATGCCCAGGTTTATAGTAATTACCATTGTGATTTAGTATTGCTATTTTCATGTATATTTTACATACACATTTTTTTCCAATTTATTTTGGGTTCAGGGTATGAGTGCAGGTTTGTTATATGAGCATAACATGTGATGTTGAGGACTGGGGTATGGATGATCCCATCACCCAGGTAATAAGGATAGCACCCAATAGATACTTTTTGAGCCAACAGTCCCCTCTCTCCTCCCCTCTCTACCAGTCCCCAGTGTCTCTTGTTCCCATCCTTATATCCATGCAT
Source organism: Homo sapiens (assembly GCF_000001405.40). Lineage (NCBI taxonomy): Eukaryota > Metazoa > Chordata > Mammalia > Primates > Hominidae > Homo > Homo sapiens. The sequence goes on from NC_000005.10 coordinate 105,170,342, forward strand.
GCGCATTTTCAGTAAGAACATGCAGTATCTGCTTTTCTGTTTCTGTGTTAATTCACTTAGGATAATGGCTTCCAATTAGCATGCTTGTTGTTGCAAAAGACATGATTTCATTCTTTACTGTGTCTGCATAGTATTCCATGTATCACATAGGCATGGACAAAGATTTCATGATTAAACACCAAAAGCAATGGCAACAAAAGCCAACATTGACAAATGGGATCTAATTAAACTAAAGAGCTTCTGCACAGCAAAAGAAAATATTATCAGAGTGAACAGGCAACCTACAGAATGGGAGAAAATTTTTGCAATCTATCCATCTGACAAAGGGCTAATATCCAGAATCTACAAAGAACTTAAACAAATTTACAAGAAAAAGACAACCCATCAAAAAGTAGGCGAAGGATATGAACAGACACTTCTCAAAAGAAGACATTTATGAGGTCAACAAACATATGAAAAAAAGCTCATCATCACTTGTCGTTAGAGAAATGCAAATCAAAACCACAATGAAATACCATCTGATGCCAGTTAGAATGACAATCATTAAAAAGAGAACAACTGATGTTGGAGAGGATGTGAAGAAACAGGAACACTTTTACACTGTTGGTGGGAGTGTAAATTAATTCAGCCATTGTGGAAGACAGTGTGGTGATTCCTCAAGGATCTAGAACCAGTAATAGCATTTGATCCAGCAATCCCATTACTGGGTATATACCCAAAGGATTGGAAATCATTCTACTATAAAGACACATGCACACGTATGTTTACTATGGCACTGTTCACAATAGCATAGACTTGGAAGCAACCCAAATGCCCATCAATGATAGACTGGATAAAGAAAATGTGGCATATATACATCATGGAATACTATGCAGCCATAAAAAACGATGAGTTCATGTCCTTTGCAGAGACATGGAAGAAGCTGGAAACCATCATTCTCAGCAAACTAACACAGAACAGAAAACTAAACACTGCCTGTTCTCACTCATAAGTGGGAGTTGAACAATGAGAACACATGGACACAGGGAAGGGAACATCACACACTGGGGCCCGTCAGCGAGTGGTGGGCTAGGGGAGGGATAGCATTAGGAGAAATATCTAATGTAGATGATGAGTTGATGGGTGCAGCAAACCACCATGGCACGTGTATACCCATGTAACAAACGTGCACGTTCTGTACATGTATCCCTGAACTTTAAGTATAATAAAAAAATATAAAAACAAAAAAGTTAAAATCTAATCTACCACTGATGGGTACCTAGGTTGATTCCATGTCTTTGCTAGTGAGAATAGTGCTGTGCTGTGATGAACATGTGAGTGCATGTGTCTTTTTGGTAGAACAATTTATATTCCTTTGGGTATATACACAAACAAATAATCCAATTGAAAATAAGCTAATGATATTAAAAGATACTTCTTGAAAGAAGACACACAAGTGGTCAAGAAATATGAAAAAATTCTCATCATTACTAATCATCAGAGAAACAAAATCAAAACCGTAATAAGATACCATCTCACACCAGTCAGAATGGCAGTTATTAGAAAGTCAAAAAATGAAAGATACTGGTGAGTCTGTACTGAAAAGGGGACATTTATACCCTGTTGGTAGCAATGCAAAATCCTTCAGCCACTGTGGAAAAAAGTTGAAGATTTCTCAAAGAACTTAAAGCAGAACTATTAACACCATTCAACACAGTAAAATATTTCTAATGTGATGAACGTTATTTTAGTTAACTTGTTATTACATATCTTTCTTGAAATTAAATGACTTGATAAATTTATACCTCATATGAAATTTACTAAATTGTTTTCAGGAAAAATTTTTAAAAGGTAACATAGCATTTACTTTGAGGAAAAAAAAGCATTAGCAACTTTGATAGCTTTAATATTTTCCCTTTAGAACAATTAACCAAACAAAAGAAAACAGAAATAAGCAATATAATTTTTTTTCAAACAAGAAAAAAATTGTGTGTGTTTGTAACTAAATCTGTTTTTACATTCGGTTTAAAAACACATGTCATCAACACATTTTCTTTTTTTAAGTCACAATACAAGTAATGGAGTTACTCCATAAATATTTACTTGGTATGATATCTGTTAATGAATTATTCTTAAAACATAATTAATATTAGATTTTGACTGTTGTATTTCCAACTACATGTATTTTTATTTCTTTGACTAATTTTATAATAATGGTAATGAACAAATGTCCCACATTCAGTAAAATATTGGAGTTGATACTTTATTAGTCAGCGTTCTCCAGAGGAACAAAAGAACCAATAAAATAAATACACACACACACACACACACACACACACACACACACACACACACACACACACTGCTTTAGTGACATCCTAAACCACAATGGGGAGGACAATCTGCTTTCCTCAGTCTTCCAAATCACCTGCTAATCTCATCCAGAAACACTCTCACAAACACACCCAGCAATGATGTTGGACCAAATTTTTGGAAACTGCATGGCCTAATCAAATTGACTTACAAAATTAACCATCACAGTCATTAAGCCTCATGTTTGGGGACCATGTGAAGTGGCAAAACTGATCCATTATTAGCTCCATTACCATGAACTAAAATGGCAAAACTAAAGTAAAAAAAAAAAAAAAAAACAGGCAAACAAATAAACTCAATAATGCCATTCCACAATAATGCTTTAAACCATGTTGCGTATAATAATTTTAGTGATTTAAATGAATATTTGGCCATTTTTATTTATTGAACAGCATCATAACTATGTGTCATTAAAGCTTAGTCAGCTTAACTTACTTATTTTGATTTGATTATGACCTTAAACTTCATTGAGATATCTGGGGCTTTGGCAAATATTATCAAGGAACTACAAACAGCACTGATGCTATGAGAATCTTGTGGGTCTATCATCAAAATTCGCATAATTTTGTCTTTAAGAGATATATGTAAAAATGGTGTTGCTTCATTCCAAGATATGAATTTTTAGGCTTTTCTACCCACTGGCAAATTTTTCTCTGTGCATATTTTCTTATGCATCCACCAATACTAGTTGTAACTGATTTTTAAATATTTATCAATTTGAAAGATGAAAAAAAGTTCCTAATTTTAAGGCTTTTGATGTTTAAAAAAAGAACATACTTCTATATGCTCAGTGTCTATATGTATTTCTTCTTTGTTTTTTGTCACTTTTGTATACTTTGCCTATTTTCCCATTGAGTCATAAATCATTTATCACATAGATTAGTAAAATTCTCTAAGATGGTAGTGGCATTAATCCATAGTTATTGTTTATGTGCACTGAAAATATTTGTTTAAATTTATTTTTTAAATGTTGGTGAAAATATGCCATACAGATATTTTAAATAATATTGTGAAATTATAATCTTTGTTTATTTGGAATCTGCCTAAGTTGTATTTCCTAAAAAATTCTTCTTTAGCACAAATATTCACTTACTCTAGATAAAGCAACAAATTCATTCTTATTTTTTGTCAATTTTTATTCAATTGTACAAATATAAAATATTAAGTAATTTACCCTTCATTAGCAAATAATGTGCCATCTATATAACAGAAGTTACATCTAAACATGTAATAGTATATTATATTATGCTATTTTATATTTATACTTATGCTATACAGACTAAGGCATAAACATTATATATGAAATAGAAATACATTAGGTAATGCATAATGTTGAAATTTAGTATTTGTCTGAATGCTACCTTTAGAGAAAGGATGATCATTTAGAACCAAAAGATGTAAAAGTCCTTTCCTCGGAGAAACAGCCTGAGTCTTCAGAGTCTTCAAATTTTCTTTATCTCTACAGCTTGATTTGTATAAAAGGATATTTTATTCAACCACTCCAACACTTTCATTTGAAGATGAAAATATTGCATCCAAAGGGGGTTATTTGATTTACGTAAGACTGAATAGTTAATGATGGCAGAAACTGAACAGGATTTAAGTTCTCATAATATTCTTTATTTTAGCTCATGATGTTTTAAAATCAGCTTACAGCAGAAAGAAAATTTGAAGTAATATTAGTATGACTTTTAGGACATCAAGCAAATCAACATTTAATTAAACAAACTCAAATTGAATGCTTTTATTCCCAACCCCTCCCCAAATACCTCTTTAAGATCCCTGAGCAACACCTTTGATAGTATCCTAAAATTACATATGAACTTAATTTTGAAATGATGCAATAAAGCTTTTATTTAACTGTTAAAAGCATGCTCTCTTAAACTGATTTACATACATATAGAGATCCACTAAAACTCAATGCAGTATTTTAAGATCTTTTACAGATAAAGCATTATGACAATTAAATATGCTTGAGTTAAAACGAACTAATTCATAAAAAAAGATGACTTAGGCTTGTGAATATAAAGAGCATTAGGCTTACCTTCTGAGTGCTTTTATATATTACACTCAATGCTATATTACTCTAGGAAAATTTTACAAGAAAACTCATTCTCAAATCTGAGATTATATGTACCTTGTTTACATTCATAGTTTTTATATTTATGGTTTATAGTTTATCAGTGTTATTATGCCAGGTTTTCAAATAGGCATCCTTTTTATTGAAAACTATATAAAACTAATATACCTAAAAGGGAAATTTAAGGCACAAACACATTTCTATATGAAATGAGACTTAAAAAAGAAAAAAAAATTTGGAAGGGGAATATTTAAGCTTGATTACAAAATAATCCGATCCATGCTTTCAGTTGTAACACTAAAATGTATATAAACCTACCACAGTTAATTACAGTGACAAAAGTTTTACTATTATGTAAATACATGCATATATTATAAAGAAATCTCTGTGTGCGTGTGTGTGTGTGTGTGAAAGTATACAATTCAAGGTTTGTATCTATGCCTAGGCAATACCTAGAAAATGATGCATAATAAAATATTGCACTCAGGAATGATTCGCAGTGCTTGACTTATTGGATAACATAATATTTAGTGGGAAATATTATAAGTTATCCAATAAATCAAACATTACTATATTTAGATAGTTTTAAATCATTACCACTACAATGAGTAAAATATCATTGAAATATAGTTCGGTGTACATAGTCAAGCTATATTCACCACAAATTTATGTCAAGAAAATATTTCTTGTTATAAGTCCTCTTTTTTCTCTCACCAAAAGCCTAAATTACACTGACAAATCTCCAAATTTAGTTTTTATTGTATCCAAACTCATTTTAAAAAACTGATAAAACTGGTCATTCAGAGAAATGAGATTTTCTTTGAATGTAAGCAGTATTTCTATCTTCAAACTTGAACTTACTACACTGCTGTCTATAGCATGTCCTCTGAATATGATGTGTGCTCATTCTCAATTTTTCTGTCAGATGTCATTGTGCTTGATTTATAAATATAGCCAGTACTAGAGAATTTGGTGGCGGGGATAAGGAAGAGTTAGAAAGACGTACACACAACTAGTATTTATGTTTCATCTCTTAATTTTTCTTTGTAAGCACTATGTTTACCTAAATACTTTAGTGGGAATTTATACAGATTGTAAACAAATATTATTAATATTTTAATTTGTTTAGAAACTTTAATAGCAATAATCAATAATCACATAATGATCATTGCATCTATTCAATTAACGAGGGTCCAAATTTTAGAAAAATACAAAGTTTTGGTGTCATTATTAAATGTCATGAGAATGCACTATTTTTAAAAATATCAAAAACAAAGCACAAAGAGTAAGCAATTAAAAAAGAAAAAGCCTCAACGGATCAATCTTAGTTTGTTTCTAAAGGGCCTTCCAATGCCAAGGGCAGTTTTGTTGAAAGAAGTCTGTTCTTTACTTTTTAATAACATACTTACTGTAGTCTACAGTTTAATAAAAGTTTTTGGAGTTTCAAATCCTTTAAGCATGCTTAGCAGTGACTCAAGAACAAGGTGCACTGGTGGCTAACATAACTTTTGATACAAAAATAACACTCTATAGATCTTTTTATTTAGTTATTGACCCACTCCACACCTGCACATTTTTTGTTGTCCCAAGGTTAAAGGGCCATGTTGTTTATTTATATATGTGTGTGTGTGTGCGTATGTGTGTATATATATATATATATACACACATACAGAGAGACAGAGAGAGAGAGAGATACAGAGAGAGAGAGAATGACAATTTTTGCACCAGTTGAATGGTATACACAATATAAATAATTTTCTAGCATATGTTTCATAGATCATGTTTCCCTTGATTGTTTTGTCCAAATTCAAATCAAATCAACTTTCTATTAATTTCATAGACTGGATAAGCTGTTGCAACGGAAATTCAAGCTATCAAATTTTTAGAATACTTATCTAGGGCTTAAATTTCTTACTTAGGAAATATAACAGATATTAACATTCATTTTTAAGAGTAGCATTTTTTCTAATGTTTCAGTTTGGCTGCATATTTAATTGCTCACTTTTATCTGGAGTTGAGTTCAAACCTATGATACTACAGCAGCAATATATTAAGAGTTGGCACTTTAAAGCTCAGTATTTAAAGACTAACAGTAAATTATAGCACAGACTGCACACTAAACTACCATCTTGTGCAACAAATGTTACAGACAATCTGTAACCTGAAATATTAATATCTTATGGCTTTGGAGATTACATTAATTACAGCCACTTTTAGAACACAATAATTAGACTGTTTTACAGTAGCCACTAAGGTCAGTTTATACAAGTAATTATTCACCTGCTACAAAGCTTCATGAATGAATTAAGTAATCAGCATTACATATATATTGTACTACATATATCTCCAAAGCAGAATTCGTTAGTGTGTGTATTTTATATGCAAATATACACACTCTCAAGTTGTGTTGTTTTGAAAGGACAATATTGGTGATTGGCATTTTTATGGGCGCAAAAAAAAAACATTCAGGATATAAATGAGGATTATCTGGCATCAAATTTTAAAAAATGAATGATAATGCTTACCTGTGTATGATATAGGTTTGAATGTGAATAATCTACTTTCCTGATAAATAAGTAAGATTTTACTCTGTATTAAATGACTATGCTGACTGGAAAAAAATGATTATTGAATGCTCTGGAAAATAATTCATTTCTATGAACAAATAAGGGTAAGTCAATGAAATGGTTATCTGAGGAACTGACCAACCAGTTATGCAGAAAAATACCCATGTTATTTTTAGCATAATTAATTAATATAAATTACACTTTAAATATATTGATCAAATAACTCACATGGGATTTATTGCAAAACTAAATATTAAAAAAGAAAAATATACTGAATGAGTATAATAAAAGTTATAGATGGAAAGTCAATAACTGACATATATAATAGAAAAACAATCTCCATTGACAGAAGTTGTAAAGGGCGTTATAAAGGCAGAGCTGCAAGATTTGTTAAGAAAATGACTGTAATGAGCAATATTGTAGCAGCGAATCATGTTAGATTGAGAATTATAAACTTTCCCTGATTCTACTACATTTTATATTTTACTGCAGCTCTCAAGTAATTATCACTAGGAAGCTTAATAGAAAATCTAAGTCTGAGATTTTAATTCATTGACTTGTCATATCATAAACACCTATGGTATACCAGGCCCTGGACAGAGTGTTGGAAATATACATTAAAAAAGAAATATGTTGAAATATATTTTTCACCTGAACTTCCTCTGTCTCCACTTACTATTTTCTCCCTTGCAAAAACTAATTCCCTATACTCAGTGCATAGCCATGGAAGTACAGAATTATAATATAATACATGTAATGTATGTTTATATTATCCTTTCCACACCCAACTGATGTATACACAGCTACACCCTTCTTAACTAGACCCAAGAATCAAGGGTGAAAAAAATGTTACCTAAATCTACCCTTATAACCTTATAATATACCTTCTCTGATAATGTACTCTGATCTTATACTCTACCCTTTCACACATGGATTGTGCTGTCTTTGGTGAATTCTCATAACTTCCTCTGTAAGTTATGCATATTATTCATTCTTCTCACTTACTAATCTTATTTTTTGGTTTCCACTCTGGTCACTTTTACCTGCTTTCCTCAAGAACAAATATGATATATTTGATGCAGTTTGAAGCATGTGGCAAGTGTTTAGAATGCATTATTTCTTTACAAGTGGAAAGGAATTATGAGGGAAGAATGATGTTATCGCCCAATTCAGATAATTTTTTCAGAGGTCTCATCATGTCCTTAATCAGGATCTCAAGTCCTATTGCACTCATCAGATACACTCAAATGTTTATTGAGCTATTTTTCTACTCTAGACTTTATTTTGGCAATATGGGTATCAAATTAATCTTTCCCCAATAATTTATACTAATACCACATATGTTTCAATTGACAGGATTCCAAGATAGACTAAATGCCTGGTTACTACTCTGTTTCACTGATAACTTATACTGAAATACGGAGAGCTATCATAGCAAGCAAAGTCGACAAAAAAAATTAAATTTCATTGGTGTTAATTACTTGGACAATTCACATACTGCCTCTTATTCTAAATAAAGTAACTATAACTGTAATCAAATGCGTTATTCAGCAAAAGAATCAGTAGATATATGAAACTGAAGCATTTTCTATTTTTCTATAGTAATATATTCTGACGAAGAAGAGTAATGATTGTTGTGTGGAAAGGAAGGAGAAAAAATAAATCAGAAATAATGTGGTCCTTAAAAGCTGAGGACATTTTCTGACCAGGAGAAAGTACATTATTATGGAAATATTTCTGATTAAAATAAGAATTTGTTGATTTAGACATAAAGTTTTATACTCAAGTAATTGGTCCACTGTATTTAACTATTTGGTAACTGAATATCATAGTGTAGGCAAGTTAAATATTTTTTTCATGTAGAGATGTCTAGCTACAGAATTTTTCCACTTTGTGAGCTTTCACAAAATCTTAAAAAGAAAAAAATGTAAATTTTCTTATCTCCGCATACTCTGATCACTTATGTTTTTTTAATTACTAAGTCATATGTTGTTCCTAAACTCACTCAACTTAGCAACCATTCCATTATCTGATTGTTTTCAGATATGACTGTGGAGAATACCAGATAAAAAGGGAAAATGTTTTTCTATCAACACTAACATTGTCATAAGTTAAAGATGGTCAGATTTCTGTTTTAGAAGAAATACTCTAAGGTCACTGTATTTATCATAACATTACTTAAGATAACTCAAGTTTAAAATCAACAACATAATTACCACTTCAAGTTCTTTCACAGATATAATAATAGTCAGAGGAAGACCTTGTATTGAGATTAGAAGGAATTTAGAAAGGATCAACCATAATAGACTGTATAAAATTAAATGGTCATGTATTGTTGGACATGTCATACATTGTATGCATCATTTAGTTGAAATATAGTTGATACGATTTTAATTTATTTTGTGTTCATATTAAATTACCTCTAATCAAAGTTATCTATTTTATATTTAAGAATATATGAAACAACTTATAACAGGCTTTTTAGCTTCCAGTTACATTTTTCTAATCAATTCTGCAGTTCTGCCCAAGCCTTCTTCCAGAAGTACAATTAGATCATATTAATCCCTGGCTCAAAAAATAATCAATGAAGTCCTATTGCCTACAGAATTAAACTCTCACTTTTTGGGATCAGATTTTATCTGGTCTCAACCTCAATTTCCAAAAACATGCTCCATCTTTATTTTGCTCATGCTGTTCCAGCAGAATAATCAAATAAGAAAATGTTCACATATCATAAATGATAAATTGTTCAGCTTAGTTAGGCAGGGTTCTTTAAACTCTGCTTTGAGTAAAATTACCAAGTACCTCACACTACATGGAGGTGGGTTTGCGGGGGTAAATATTAAGAATAACGAAAAGGGTATCAGGCAGAAATTCACATCTGCCACCTAGTTCTACTAAGTGAAGAACATAGTGGGTTTTTTTTCTTTTTTTCACTTATGCCCTTACCTCCATCTTTATAAATTTTTGTCTACATTCTGCTTCAAACACTAACTGCTTACCTTGTGTGTGTCTATTTATATACAAAAGATGTCTCTTTAATAGAAAAAATGTTGATTTTTTTTAGACCTGTTTCTTCCTACCTTCAATATAGAGTTTCCTTCCAATTATATATAAAGCTGGAGCTTTATAACTTAGCTATCAAAATGAGGATGTACAGGTTTACATCTCCATGAAATTCAGGCTAAAAATAATCTGCTGACTTGCTTCAGAAAACAACAAGAGTTTTATCTCTGCATAAATATAGCTATCAATAAAAAATTATCCAACAGAAATCTAAATCTGGGGCTGGTTTCACAATACTACCACATGAAACAAAACATTTATCAACATACCATGAAAACCATAAAACTAAGATTATTGGACATAACAAGCATGAAACTATCAAAACTACCATGTAAGTATGCTTCCAAGCCTAAAGCACATGGGCATCCCATGGCAACCAACACTTTTAACAAATAAGCTCAAAGTCAAAATGCGAAAATTTAATGAGTTAGTGATCTCCTTTGAGACAGAGTTTAGAAGATGGAATAAAGTAGATAATTTCTACTCAAACAATAAAAATAACATTAGAACATGAAATTTACCCAAAATAATACAATATTTTAATATGTAAAGAATAAAATTAATGATTTAACAAGTTGTGTTACATTCATACTATGTAATATCACTCAGCAATAAAAACAGACAGTTACCAATATACACTGCAATTTGAATGGATCTCAATCTAACTCTACTTAGTGATTAAAATCAACCTCAAGTTTACTTACTATATGATTCAATTAATTTAACATTCTTAAAATAACAAAATTATAGAAATAAAGAATATAGTAGTTGCTTCCAGGGTTTAGGGAGGGGAGATGAAAGGAGGTAACTATGTCTAAAATGGGTAGTATGAAGAATCCCTGTGATGGAAATGTTCTGTGTATTGACTGTGGTAGTCGTCACACATATTTACATGTGATAAACTTGCATAGAACTCAATACACACATAGACAAGTACATGTAAAACTAGTTAAATCTAAATAAGGTTGAAGTTTTATTCATAATTGTTTGTGATGCATAATGTTTGTAATATTGTATTATTGCTATATAATATTTTACCATTGGAGGGAACTCGGTGAAATGTATGTAGAATCTCTCTGTATTATTTCTTGCAACTAAATATGTATCTATAATTGTCTAAAAACTTTTTCAAGTTTTTAAAATTCAAGAAGACAAAGAGCGTCTGGAATATAATGTTCAAACTGCTAAGTATACATCCTGAAAATAAAAAAAAAATGTTAAAGTAGAAAAAGAAAACATTTTTCAGATTTAGTACTGTTGTACTAAGTTGGTGAAAAAGTAATTGTGGTTCTTGCCATCACTTTTAATGGCAAAATGTGATGGCAAGAACTTCAATTACTTTTGCACCAACCTAATAAATCTTAATCCACCTACTTCTGTTCCTAAAGGCCATATTGAAAAACAAGTTGAATGGAAAAATAATAAAAACAATAAAAACCCTCAAAAAACATATTAATTGAAATAACAAGGCAGACTTGGACTAGAGGCCCACCCCAGTGACAAGAAAGCTCCCACACCTCCAGGCTCCAGGTCAGTCCCTTCAGCACCAGGCTCTAGGCCTACTTCTGCGGACGCAGGCTCCAGGCACATTCCTGTGCCAGGCCAGGCTCCATAGACTGTCTCAAGGCCCACCCCAACACCAGATCAGCTCCTGTGAACCCAAACTTCAGACTACCTCCTGTAGACCCAGGATCCAGGCCTGCAACGATAGACCCAGGCATCATTTTACACAGTAGACACATATTACAGGACTGGCCCATGGACCTAGTTAACAGGCCAGTTCCTCATAAGCCCAGGCGTCAGATATGTTCACCTACTGACCAAGACACCAGGCCAGGCTGCTTATTGACTCCAGCAGCAAGCCCACTTGTGGACTTCACAAACACCACCAGACAGCTGCCTAGAATCTCCTGACAGGCTGACTGATGAAGGGTTTTTACTGCTGAAGGGTTTTTACCGCTGAAGCCAGCTTCTAAAGACTAGAAAAAGTTCTTCAAATGTGTGGATACCAACACCAGTCTGCAACAATCAGTTAATTAGGGAAGCATAAGAAAACAAAAGAAAAGAAATAAAATAAAGCACGAGTAACTGACTATAAAGAAATGGAGGTCTATAATCTGCCTGACAAAGAATTCAAAATAATTGTCCTAAAGCCAACACAATGAGATGCAGTACAACACAGAAAGACAACTAAACAATGTCAGGGAAATAATACATGAACAAAATTAAAAGTTCAACAAATAGAAACCATAAAAATGAATAAAATTCTGGAGTTGAAGAATATAACAGAAAAATTCAATAGAGAAATTGAACAGCAGACTCAATTAGACAAGGGTCAATCAGTGACCTTGAATACACATCATTTGAAATTACTCAGAAGAACAAACAGAAAAATCTATGGAAAAGAATAATGAAAACCTATGGAATTTATGGCACACCATCAAGCAAAACAGTATACACATTTGAAGGTCCCAGAAAGACCAGAGAAAAAGAAGGTGGAAGAAAGATATTTAAAGAAATAATGACAGAAAATTCCCCAAATCTGGAGAAAGAACACCCAGAAAAAACATCTGAAAACCCAGATCCATGAAACCCAAAAAATTTCAAATAAGTTAAACATGGAGACATCTTTACCAGGATATATCATAATCAAATTCTCAAAAGTCGAAGACAAACAGAGATATTTAAAAGCAGTGCAAAAAAAGCAACTCATCAAATACAAAGCAACCTTTAACGGACTATAAGAAAAATCTTTGAGGCAAAAAATAACAAGTATTGGTGAGAATGTGGATAAAAAGGAAGCCTGGTATATTGTGAATGAGAATGTATAATGATACAACTATAATGGAAAATATGATGGAGTTTCCTCAAAAAAATAAACATAGACTAATTATATTAACTAAACTTTATTTAATTAGTTAAATTTTAAAGTTTAATTTACAATTAAAAATAGAATCACATCAATTTATATCAAATAATACACAACATCTAGAGAAACAGCTCTTCTATCCTACAGTTACCAACATGCTGGGGCATCCCCTCAAATGAAACAACAAGCTCTTACATCTTCCAGCTCCTATCAGTCAGACAGAGGCACACGACTTGGTAGGTCTGTTTGGGCTTTATAGACAGTTCACATCACAAAAGGAAAAATTACTTCAATTTATTTGCTGAGTGATCTGAAATGCAAGACTTATGCGGCATCCAGACAATAACATAGTGCTACAACAAGTTCAAGCTCTAATGTAGACCATATTGCCTCAAACTAGTGGAATGATCCAACAATTTCACTTCTTGGTATAAATCCAAGGAAAATAAGTATCTCAAAGAGATATCCAAATTCTCATGTTTATGACAGTATTATGCACATTAGCCAATAAATGAAATCAGCCTGTGCCCACTGCTGAATGTATTTCAAAAATATGGTATGTATATAAATGGAATATTATTCAGCCTTAAAAAATGCCATCATTTGTGATAACATGGATGGACCTTGAGGATATTATGCTATGTAAATAAGCCAGGCGCAGAATGACATATGCCGCATTGTCTCACTTACGTGTGCATTCTAAAAAAACTAACAAAGGCAGACACTAGTGGTTTACAGATGCTGGGAATGAGAATTTAGGGGTGGGAAAAATGGAAGATGTTGGTCAAAGAGTAGAATGTTTCAGTTATGCAGAATAAATAAGTTATGGATATTTAATATATAGCATGATGATTACAGTTAATAATACTGTATTGTCCACTAGTTAAGAGTAGTTCTTAAATAGTGTATTGTCCATTTGTTAAGAGTAGTTCTTAAAATTTCTCACCACACGTGCAGAAAAAGGTAGCTATGTGAGATAATGAATATGTTAATTAGTTTCATTACGGTAATCATTCTCAGTGTCATATGTGTATCAAAACACCACATTGTACAATTTAAATACATTTAACTTTTGTTTGTCAATTACAACTCAATGAAGATGACAGTGGGGAGATTTCATGGCAGGAAGAAAAGAGAAAATTAAGAGATCTTTCTGCCAGTAACTGATTCAAAAAATCCAACTTATCAAGTACTAATAATCTAAAGAAAAGATGTCTTACATATGCATGTAAGAATTATCTACATAATTTTTTAAAAAATAAAGCATTATCTTCTCCCTCCAAGAAAAGAAGCACACAATAAATTTTATCCGGAAATAGAGGAATATTGTGTTACAACAAGCCAGCATAAATTTGAAAAAGTAAAGCAATTACAAATATGATGGTTTTAGCTCTAATATTTAAGTCTTTAATCCATCTTGAATTAATTTTTGTATAAGGTGTAAGGAAGGGATCCAGTTTCAGCTTTCTACATATGGCCAGCCAGTTTTCCCAGCACCATCTTTACATAGGGAATCCTTTCCCCATTTCTTGTTTTTGTCAGGTTTGTCAAAGATCAGATAGTTGTAGATATGTGGCATTATTTCTGAGGGCTCTGTTATGTTCCATTGGTCTATATCTCTGTTTTGGTACCAGTACCATGCTGTTTTGGTTACTGTAGCCTTGTAGTATAGTTTGAAGTCAGGTAGCCTGATGCCTCCAGCTTTGTTCTTTTGCTTAGGATTGACTTGGCAATGCAGGCTCTTTTTTGGTTCTATATGAACTTTAAAGTAGTTTTTTCAAATTCTGTGAAGAAAGTCATTGGTAGCTTGATGGGGATGGCATTGAATCTATAAATTACCTTGGGCAATATGGCCATTTTCACAATATTGATTCTTCCTGTCCATGAGCATGGAATGTTCTTCCATTTGTTTGTATCCTCTTTTATTTCATTGAGCAGTGGTTTGTAGTTCTGCTTGAAGAGGTCCTTCACATCCCTTGTAAGTTGGATTCCTAGGTATTTTATTGTCTTTGAAGCAATTGTGAATGGGAGTTCACTCATGATTTGGCTGTTTGTTATTGGTGTATAAGAAGGCTTGTGATTTTTGCACATTGATTTTGTATCCTGAGACTTTGCTGAAGTTCCCCATGAGCTTAAGGAGATTTTGGGCTGAGACGATGGGATTTTCTAGATATACAATCATGTCATCTGCAAACAGGAACAATCTGACTTCCTCTTTTCCTAATTGAATACCCTTTATTTCCTTCTCCTGCCTGATTGCCCTGGCCAGAACTTCCAACACTATGTTGAATAGGAGTGGTGAGAAAGGGCATCCCTGTCTTTTGCCAGTTTTCAAAGGAAATGCTTCCAGTTTTTGCCCATTCAGTATGATATTGGCTGTGGGTTTGTCATAGATAGCTCTTATTATTTTGAGATATGTCCCATCAATACCTAAATTATTGAGAGTTTTTAGCATGAAGGGTCGTTGAATTTTGTCAAAGGCCTTTCCTGCATCTATTGAGATAATCATGTGGTTTTTGTCGTTGGTTCTGTTTATATGCTGGATTATGTTTATTGATTTGCGTATGTTGAACCAGCCTTGCAACACAGGGATGAAGCCCACTTGATCATGGTGGATAAGCTGTTGATGTGCTGCTGGATTCGGTTTGCCAGTATTTTATTGAGGATTTTTGCATCGATGTTCATTAGGGATATTGGTCTAAAATTCTCTTTTTTTGTTGTGTCTCTGCCAGGCTTTGGTATCAGGATGATGTTGGCCTCATAAAATGAGTTAGGGAGGATTCCCTCTTTTTCTATTGATTGGAAAAGTTTCAGAAGGAATGGTACTAGCTCCTCCTTGTACCTCTGGTAGAATTCAGCTGTGAATCCATCTGATCCTGGACATTTTTTGGTTGGGAAGCTATTAATTATTGCCTCAATTTCAGAACCTGTTACTGGTCTATTCAGAGATTCAACTTCTTCCTGGTTTAGTCTTGGGAGGGTGTATGTGTCCAGGAATTTATCCATTTCTTCTAGATTTTCTAGTTTATTTGCGTAGAGGTGTTTATAGCATTCTCTGACGGTAGTTTGTATTTCTGTGGGATTGGTGGTGATATCCCCTTTATCATTTTTTATTGCGTCTATTTGATTCTTCTCTCTTTTCTTCTTTATTAGTCTTGCTAGCGGTCTATCAATTTTGTTGATCTTTTCAAAAAACCAGCTCCTGGATTCACTGATTTTTTGAAGGGTTTTTTGTTTTTCTATTTCCTTCAGTTCTGCTCTGATCTTAGTTATTTCTTGTCTTCTGCTAGCTTTTGAATGTGTTTGCTCTTGCTTCTCTAGTTCTTTTCATTGTGTTGTTAGGGTGTCAATTTTAGATCTTTCCTGCTTTCCCTTGTGGGCATTTAGTGCTATAAATTTCCCTCTACACATTGCTTTGAATGTGTCCCAGAGATTCTGGTAAGTTGTGTCTTTGTTCTCTTTGGTTTCAAAGAACATCTTTATTTCTGCCTTCATTTCTTTAGGCATGGGCAAGGACTTCATGTCTAAAACACCAAAAGCAATGGCAACAAAAGCCAAAATTGACAAATGGGATCTAATGAAACCAAAGAACTTCTGCACAGCAAAAGAAACTAACATCAGAGTGAACAGGCAACCTCCAGAATGGGAGAACATTTTTGCAACCTACTCATCTGACAAAGGTCTAATATCTAGAATCTACAATGAACTCAAATTTACAAGAAAAAAACAAACAACCCCATCAAAAAGTGGGCAAAGGATATGAACAGACACTTCTCAAAAGAAGACATTTATGCACCCAAAAGACATATGAAAAAATGCTCATCATCACCGGCCATCAGAGAAATGCAAATCAAAACCACAATGAGATACCATCTCACACCAGTTAGAATGGCAATCATTAAAAAGTCAGGAAACAACAGGTGCTGGAGAGGATGTGAAGAAATAGGAACGCTTTTACACTGTTGGTAGGACTGTAAACTAGTTCAACCATTGTGGAAGTCAGTGTGGAGATTCCTCAGGGATCTAGAACTAGAAATACCATTTGACCCAGCCATCCCATTACTGGGTATATACCCAAAGGATTATAAATCATGCTGCTATAAAGACACATGCACACGTATGTTTATTGTGGCACTATTCCCAATAGGAAAGACTTGGAACCAGCCCAAATGTCCAACAATGATAGACTGGATTAAGAAAATGTGGCACATATATACCATGGAATACTATGCAGCCATAAAAAATGATGAGTTCATGTCCTTTGTAGGGACATGGATGAAGCTGGAAACCATCATTCTCAGCAAACTATCGCAAGGACAAAAAAACAAACACTGCATGTTCTCACTCATAGGTGGGAATTGAACAATGAGAACACATGGACACAGGAAGGGGAACATCACACACCAGGGCCTGTTGTGGGGTGGGGGGAGGGCAGAAGGATAGCATTAGCAGATATACCTAATGTTAAATGATGAGTTAATGGGTGCAGCACACCAACATGGCACATGTATAGATATGCAACAAACTTGCACGTTGTGCACATGTACCCTAAAACTTAAAGTATAATTTAAAAAAAGTAAAAAAAAAAAAAAAAACAAAAAGCAAATATGATGAAACAACCCAAAGGAAACACAGTAACTCAAATAGGCTATCAACTGGAGGTGGTGTCCAGAATATAAAAGATGTGAAACAGAAATTGGAAGAATTTAGAAAGTAAATTGAAGGTAAAATTACTTCTGAAATAACGATTAAATTACAAAAACATAAGAGAAAAGCTCATAGAATGTAGTCAGAAAAACAAAACCACAAAGAAATAAAGGAATACCTAAAAGTATTCAGATAGAATCTAATTGTTACAGATGCTGCTGGTACCTTCTCCATTCCCTTTGTTCTTTACTTTCAACTACCAACATCCCTGTTGCTGTTGCTGAAAGCTTTTCTTTTTAAGTTTCTGAAGGTTTCCTAGCCTATACACATAGTAAGCTTCAAGTTCGAGAAATATATTAGCCCCGAATTACACTTGATGGGGTGTAGTAACACAATTACTTCACTTTAACATGTGATGATAAACTGGGATATAACACATGTTATATCAGATTCCACAGATGTTATATCCCAGAATATTATCACATGTGAGAGTGAGAGGATTGTTTATGGAATATCTCTAGTAATTGTGACATATGGGAACAATGACAATTCTAAGAAATATGTAGTTGGTCATTTGTTATTGAGTACGATTGAAGCCCTGATGAAAGAAAATAATAAGCTCAGGCCAGCCAGCTATCAACTCAAACATGGTGTGGAAGTCAAATAGCCTTTATCACCCTATAAGGAGACCCTGACCTTCTGCATCTAAAGGTAAGTCTGCTAAAATGCTCAAGTCCTGAGTATAAGAATAGAAATGCTACAAATAAGGCTTAATGTAGAGCACCATTATATCTCTTATGATAAAGTCAGAGCAATGATATACTAGATAAACACCAAGGGCTAAATTTTAATACAGAATAACTTCAGAAGCATTGTTCTTGATCCAGGAGGTAAGAGACTATTTTTTAAAAAACTGCAATAACTGGCTAGTAAGGAGTGAATGATACTAGGGTAACATGCGTGGAAAATAATTTTCGATATGGCAGACCAAAAGAACGGTGTGATAGTGGACTTCTTTCCATTCCCAGTATTAAGCATCCTGGCAGGGATATCTGAGACAATAATGGCCCATGGTAAAATAGAGATTCTGCCATTGCTTTGACATAATAGTGAGTGATAGGTTCAGAGATAAAAGGTATGTTAGAACAGATTTATTACATAAGACTAACTCAATATACTATGTTTCTAGAAGAACCTCAAGAACCTCATTGCACTGAAGTAATAAAGAATGTGCCAGTGAGAGGAAAAACTTGATTTAATAGTGTCAATGGTAAATACAGGGTTCTGGAATAGCAGATACCTATTAACTACAATTAACTATGAAAGATAAGGAGGATATTATTAGTGTAAAGAACTTGGCAGAAACTTTGCACAGTATGTTTTCTACCACTGAGTCCTCTAATACCATGGAATTGTTTGAGGCAATATGGTCTTATTGGCAGGTTACTTATATTAGAGCTTGAGCTTGTTGTAGCACTATGTTATAAACTGGATGCCACTTAAGTCTGGTAGCCTTTCAAGTTACTCAGCAAATAAGTTGAAGCAATTTTGTAATGTTTCTTTTTGTGATGTACACTGTCTATAAAACCCAAACAGGCCTACCAAGTCATGTGCCTCTTTATTGATGGTAGGAACTGGAAGATGCAACTGCTTGTTCTTTCCTTTGAGGAGATGCCCCAGCATGTTGGCTCCATTGGATTAACTATAGGATAGAACAGCTGTTTCCAGAGATGTTGTATATTCTTTGAACTAATTATAGGGTGGTACGTCCCTGATCAGTGTAATGCTTGTGTCTTCAACCCAGAGTTGAAAGGAAAAGAGTCCTTGCTCATCATTCTTCCTTGTGATTTACCTGAGAAATATAAGCTTCCCTTTCTCCTAATTTTTGAAACCAATGAACCTCTCCTGGTTCTCAGAGAGGGATAATTCTTCTATCAGAAGACATGGTAGGGGTTCCACTAAACTTATGTTGAAAGTGATCTCCCAGTCATATTGAGCTTCTTATAACAGTAGATCAGGAGTAGAAGAAAGAAGTTATTATGCTTACAAATGTTATTGACCTTGGTTATTATGAGACTAGGATTGCTGCTACCTGTTGAAGGTAGAGAGAAGTATCATGGCATTTGAAAGATCTGGTGGTGTGCCTGTTGGTGCTTTCATGTACAATAAAACTTTTAATTAATTATAAATGTTATTTAAAAACTTCAAGTAGCTATTTATGAAGAAAAAAACAGAAGTGTTTAACTATGCAGAGATTATTAACAAGTATACATCACTTAAGATGCATGCACCTGCAAGTAATATAATCCTCTCACTAGTACTGGTTTAAACAATAAAGAGATTATGTATTTGCTATAACAAAAGCCTAGAGGTAGGCAGTTACAGGGTTGTTTCAATAAGTCCATAATATCATATCACTACATCTATGGGATGTAACTACATCTACGGGATTTTCTTTTAATCACTTATTTCTGCCTAGTGGTTACAACATAGTCAATTTGGGCCTAAATATCACATCCTTATATTATCTGGCACATGAAGCAGTAGAGAAGAGGCAGAATCTAAAATCTTTCTTACTGTGAGGCATTATCTTTACCATGCACCACCTCAACAAGCTTTCCTGACTACCCTATTAGTGAGAAAAATACTAATAAGATAGATTCCATATACCTTTCACTTTTAAACTAAATCACATACGAAAATTGACTTTTCAAGTAACTACTAGTTTTGATTTGGAATACACAAAGGGTATGTCTTTGACAACTAGAATAAAAATGGTCTAGTTGAGAAAAATAAAATTTGTTTCTCTTTCAATCTAAAATATTTTGAACATGGTCTTACTAATGAAAAATTATGACACTAAAGGAAATAAAAATTTATTAATATAAATTATATATATGATAAGGCTAAACATAAATAAGATGTTTATGGACAAAAGAAATTAAAGAATGGTTTTACTAATGGGTCTCTTTTGTTTATTTTTAAATTAAGCAATGAAACAGTCATTTTATTAGCTGAGCATCATCACTTGTAAGTAGTACATGGTTGTGTGCCCTAATTATCAGATGTTATTAGAACTTTAAAGATAAGATTATGCATATATATGTAATTTATGCAGAACAAATATAAAAATAAATCTATAATGAATGTTTACAACATCATCATATTTGATTTATTTAATATACACTTAAAGTGAAAGCTTTTTAATTGCTGCTTCTCCAAGTAGATTAGCTCTTCAAACAAACTAATGGAAAAAGTCTTGAGGTTTTATTTATGTCTATATTTTTGACTAATTAAGACACTCCCTTTATTAAATTCCATGTGTAATAGTTGAAGCAATGCTAAAGCAACAAAGTCATTTCTGCTATTAAATGTAAAGTTTCTAGCCTAAGTATCTGCCTAATTTTACTTTACACATTTAAAAAAATAGCTACTAGCAGCTTTCAATCAATGCCTCCCTGCTCTTTTTCAAAATACACGTTTGAGCTTTTATACCATGATACATGGAATGGTATAGACTGCCATCAAGTTAAAATGGATTCTAAATGCTCCAATGAAGACTATGAATTTTACTTTATAAGTAATTGTGGGAATTTATAAGAAATTACAATGATTCATCCAATTTACTCATTTAATGAAAATGTATGTTGTATAAGTAGATACTGTAGTATAGGTAAACATAAATAATGAATTTCTAAAACACATACTTTTTCACTGTAACATATAGTTCAAACGGAGTTTCATTATTTCTGATAGAAGCTATGCAAATAATATGACTTTCCTCAAAGTATATGTCTCCTAATATCACTAAAAGAATGTTCAAGTTAAAAAAAAATCATCGCATTTCTAAATTGCTGGCAGCATAATTTTAGAAAGCATTTTCAAAATATGATTTAAAAATTAACTTAAAAGCTGCTTAGAGATTTTAAAGTATTGTTTTCTATAACCTATGAATCTGGTCCTTCATGTCATCTGCCTGAGGAAAAATTATAAAAGAGAAAATTAATATTGCTTATAGTAAATCTCAGATTTGGGAGATGACCAAGATGGCCCTTCGATTTTGTGAAGTTCAGCATGCTAGTGATCACTCCTTTGATCTTTTCAGCTTCTGCTTCAGTTTATAGTTTCCTTGAAAGCTATATTTGTGCAAACTCTATTTTTGTCTGCCTACCAAAATTCTATCATAAAAGGTCCAATTCCATCCCTAGAGAATAACTCTATACTGAAATATTACTTCTTTGAATTTCTAAATGACCTATTTTTTATTTATGTATCTGATACTTGCTGATTCATACATGCCAAGGGAGTATTTCACAGCTTAAAGACCTCGGGGAAAACATGTATAGAGCAGAACAGACTTCTATCATTGTTGGAATTCATATAGCCTCAAAGGATAGATTAGGTGGCATAACATGAGAAGTAAAGAAAAGGATCTGGAAGAGGTAATCCACATATTGTACTGTGATTTTCCTTTATAATGGTTTGAGTAAAGCCTTGCTCATTCAGATGTAGAGTAGCAAATGATCACTCCGCTTAATGAAGAAAATGTCTATGTTTAGATTATGTTGGAATTTTATTTCTGAATGATCCATGACAAAATATTATGGGAATGTAAACTTAGGTACATAACGATTACACACTTAGAAAGCATACAATTAAATCATTTGAACTATGAAGAAAAAGCTAGACCTTTTTAAGTACAGCACCTATCCAAATGTTTAAAAATTAAAAGTACCACATGAGAAATTATGGTTTTCAGATGAAAATAAAATAAATCTCTTACCTCTTTATATATTTAAATACACATGCTTCCCGTCTGTCTTTGACCACAAATACTGTAGACTACTGCAATGGGCAATAAATTACATAATTAAGGCCATTTATCTACCTTGTCTAGCTAATATCTGAAACTGTTAAAAACTCATTGTATTTGAGCTTCTACACTTGAATCTCTTTCAATGATATAAATATGTATATGTATTACAAGTAAATCATTTTTGAAATAAAATATACAACATAAAAGTACACAAATTATGAATTCATAACTTAATAAATTTTTGCCAACTGAACATATTCATCTACCCGGTACACAGATCAAGAAATTTAGTATATATATTTTTTAATTTATTTATTTGTTTATTTATTTATTATTATACTTTAAGTTTTAGGGTACATGTGCACAATGTGCAGGTTAGTTACATATGTATACATGTGCCATGCTGGTGCGCTGCACCCACTAAATTTAGTATATTGAATATTATCACCATATCTGAAGTTTCCCACTTACTCATTTCCAGTTACTAATCCCAAGAGGCAATCACTCTACTGATTTCTATCAACATAGATTGGTTTTTCTAGATTTTTCCCTGTATATAAATGAAAATATACATTATGTACTCTTTTGTGTTTGTTTTTTTGTGTGTGTGTCAGTATTATCTTTGTTAGTTTTATCTATGTTGTAGTATATGGCAATACTTGGTTCGTTTCCATTATTCCATAGTATTCCATCTATAGTATTCTCTGTAACATTCAATCCTATTAAAATTTTACCCATCTTTATCCATTCTGTTGCTGACAAAAATTCAGTCATTTGCAAATGTTGGTATTACAATAGTAGTGCTATAAACAATTTTGTATACTTTTGTTATGCATCTATATGTTCACACACACACACACACACATATATATATATATATATATATACACACACATTTGCATTGGGTTATAAATAGGAGTAAAATTAAAATTTGGGGGCTGTATGTTATACTTAACTTCAACTTTGTTAGATATTGCCAGTTTTCTAAAGTAGTCATGACAACTTTCTACTTAACCAGCAACGTATAAGTGTAAAAATTGTTTTATATCTTGCTAATTATTGGTATTATAAGTCTATTTTTAGATATTTTGGTGTGTGTGTGTATATATATACATGCATGTATGTATATGAATACATGAATACATATACATATATGAATAAAAACTCAATAAATATTTTATATGTATTTTCTTTTTTTATTATACTTTAAGTTCTAGGGTACATGTGCACAACGTGCAGGTTTGTTACATATGTATACATGTGCCATGTTGGTGTGCTGCACCCATTAACTCATCACTTACATTAGGTATATCTCCTAATGCTATCCCTCCCCCCTCCCCCCACCCCACAACAGGCCCCAGTGTGTGATGTTCCCCACCCTGTTTCCAAGTGTCCTCATTGTTCAATCCCCACCTATGAGTGAGAACATGAGGTATTTGGTTTTTTGTTCCTGCGACAGTTTACTCAGAATGATGGTTTCCAGCTTCATCTATGTCCCTACAAAGGACATGAATCATCCTTTTTTACGGCTGCATAGTATTCCATGGTGTATATGTTCCACATTTTCTTAATCCAGTCTATCACTGATGGATATTTGGGTTGGTTCCAAGTCTTTGCTACTGTGAATAGTGCTGCAATAAACATATGTGTGCATGTGTCTTTATAGCAGCATGATTTATAATCCTTTGGGTATATAACCAGTAATGGGATGGCTGTGTCAAATGGTATTTCTAGTTCTAGATCCTTGAGGAGTCACCACACTGTCTTCCACAACGGTTGAACCAGTTTACAGTCCCACCAACAGTGTAAAACCTTTCCTGTTTTTAAAGGATGTGGACACCCTCTCCAACACCTCTTGTTTCCTGACTTTTTAACAATCACCATTCTAACTGGTGTGAGACGGTATCTCATTGTGGTTTTGATTTGCATTTCTCTGATGGCCAGGGAAGATGAGCATTTTTTCACGTGTCTGTTGGCTGCATAAATGTCTTCTTTTGAGAAGTGTCTGTTCATATGCTTCACACACTTTTTGATGGGGTTGTTTTTTTCTTGTACATTTGTTTGAGTTCTTTGTAGATTCTGGATATTAGCCATTTGTCAGATGAGTAGATTGCAAAAATGTTCTCCCATTCTGTAGGTTGCCTGTTCACTCTGATGGTAGTTTCTTTTGCTGTGCAGAAGCTCTTTAATTAGATCCCATTTGTCAATTTTGGCTTTTGTTGCCATTGCTCTTGGTGTTTTAGACATGAAGTCCTTGTCCATGCCTATGTCCTGAATGGTATTGCCTAGGTTTTCTTCTAGGGTTTTTATGGTTTTAGGTCTAACATTTAAGTCTTTAATCCATCTTGAATTAATTTTTGTATAAGGTGTAAGGAAGGGATCCAGTTTCAGCTTTCTCCATATGGCTAGCCAGCTTTCCCAATTTCATATATATTTTCAAAAACACCTTTACAACTTTTCTATGTGAAGTCAATGAATAGTCATAATTTCTATCTATCAACAATTAAAATGTAATAAAACAAAAAATACAACTGTAAAATTATTAAAATTTCAACAATATCATGTATGTGACATTATATATTTTGCATAACACATATAAATGTCATACCACTCATTTTCTACATTTATGTGTTGTAGAACATGTGGTATACATGTTATACAACATATGTTATACAAAACATGCTGTATGTTATAAAAATTGTATTTTGTATAATATCATATTTATAATATCTGCTTTAAATATACAATATAAATTTGACCATGTACATTATGTAATGTGTGGTTTAAATGTTACACAACATATGTATATTATTCTACACATTATAGAAAATATTCTGTATATGCTACACAACATATATCTGTGTACCATATATAATATTTGTTTTAAATTTTTGATAATTCTCTGGTTAAGCGTTTGTGTCATTAGAATTTAAATATTAGGGGACAGTAATAATATCTCATTTACTCTTATACTTCCTACTGAAAAGCAGTTAATGTGTTTGGTAAAAAATAAATACAAAATATTCATTTAGTTATCATTTTTTCTACAAAATCTATATAGAATGTTTACCTTTTGGATCTGCTAAATTTTATGTGTCTTATACTGTATTTAATTGCTACTGAATAAATTGCTTTGTAAATAGATTAATTTCATTCACTGTAAATCATGAAACTTCTTTATTGTTCCAAACTAATAGAATTTAAAAATAAACTATTTGTTTAGTCATCACTTTTAATTGCATTTGAGGTTAAAATACACTGACAGTTTGTTCCTCACAAATTTTTAAATTCCAGACTAATTTAATTTTTAGAATTACAACAGAACATTCAAAGTAATTTCAATTTTCACATGTTGAGATCTATGTTGAGTCCCTTAAATACAATCTGTGCAGTAATCCAATCAAGTTTACAAATGCATCTCTGAGAATTCTTTAATCATCAAATAGTATTTAAAAAGCTTAATGAAAAAAACAGTGTTTAAAATTATCTAAAATGAGATTTTTAAAATAAATATTTAAAACAACCACTTTAGTGAAAAGCTAATGAAAATGATTATTTAAAATCAAAACAAAACACTCTTACTCAAATTTAATTATGATTCTGCCATTTTCCTCCCTCAATATATTGTGCTATAAAGGTTTTAATTGATTAGTCTTTATTTAATTTACTATATATTTGAGTATAAGAATAGATTATATTAAAATAATTACCATGCTAATTTTTATGAAAAAATGACAACATTTAGAATAACTATAAAGTTAAACCACAAGAGATGTACTTGACACAAGTACAAGATAAATGTGTCACATGTATAACTGGATAAGCAGGGGTGCTGACATCCCTAAGAGGCTAGGTTTTTCATTCACATCAGAACTTGCTATGAATACAGAAAGAAGTCAATGACGGTCTAAGAAAGAGAATTATAGAACCCTATAATGTCTTTTATAACTGGAATAACTTTCCTTTATTAACCAACCACTTACACTGAGGATGAAAACATGGATGGAAAAGAAAGAATAGAGCTTTCCATAGTTTCTTTTACATCAGTCTTTCCACACTCATCCATAAAGTAAACATAATGAGATTCAGTAGAATATGTGTATATCACACAGTAAAATAAAGACAACTGAGTTCCCCCCTCCCCCCACACACACCCCCAGGATTTTCACTTTTCTGGTGAGATCAAAATGCATATGTATGTTATAAGTTACCAAACATGAACTGCATAACACTGGTGATTCTACATAGGAGCTTTAAATACTTACATCTGCATTTAAAATTGGCAATAAATACATAAAGATAAATAGCTAAATTTATGTTAATAATTTAAAATTTTAATTTTTATCCACTTAGAATCACATGAACTAGCATTAAGACCCAAAGGACATATCTAGAGAGAGACTGGGGAAAAATATAAAAATATTCTGTATTAGTACATTTAATGGTGCTGTTTTTCTGTTTTTTTTTTTTTTAGCACTGAGGCCCCATTTTTTGTACTAGGCCCCATAAATTATGTAGTTAGTTATGGTAGTCTCTAAAACTCTCAAAGAATAAATTAACTTAGTGTTACCTTTGGTAACCCTAACACAGTTTACACTGTCCAGCTAGGGAACTTAAGGTAGAAAACCAGTCATTAGCTATTCATGAAAGAGCAAAAAGAAATATATAGAATACTGAAAATACAAGTAGAATCATCAAAGGATGCCCAAATGTAAATATTTCCTCCATCAAGTAATAGGTAAAAATAATATCTAAACAACAAAGAAGAGAAACTTTTAAAAAAAATTTGAAAAACAATATCAAACTAATACATTTTTCTTATTTAATAGTTTAATTATGAAAGCCTTAAGGTATTTTAACAACATTTTACTGTGTAACTGATCTAATCGTCACTGAATTAGCAGCAAACATACCGATATTCAAGATCAGGAAACAAAAAGCCTAAAACCGCTGTGAAAGCAAATTACCAGCTCATGTTATATGAATTTGCTGACTGAAGATTTTGTTAAGAAAAAGATAAAGGTCAATAGAGCAAAGCACTTTTATTGAACATATCACAAGTTTTCAACACTATGCTGAAAGCTTAATATGTCATCTCATTTAAAGCTGCCTTAGTTACAGTAGTTTGTGTGTGTGTGTGTGTGTGTGTGTGTGTGTAATATTTATTGTTGCAAATTTAGGACATGCAGAAAAAAGATACGTATAAAAAATGTATACCACATGGAATTGCAAATTAACCATTGTGAAGCCTTCAGTGTAATATCTTGCAATACATGTGCATAAAATGGGCACATATCAGCTATATATATTTTACTTCCAAACTGGAATTATACATATAGTTTCATATCATGAATTTGTCATTTAGGCATAATACCATGATTTTTATCACATCATTGATTATTACTTGAAAAGTGATTTTAAACATAGCACAATATGCCATCTAATACATGCATCATAATATGTTTGGCTATAGCTGTGAATATGCAGTTTAAAAACTGACAACTATATATACTTTTTAATTGCTTTACGTTCTGATTATTACTCAAAATAAATCACTAAAATTAGAATAATTTACCTTTTAAACTTATAAAAACTCTCCATGAATTATAACTTTTCAAAATATAATTCGACTTTTTAAAATTACTACGATTTATCTTTTTATTTATGGTACTTGACAAAAAGAGTTTTTAATTTTTGAATTTATTCTCCTGATGATTTCCTTTGTGTTTTCTTTTTTCCTTTTGTTTAAACACTTGAAAAGCTCGAAGAAGTAGTGGTTCTCCCAGCACAGTGTTTGAGCTCTGAGAATGGACAGACTGCCTCCTCAAGTGGGTCCCTGACCTCCAAGTAGCCTAACTGGGAGACACCTCCCATTAGGGGCCGAATGACACCTCATACAGCCGGGTGCCCCTCTGAGACAAAGCTTCCAGAGTAAAGATCAGGCAGCAACATCTGCCGTTTTGCAATATTTGCTGTTCTGCAGCCTGCACTGGTGATACCTACACAAACAGGGTCTGGAGTGGACCTCCAGGAAACTCCAACAGACCTGCAGCTGAGGGTCCTGACTGTTAGAAAGAAAACTAACAAACAGAAAGGACACCCACACCAAAACCCATCTGTACGTCACCGTCACCAAAGACCAAAAGTAGATAAAACTACAAAGATGGGGAGAAACCAGAGCAGAAAAGCTGAAAATTCTAAAAATCAGAGTGCCTTTTCTCCTCCAAAGGAACGCAGCTCCTCGCCAGCAATGGAACAAAGCTGAATGGAGAATGACTTTGACAAGTTGAGAGAAGAAGACTTCAGATGATCAGTAACAACAAATTTCTCCGAGCTAAAGGAGGATGTTCAAACCCATTGCAAAGAAGCTAAAAACCTTGAAAAAAGATTAGACGAATGGCTAACTAGAATAAACCGTGTATAGAAGTTCTTAAACCTGATGGAGCTGAAAACCATCGCATGAGAACTATGTGATGCATGCACAAGCTTCAGTAGCCAATTTGATCAAGTGGAAGAAAGGGTATCAGTGATTGAAGATCAAATGAATGAAATGAAGCAAGAAGAGAAGTTTTAAGAAAAAAGAGTAAAAAGAAACGAACAAAGCCTCCAACAAATATGGGACTATGTGAAAAGACCAAATTTACATCTGATTGGTGTACCTGAAAGTGATGGGGAGAATGGAACCAACTTGGAAAACACTCTTCAGGATATTATCCAGGAGAACTTCCTCGAGAAGAGGAACTCCAAGACACGTAACAGTCAGATTCACCAAAGCTGAAATGAAGGAAAAAAATGTTAAGGGCAGCCAGAGAGAAAGGTCAGGTTACCCACAAAGGGAAGCCCATCAGACTAACAGCAGATCTCCTGGCAGAAACTCTACAAGCCAGAAGAGAGTGGGGGCCAATATTCAACATTCTTAAAGAAAAGAATTTTCAACCCAGAATTTCATATCCAGCCAAACTAAGCTTCATAAGTGAAGGAGAAATACAATCCTTTACAGAAAAACAAATGCTGAGAGATATTTGTCACCACCAGGCCTGCCTTACAAGAGGTCCAGAAGGAAGCACTAAACATGGAAAGGAACAACCAGGACCAGCCACTGCAAAAACATGCCAAATTGTAAATACCATCAATGCTAGGAAGAAACTGCATCAACTAACTAGCAAAATAACCAGCTAACATTATAATGACAAGACAAAATTCACACATATTAATCTTAAATGTAAATGGGCTAAATGCTCCAATTAAAAGACACAGACTGGCAAATTGGATAAAGAGTCAAGACCCATCAATGTGCTGTATTCAGGAGACCCATCTCACGTGCAGAGACACACATAGGCTCAAAATAAAGGGATGGAGGAAGACCTACCAAGCAAATGGAAAACAAACAAACAAAAAAAGCAGGGGTTGCAATCCTAGTCTCTGATAAAACAGACTTTAAACCAACAAAGATCAAAAGAGACAAAGAAACCCATCACATAATGGTAAAGGGATCAATTCAACAAGAAGAGCTAACTATCCTAAATATATATGCACCCAATACAGGAGCACCCAGATTCATAAAACAAGTCCTTAGAGACCTACAAAGAGACTTAGACTCCCACACATTAATAATGGGAGACTTGAACACCCCACTGTCAACATTAGACAGATCAATGAGACAGAAAGATAACAAGGATTTCCAGGAAACTGAACTCAGCTCTGCACCAAGCGGACCTAATAGACATCTACAGAACTCTCCACCCCAAATCAACAGAATATACATTTTTCTCAGCACCACATCACACTTATTCCAAAATTGACCACATAGTTGGGAGTAAAGCACTCCTCAGCAAATGTAAAAGAACAGAAATTATAACAAACTGTCTCTCAGACCACAGTGCAATCAAACTAGAACTCAGAATTAAGAAACTCACTCAAAACTGCTCAACTACATTGAAACTGAACAACCTGCTCCTGAATGACTACTGGGTACATAATAAAATGAAGGCAGAAATAAAGACGTTCTTTGAAACCAATGAGAGCAAAAACACAACACAGCAGAATGTCTGGGACACATTCAAAGCAGTGTGTAGAGGGAAATTTATAGCACTAAATGCCCATAAGAGAAAGCAGGAAAGATCTAAAATTGCCACCCTAACATCACAATTAAAAGAACTAGAGAAGCAAGAGCAAACACATTCTAAAGCTGGAAGGCAAGAAATAACTAAGATCAGAGCAGAACTGAAGGAGATAGAGACACGAAAAACCCTTCAAAAAATCAATGAATCCAGGAGCTGGTTTTTTGAAAAGATCAACAAAATCCATAGACTGCTAGCAAGACTAATAAAGAAGAAAAGAGAGAAGAATCAAATAGATGCAATAAAAAATGATAAGGGGGATATCACCACAGATCCCACAGAAATACAAACTACCATCAGAGGATACTATAAACACCACTACACAAATAAACTAGAAAATCTAGAAGAAATGCATAAATTCCTGGACATGTACACCCTCCCAAGACTAAACCAGGAAGAAGTTGAATCTCTGAATAGACCAATAATAGGTTCTGAAATTGAGGCAATAATTAATGGCCTAACAACCAAAAAAAAGTCCAGGACCAGACGGATTCTCAGCAGAATTCTACCAGAGGTACAAGAAGGAACTGGTACCATTCCTTCTGAAACTATTCCAATCAATAGAAAAAGAGGGAATCCTCCCTAATTCATTTTATGAGGCCAACATCATCCTGATACCAAAGCCTGGAAGAGACACACACAAAAAAAGAGAATTTTAGACCAATATCCCTGATGAACATCGATACAAAAATTCTCAATAAAACACTGGCAAACTGAATTTAGGAGCGCATCAAAAAGCTTATCCACCATGATCAAGTGGGTTTCATCCCTGGGATGCAAACCTAGTTCAATATACACAAATCAATAAATGTAATCCATCATATAAACAGAACTAAAAACAAAAACCACGATTATCCCAACAGATGCAGAAAAGGCCTTTGACAAAATTCCACAGCCCTTCATGCTGAAAACTCTCAATAAACTGGGTATTGATGGGGTGTATCTCAAAATAATAAGAGCTATTTTTGAGACACCCACAGCCAATATCATACTGAATGGGCAAAAACTGGAAGCATTCCCTTTGAAAACTGGCACAAGACAGAGATGCCCTCTCTCACCACTCCTATTCAACATAGTGTTGGAAGTTCTGGCCAGGGCAAAAAGGCAAGAGAAAGAAATAAAGAGTATTCAATTAGGAAAAGAGGAAGTCAAATTGTCCCTGTTTACAGATGACATGATTGTATATTTAGAAAACCCCATCATCTCAGCCCAAATTCTCCTTAAGCTGATAAGCAACATCAGCAAAGTCTCAGGATACAAAATCAACGTGTAAAAATCACAAGCATTCCTACACACCAATAACAGACAAACAGAGAGCCAAATCATGAGTGAACTCCCATTCGCAATTGCTTCACAGAGAATAAAATACCTAGGAATCCAACTTACAAAGGATGTGAAGGATCTCTTCAAGGAGAACTACAAACCACTGCTCAATGAAATAAAAGAGGACACAAACAAATGGAAGAACATTCCATGCTCATGGACAGGAATCATCAATATTGTGAAAATGGCCATAGTGCCGAAGGTAATTTATAGATTCAATGCCATCCCCATCAAGCTACCAATAACTTTCTTCACAGAATTGGAAAAAACTAACTTAAAGTTCATATTGAATCAAAAAAGAGCCTGCATTGCCAAGTCAATCCTAAGCCAAAGGAACAAAGCTGGAGGCATCAGGCTACCTGACTTCAAACTATACTACAAGGCTACAGTAACCAAAATAGCATGGTACTGGTACCAAAACAGAGATAGGCCAATGGAACAGAATAGAGCCGTCAGAAATAATGCCACACATCTACAACTATCTGATCTTTGACAACCCTGACAAAAACAAGAAATGGGGAAACAATTCCCTATTTAACAAATGGTGCTGGGAAAACTGGCTGGCCATATGTAGAAAGCTGAAACTGGATCCCTTCCTTACACCTTATACAAAAATTAATTCAAGATGGATTAAAGACTTATATGTTAGACCTAAAACCATAAAAACCCCAGAAGAAAACCTAGGTAATACCATTTAGGATATCAGCAGGCGCAAGGACTTCATGACTAAAATACCAAAAGCAATGGCAACAAAAGCCAAAATAGACAAATGGGATCTAATTAAACTAAAGAGCTTCTGCACAGCAAAAGAAACTACCATCAGAGTGAACAGGCAATCTACAGAATGGGAGAAAATTTTTACAATCTACCCATCTAAAAAAGGACTAATATCCAGAATCTACAAAGAACTCAAATAAATTTACAAGAAAAAATCAAACAACCCCAGCAAAAAATGGGCAAAGGATATGAACAGATACTTCTCAAAAGAAGACATTTATGCAGCCAACAGACACATGAAAAAACGCTCATCATCACTGGCCATCAGAGAAATACAAATCAAAACCACAATGAGATACCATCTCACACCAGTTAGAATGGCGATCATTAAAAAGTCAGGAAACGAGGTGCTGGAGAGGATGTGGAGAAACAGGAACACTTTTACACTGTTGGTGGTTCTGTAAACTGGTTCAACCATTGTGGAAGACAGTGTGGTGATTCCTCAAAGATCTAGAACTAGAAATATCATTTGACCCAGCCATCCCTTTACTGGGTATATACCCAAAGGATTATAAATCATGCTGTAAAGACACATGCACATGTATGTCTATTGCAGCACTATTCACAATAGCAAAGACTTGGAACCAACCCAAATGTCCTATCAATGATAGACTGGATTAAGAAAATGTGGCACACATACACCATGGAATATTATGCAGCCATAAAAAAGGATGAGTTCATGTCCTTTGTAGCGACATAGATGAAGCTGGAAACCATCATTCTGATCAAACTATCGCAAGGACAGAAAATCAAACACTGCATGTTCTCACTCATAGGTGGGAATTGAACAATGAGAACACTTGGACACAGGAAGGGGAACATCACACACTGGGGCCTGTCGTGGGTTGGGGGAGGGGGAGGGATAGCATTAGGAGATATACCTAATGTATATGACCAGTTAACGGGTGCAGCACACCAACATGGCACATTTATACATATGTTACAAAGCTGCACGTTGTGCACATGTACCCTAGAACTTAAAGTATAATAATAATAATAATAATAATAATAAGCTGTTACTACTCATGAGACTATTTAAATATTTACAGATTTTTATCATGTAATATATGATTCAGTGCTGTGGGTTTTTTCGGGGTAGGAGTAGAAAAATCAATAAATATTTCATTGATGTATTACTTAGCAATTGTTGGATTATTATATGTTAAGGTGCTCCCATGTTTAGAGTTCTTTTAAAGCTATCTGTTACATTTCAGGGATTATGATGGCACGGTAGAGCCAAAATATGCATAACTTGTGTTTTGTTTGAAAATACAGCCAAATATTTGGATTATTAAGAAACTAACATATATAAATAAAGTAAATTTATTAAAAGAAAATAAAATTTATCTCATCTGTTGAATCAAACATAATTCTAGAAATAGAAATGCAATCAATACCAAAACATGGTTTTGTGGAATTACCTCATTTTAAAGATAAAATTCTTTATCATCGCACAATCATATAGAAATAAAATTAAGAACAAAGGGAAAACACTAGCTTATAAAACTTCTCCTCAGTAATATTCCATAATATAAAAAACTGAGCAAATTTTACAAATTAGGAGAATGTAAAAAAAGAGAGAAAATTTAATATATTTGTTACAGTTAATCGAATAACTAGTTAATTATTAAAATCAAACACAAATAAGAGAAAGCATTGACATAAATGTAAAAGGTTTCAGTAAAGAGATATAAATAAACAAAGTAAGTAACTAACAGCAAATGCACATTAAAATAACTGAAACCACCTGCATTTATTGAGTGTGTAAGTGTCAGGAAATTTTTAGCATACGTGTGTGTGTGTGTGTCTATGTGTGTGTGTGTACTTGTTTGTGTGTATTACATCATTTAATTTTTACAAAATTATTAACATGTAGATGTTATCACCTTTTGAATATGATGAGAATGAGGCAAATATAATTAGGTAACTTACCCAATACACCATAGCTTGAAGGTGATGGCTCTAGGAATCAGATCCCAGGCAGCCTAGCTTCAAAAACTGGTGCTCATAACCAGCACAAACTGGTGCTATTAATGGGTACAAACTCCCTCTAAGGGAAGACTTAAAATTACAGTAATTGCTATTTCAAACAACTCTATTATGAAAACATTGATTTTCCTAGTCAGCCATACATGGCTATATTAATAGTTTGTTATTTATTAACTATGTAAACTTAAACATTTACCTGATTCTGCAAACTTTTGTTAACTATGCTTTAAAATAGAGAAATAAGAGTACCTCACTCAAAAGATTTGATATGGAATAAGATAACTTATATGTAATGCTAAACAGTGTGCAGAGCACTTAATAATGCATGTGATGTTTGGGGAAGAAAATACCACATCATGCAGTATGAGTGTGAGATGCAGTTTTTATTAAGGAAACCAACATGTCAAAAGTCAGCAAAAGAAAGGATCTGATACTCCATTCTTTCATCAACCTATTGAGAGGAATAAAATGTTCTGGGCAGTGCTGGACACAGCATGATGTTGTGTTCCAGGAGGGCCACCCTGCACTTTCTATTCCATCTTGTATCATGGAAGAATAGAACAGCATGATATGTGGAGAGTAAACAGTCAAGGAACTGGTGACAAGCATTAAGTTTAGGTGCCATCAATGCAGATAGTTTAATGAAAATACAAAATGTAAATAACTAAAATGATTTAACCTATTACTACAATTTTCTAAGGAAAAAGTAAAATCTTTCAGCATTTTCTCTTTTGGTATGCAAAAACATAGATTTGTGCTGTGGGTTTTGTGGGGGTAGGAGTAGAAAAATCAATAAATAATTCATTTATGTATTGCTTAGCAATTATTGGATTATTAACCTCATCTCAGAGTAGAATCAAGTCTTTTTTTACTGCTCATTAAAGTTTAAAAACATATAAAATGTGTTCCTTTGTGACAGTTCCAATAGATTCTGATTTTGTACTGCTAAGGAGGAGTGATAAAATGGATTATACACATTTATTAGCAAGCTAAAATGGCGCTTAAAAAGAGATGACATAACATGTAAAATGCATTTATGGGAGAAAATAAAATATACAATTAACAATAATAAAGTGGGCATATGAGGCTGTGGTAGAGGTATTAATAAAAGCAAACTTCAAAAATTAATTTGGCTGTGATTGATCCAACACAAAGTTTTAAACCTAATTTGCATATTGCAAAGTGTGTAATTTATGTGAAACATGACTCAAACATAAATATGGTTTAGATTAGTTTGTAATAAATCAATTACAAAATAAATTGAATTGTGTAGTTTAAAATATCTTTCGAGAAAAGGCAAAATCTTTCCAGTATCCAGGTTCAACAGCCAAAGTTATTAAAAGGCTGTTATTAATCAGGTGAGGATTCAAAACTAGAACAAATATACTGCATCAAATGTTCACATAATGTCTGGAAATTCCTCCCCTTATAATTATGCCGAAGCTAAAAGAGCGATTACAAATACTTGTTTTGAAATATACAACATACAGCTGTTATAGAATTCATGTGCTTATATTTCATAGACTTTTTCAGTATAAAGGCTTAGTAGCTGAGATACTTATTTTCAAATTATTTGTATTATTAAGAGGATTTTTTAAATCTAAAGACGAAGAAATTAGCTGAATAATTAGCCAGTGCATTCAAACAACTGAAGCAGACAATTTGAATAATTTTACATAGTTTCTAAGAAAATATTAAGCAAACTCATGCCTTTCTTACAAACTGGTTTGAATTCTTCCCACAAAAATAATTACGAGTTTTAAAGTTGTCCTGTTGCAAGAGGATTAGATGACACATTTGTCTATTAGTCTCAAATATACAGAAATACAAAAAAAGGCCGTTTATTTTTCTCAAATAGCGGCATCAGTAATTATCTTAATCGGAATGTCTGAAAACAAATATCTAAGCCTCAAAAACAAGGGTAGATACTATTTCAACAAAGAAAATGAAAAAAACAAATTAGAACACAAAATGAACAATTCTCTCTTAATGAAATTATATTATGATTCCCAACAAAGCAAAATGGAATATAAAAGGTTTTCAGGTGATGGAAACATCAAAGAAGTAAAGTGATACTTTAATGTTAGATATAGAAGAAATTGTATGATGAATAATACAATTCCATCAAGAAATGATGGGAAGAGTGTAAAAACAAAGCAAAAGGAAAAAATACGCACTCCATTTGTAAGCAGAAGGGACTTCCACTAAGCTAGTAGAGATTTAGCTCCAAGATTCCTCATTTGCACAGGCTTCTTCCCAGGTCTCATAGCTTCTTTTGTTATTTGTCACTTGGCAGTCTGGAGCATGCCAGATTGGAAAACTTTCGGTCTGATGAGCAAACTTAGATATATCCATCCTGGGTGTTAGTGTGCATGTTTGTTTATATGCTGAGAAAAAGACAGGAAGATAGAGAGACAAACAGATGGTTAGAGATGGGAAGGGAGGCTGAGACAGAAGCCAGGGCAGAGGACTCATTATCCCAATTGTAGATATTGCAGCCTTGTTGCTAGTTTTTGTTTCTGTTGTTGTTGTTGTTGTTGTTGTGTATTTTTCTTTCTTAATTTTTAAAACTAAAACTACCATATGATCCAGTCTTGCTGTTTGTCTTTCTCCTTTTCAACCTAGATTGTTCTTAGCCATTTTATTTCCATTCTAGCACTTACTGTAGCAAATTAGGCAAGTAAAATATTGGGATAGGAAATAATTTTTTTAATTTATAAATCTGCAAAAATTGATCAGTTTAAATTTTTTGAATATCTCAAAGGATGAGTGAAAGAAATAGTGTACAGCTAACTATTCATTTATACAGGTTATATATGAGCTACTTGTGCATTTGCCAAAGACTGCTTAAGTTGACGTTAATGAGATTTAAGAGTTACCTCTGTGCTCTTGTGTTAATTAGCTTGATGGTTTCTCCTATTACCTGGCCATTTTGACCAGTCTCTTAGGGCACAGCCTTACTCTCTGTTCCTAAAACAGAAGAACTTGCATGTCACATCACTGCTTAGAAATGGCTTTCTTAAATAACAAGTCACCAAAACTTGGCTAATGGTATATAGAAAAGTGTGGTATTGACACATACAGATATATAGGAGCATGTTTTGCTGGCTTTTGAAAATAATGTATAAAAATGCTATTCCATAATAATTACTTTAAGTTTGCACATATGCAGCTATACCAAATGCAACTAGGCTACACATAAAATGAACTATTCAATAAATTTGAAATAAAGAAAATAATGTTATGCTTGATTACATTGTTTTGAGATGTAAGTTTTTGAAGTGGCATCTCTTTTTTCATTACAAATGAATCGTCTGGACTAAAGTTACTGATGTCTATGAATCCAGAAGTCACAAGCAAAACAGTTAAGTCTGTTTTCCTTCTGGTTTTTAATAAGTGTGTGTGGCATTTTGTCTTTATTTGCCAACATCTAAACATAGGCAGGGTTTAATTCAAGAAAAAGGATAAATATTAATGCAGTCTACTGAAGGAAATGTATTCTTTCACTTAATCACTCCAGGTGAAAATGACTATCTACAAATATTGATATATTTATTCTTCTTTCACGCTAAATAGTGAATGATCTTTTGGTAGCTCACAAAAGCATTAAAAAACCTGACCACCTGCAGCATTTCATCCCATAATTCTGTCTTGTGCCAGAAGACATATATTCCATGTCACGTTGCGATATTTAGCACTTTCCAAACACATCTTACACATTCTCTAATCTAGGCATTTCTGTGAGCTTTTACCTCAGCTTAAAATGCCTTTTTACACAGCATTGACCTATTGAAGATCTGCCTTTCTTCTTTGGTCAGCTAATATATTACATAATTTGAAGATTATTTCCACAAGCCTGTGGTTGGCAGAATTCTGCGCAAAAAAAAAAAAAAAAAAAAAGTCCCCAATTCAACACCCGAATCCAAGAAATCTATATGATGAGATAGCACTCTCTGATAACATTATATTTTATGGCACAGTTGACTTTAAGAAAGGGAGTTTATTCTAGTGGGACTGATCTAATCCCATTAGCTCCTTAAAAAGCTGTACATTTTCTCCAGTTAATGCAGTGAAGAGGAAATCAGAAGTATTTAAAGCAAAAGAAAGATTACATCTAGTTTCTAAGTTTCAGATGGAGCAAGCCACATGCCACTGAATGTGGCCACACATTGGGAATGCCAGGTAGGAGCTGAGAGAGGCCCCAGCTAAAAGCCAGCAGGGAACTGAGGACCCCACTTCTACAACTGCAAAGAAAACATTATATCAACAATCTGAATGAGCTTGGAAGTAAATTCATCCCAAGGGCTTCAAATAAGAGCCCCTTTAAGCCAGCATTTTGATTTTGACCTTTGGTGACCCTAAGCAGAGAATCCTACCAAATTTCACCCAGACTTCAGTCTTACAGAATCATGACATAATAAATGGATATTATTTCAAGCTGCTAAATTTGTGACAAGTCATTATGTAGCAGTAGAAAAACAATACTGCTGCTTCCAAAAACAATTAAGCTCTTCAAACCTTCCTTTCAATGGAATTTGAGTGTGCTTCACTCAATGTATCCCTCATTTTATTTACTCTTTCATGCATTTCTTTCTCACTTGAAAGTCTTAAAGTATAGGAGATAAACCTTTATTTATATTCCATGTAGGAGACATTACCTAAAAGTACATATTTTAACAAATCTCCTCTCCCCTCCCCTCCACTCTCCTCTCTCCTCCCTCCCTCCCTTCCTTCCTTCCTTCCTTCCTTGGCTGTTTAACTTTGTCGCCCAAGCTGGAGTGCGTGGCGTGATCTTGGCTCACTGCAGTCTCCGTCTCCCAGGTTCAAGCAATTCTCCTGCCTCAGCCTCCCAGGTAGCTAGGATTACAGACACATGCCACATGCCACCATGCTTCAGCTGTGTTTTTTTGTTTGTTTGTTTTTTGTTTTTATCATTAGTAGAGACAGGGCTTCACCATGTTGGCGAGGCTGGTCTTGAACTCCTGACCTCAAGTGATACACCTGCCTCCGCCTCCAAAGTGCTGGGATTACAGGTGTGAGCCACCATGCCTTGCCCTGAATTTATTTCTATTAACTTCTTCCATATTCAACATTGCCTCTAAAAGAAAAACCTTCAGGATAGTCCCAAATGGCCAAATGGGTAGAGTTCAAATATGGCCAAATAGGCTTCTTCCATCTAATAAACCCAATTTTGTACAGGATCCACATGTGGGATTGAACCAAACATAGATTTAAAAAACTCAAAAGTAACAATACAACAATAAAAAATACAACCAATTAAAAAACAATACAGTATATAGCAATTATTTATACAGCACTGACATTTTATTAGGTATGATAAGTAATCTAGAGATAATTTAAAGTATATGGGGGGTTGTATGTTACATGAAAATATTATGCCATTTTATATAAAGGACGTGAGCAGCCACAGATTTTGTTATCTGCCTCTGGTCATCCTAAAACCAATCCCCTGCTGACAATAAAGGAAACATGTGAATCATAAATACCTATTTCATAAATGTTACTTCACAATGCATATATATATATACACACACACACACGCACACACATATATATACACACACACACACATCATATATATATATTATATATATATATAATATATATATATACCCTTAACGTACAGGAGTATCTCATATACGTATGTACTCTTAACGTACAGGAGTACCTCAGAAATATTGAGAGTTCAGTTCCAGATCACCAAAATAAAGCAAATATGGAAGTGGGTCACACAAAGTTTTAGGTTTCTCAGTGCATATAATGTTACGTTTATATCATATTGTAGTCTGTTAAATATGCAATAGCATCATATCTAAAAAATATACTAACTTAATTGAAAAATACTTTATTGCTAAAAAAACAATAAAATAAGACAACAATGAAGTTTGTGGCATTGATTGACTCTTCCATTAGGGAAAGATTTCTCTATTTGATAGCATTTTGCCTACAGTGAACTTCTTTCAAAATTAAAGTCAATCCCCTCAAACCCTGCTGCTGCTTTATGAACTGAGTTGATGTAATATTCTCAATCCTTTGTTGTCATTTCAAGAATGTTCACAGCATCTTCACCAGCAGTAGATTCCATCTCAAGAAGCCACTTTCTTTGCACATCCATAAGAAGCAACTCTTCATCCATTCAAGTTTTATCATAAGACTGAAGAAATTCAGTCACATTTTCAGGCTCCACTTCTAATTCTAGTTCTCTTGCTATTTCCACCACATCTGCAGTTACTTTCTCCAGTGTAGTCTTGAACTCTTCAAAATCCTCTGTGAGGGTTGAAATCAACTAACCCTAACTCTCATAAACTTCTGTTAATGTTGGTATTTTGACCTCCATTCATGTATCACGAATACTCTTAGTGGCATCTAGAATGCCGAATTCTTTCCAAAAGGTTTTCCATTTATTTGGTCAGATCCATTAGAGGAATTATTATCTATGGCAGCAATAGCCTTCCAAATGTATTTCTTCAATAATAAAAATGGAGCCCATAAAGATGGAAAGTCAAAATTACTCCTTGATCCCAAGGTTGCAGAATAGATATTGTATTAGCAGCCATGAAAACATTAATCTTTTTGAACATCTCCATCAGATTTCTGAGAAGACTGACAGTAATTACTCAAAATGAAAATCTTTTTACCTGTTACACAATGTAATGGATATAATGAATTTATGGTTATCAACTTTAAAGACCACATTGCTCATTCCTCTTCTAGCTTCATAAAAGTACCTATGTTATTAACAACAGTCAGAACTTTAATGATTCTCTACATATTTCTGAATTATTGTCCAAGATTAAAATAATATTAAACGATTTCAAAATATTTATAAAGAACATAAACTTACAGGATGAAATATCAGAAAATAAAGCTTTTGAATTGCCAATATATATAATAATAAATATAGTCTGAGAACATAGGAGTCTATAGGCTCCATTTTAATTTCCCCAAATTTAGATATTTCTACAGGACAAATTGCCTTTTACAGTCTTCCACATTCTACACTTTCTCTCTCTTGTTTTCTTTCTTCCAAAGTCCTACAAATGTTTTCTTCCAAAATGTACTCCTTACTGTATTCATCTATTTGCAAAATGAAGAATTAGAACAATTCTCCAGTAACTGTTTACAAAGAAGAGTGGTATAGCTTCACAAGCAAGAACACAGGCTCTAACTTTGGACTACTTAGGTATCAATACCCATTATGCTTGGTCCTACCTATGTAGATTTGGTCAAGTCACCAAATACCTTTATGTATCAGGTTTGGCAAATTTTAAATGAGAACAGTAATATCAATTATTATGAGGTTAAATAAAGATTAAATAAGGATTAATATCTCTAAAACTTTGAGCGTATTACCTGACATATAGTAAGAACTGTGTAAGTGAGCTCTTATGATCTGTATTATAGAATGCTATAAAGTGTCCTTGGAGAGTATCTGATACAACCTCTTTGTCTTACAGTAGAAAAAACACACATCACGGGCCGCATGGCTTACTGAAGTATGTAGTTTCGGATCTCACACTCTTTGCTTTGATTCAGGGATCAGCCATTTTCTTAAGGTAAATTATTTAACTTGCCTACGTTTCAATTTCTTCATTTTTAAAATAATATTTAGAGTGTTGTTAAAGTTGGATGATATAACCTATCAGTATCACTGTAATATAGAAGATTTTCAGCAAATTTAACCCCTCCCCCACATTTTTTCTTCTACTCATTCTTCACACATATTACGATTTCCAGAGAATCCAATTTATTTTTAAATTCTCATTGATACTCTTTCTGGGAAACATAATGAATTCTAATATAATTTATCCTACTAAGCAGGTGACACCCACACTTGACTACTTGTTTCACATCCAGAATACCTACCTGGCAAATATTCACCCATGGTCATTTTCAGACTGACAGAAACCAAAACAATTTATTGTCTGGCTGCAAGACACATTACTGCCTAGACCCTTGTAGTTTTTCATTTCAAATACTGCCTTAAAGTAATTATTGAATCTTTCTTTTCATTTCAATTTACACATTGTAATAATTCTTTAGGATTTTGCTTCAAAAGTAAGTTAAATATCAGACTCCTTACTTCACCTGAGTATTAGTTCTGACTAGGTTTTTTGCAAATGGTCTCCATCTGACCTGTCTGTCTCATATATCTTATCTATGAAATGAAAATAAAATTAGAACCTACTTAACAGGATAAGACACAGCATACTTACTGGCACAACTTAATCCCAAAGTATATTTATTTTTATTTATAATTGTTGTATTAGAATTGCTGGTGTTGACATTACCAAGGACCTACTGACTGAGAGGAACTTTGCTAAGCTCTGTAGACATAGAAATAACATATAATTCACCTCAATGTGTTAGAAGAAAAGTCTAAATAAATAAATAAAAGTACAACATGGTGAAAGCTATAATTTACTTAGATAAAAGAGGTCATAAAAAGAACATTTTCAAAGTGTGGTAGAATTTTGAAATGAATCTTGAAGAGTGAATGTGAGTTCAGAGGCCAGCAAATATGTCAGGCAACAGCATGGTATGTGAAAAGGCTGTACATTTACAAAAGTCTATTGAGGAATTTTTTTTAATAGTCAAAATTAGATAGCAAAAGTAGAATTCTACTTGGATGTTGAGTGAGGTTCACTTTATGCAGGAAGTCTCCTCTTACTGCCAGACCTGTTTAGGCCCCCAGTTACTACCTTGTTTTTACCCTACTTTCGAACCATTTGTAAAATACAGCAATTACTAATGAACAAGAGCAGGAACTGTGTTACTTTCAGTGCTATATTGTCAAAACCTTGCACATATTAGGTGATCAATAAATATTTCAGTTGATAGCAAACCACCATAATTAAATTAATTATATAATTAACATTTTATACTTCTGTATTAATATATTTACTACCAACTTAATATTTATTGGTTACATATGTACACATTTATTAATTTATTATATGATTTGATTAGTTATATTATATATAATTAATTATGTAATTTGTTTTGCCATATTAGTTTTAGCAAACTATGGCCTGCAGGCCAAATCAGGCCATTCCACATGTTTTTTTTTTTTAATGGAACAATGAATAACAGTGGTTTTTCCAGATGAACATCTTATAGATAAACATTTCTATTCGATTCAATAACACAAAATACCAAATATAAAATCCAATTGGGCAATGTTATCTCCACTAATAAAAACTAATCCCACTCTATTGTTAATAGAACTTCATGATAAAAACATACCACATTGATATTATATTGTATTACTGTCCCAAAATGGAAGATTTTATTTATATACAATAATTTTTATAATATGCTTAATTTTTACTCTTGGCTTGCAAAGTTTAAAATATTTACTATCTGCCTTTTACAGGAAAAGTTCACTAAAATGTGCTCTACCGAGTAATTGACAATATTAAATTAAAGGATTAT
Organism: Homo sapiens; assembly: GCF_000001405.40. NCBI lineage: Eukaryota > Metazoa > Chordata > Mammalia > Primates > Hominidae > Homo > Homo sapiens. Next base: position 105,214,404 of record NC_000005.10, read on the forward strand.
TAACAAAGTTAGGGTCAAGATGAATGGAACTAGGGAAGATAAAGCACTCAGTCATTAGGAAACAAAAGAAGTCATTATCATCTCATGGATCTACAGGTCAGGGAGGAAGACACTGTCAGCACACAGTTGGACTTGCAGCAGTCCCAGGAGTGAGGGTGCCTCAAAGGAACTATAAACTTAATCAACTCAGCTACTGGCAAACCTTTTCACAGCAGGTAAGAATAAACATTCTGACATCTCTGCAGACATAGATATGATGATCTCTCTCTCCTATATTCCTCAGTCTCTCACAATGCTTCCATTGGTCATCGGTAGTCTGGGAGCAAGGGAGCCCGAAGTTACTGAGTCCATAGAATTCAGTCTCTCAACTCACAGAATATGTTCAAACAGAGAACTGCCAGCACAAAATGCAAAGCACTAATGGGCATTTGTACATAAGCATATGGAATGCAGAACAGAAAACCGAACAGAACAGAGATTTTAGATTCTGTAGGCACTTGGGTGGTTGTTGACTTTATTGATCAATATGAGGTTTCCAGAGAATATTATTTCCAGCTAGTAAAGGATGTGGGCTGAAAAGCAAACCCTTAGAAACCCAGGCATTTAATGAATAAAGAATAATAGGTTGGAAAGAAGTAATAAAGGGGAAAACATACTGCAAGCTAAAAAGGGTACTTCCTAAAATTATTTTAGTAATAAATATTCATGAGTTAATTGATTGCTAAACAAAACAGCTAAAAAGGAAATGTATACATTCAAACAACTTCAGCTCAAAATGTGTATGTATATTAATGTAGAATCTAACTTCAAAGTAGTTTGCAAATTCTGACATTCTTTACCACCATTATGGTTACCATCTTACAGTAATCACATGCAATGCTGAACTAAGCTGCTGTCATTGTCTCCCACAGTGAATCTGAATTTCCACATATCCTCCTAAATTCTATTTACTCATCACCCAACAGCCTGAATAGACTTGTAATATGCATCACTTCATACTTCTGCTCAAAATCATTTGAGACTCTCATCATCCTTAATGTAACAATCCAAACTTATTATTATGGCTCTTTCTCAAAGAAGAATCCTTCCCTGAATTTCTAGATATGATGCCCACGTTCTACTGCAAAAGTACTTCAAGTAAGGAAATTCATGATCCCCAGAGGAAATAACCTATACCCATCAAATGGCTGACTTTGAGAAACCAGAATAAAATATTAGAGTCATTGATAGTGCATTTCTCGAAGTCTAGATTTTTACTTCTTAAATACTATTATTTAAATCAATTACATCTTAAATGATATCTGACCTAATGCATAGTTATAAAAAGCATTTCTCTAATTCTTCAAGGGCACAGAATGGCTAAACACAAACTTAATATAAGCTTCTCAACAAAACACATCAATATCTCTCAGTCTTTAGCCTCTGAATCCAGATTTATAGCGACATCTCACTTTTCTCCAGGAATGATGAGCAAGCACTGACTTTAAATTAGTCTTAAACAAAATACCCACCATAGTCATTTTTTCCCAAACCCAGGAATTCTCTTCCACAAGTAATTTATTGTCTTCCTCCAGTTGCTGACATCCTCCACAATTCACAAATGCCAATTTCCTCAATTTGGACATACAAAGAAGTTAATAAATCAATATATTTCTCACCAGCCACCCAGTTATACATATATCATATAGAATCACTTTCTCCTGCTTACCAATCTTGTAAGCCCTCCTTTGCCTACTGAATATAATCGAAAGTCCTTGTTTTACAACGCACTTATAACATTCCTGCAACAGACCTTTCCATTTATATCTCCTGCTACCATATTATCATTCTGTTCCTTATTCTCTTAATCTTCAGAAAAAAAAATCACCCACTCATATATTTAATTAACAAACGTTTTTTGAAGCTCAGAGTAAGAAGCATGGCATCATATCTGGGGGCTGGGGATCCAGTAAATGTAAACACCCTTCCTGCCCTGAAAGAGCTTAAGGTCTAATGACTAAGTCAGACCCTAAAGATGAAAATATGATGAGTGTTTAAAAGAGCAAGGAAAAGATGCTTTCAAAAATTTTCACATGGGGATATAAATTAGACACTGAGGAAAGCCTCACTGTAGAAATTTTCTTATCTTGTGTCTTAAAGAATGAGTAAAATTTGGTCATGTTTAGTGCTTAGGGAATAGGAGGAAACAATACGAGAGAGTAAATTTTGTGCTGTGATTTTACTGGCCTTCCCACTTGTCTATGTACTTACTTCTTATTTAAATGTCTTTGTGACCCATTTCAGAATGTAACCCTCATGTTACCTTCCCAAAATCTCAGAATAAATTTATCATCCTAATCACCTTGTACTTCCATTTATATAATCATTAATCACATACTCTATGTTTTCTCCTAGATAGTAATTTCTTGAGGGAAGAATCTTGTACAATACTTTAATCTCTCCAACATTCCTCCAGCTACTGGTAGAATCTAGTAGGTTATAGCAATGTAAGTTGAATCCTGAGATAATTTAGGCCTAAAAAGATTGCCTTACCAGCCTAGATCAAACAGTAAGTTAATGCAAAGGCAAGATGAAACATGAGTCTTCTAGTTTTGAATTCTGTTTTTCATCAAGATTTCATAAAGTTATTAGTTTTGATATTACTGCCTTAATTTGCTGAGCTTCTGAATTTAACTATGGATAAAAATTTTTGAAGAATTGGAAATGGAACAAACAGCCCCAGTCATTCAGGTACGTTCTTGGGGAGTCACCTTGAGGTCAGAAAACACTACAATGAAATGATCACTTGTCTCCAAGTCTTCCTCTATATTGCAGACAGTAAAGCTTTCTGCATACAGTTAGTAGGTCATGGTGAAAGATATTTGGATTATTTCTCTCACCTTCATTCCACTCTCATTCTATTCAAAGACAATAGAGTTAGAAATAAAAACCCCAGATTAATTTGTAGCTATGATACAAAATGTAAATTAGAATTTGCTAATTAGACACACTTGTGTGAAAATTAGACAATAGAATGGCTGATAGCGTCTTTCAGATGCTGCAGGAAGACAGATAATCTGTGGAAGAAGTGAGTACTGCCCAGTCACCAGTGTCATGACTGTGGCATATGCAACCTGGACATTTTATTGACCTTGGGTAGTAGCAGTGGTGGTGGTGAGGCCTAAAAGCCAAAGGTCTAGTGGCAGTGTCCTAATTTGCACTCCTCTGTCCCTTCTGAGTCCCTGAGTTCAATCATTTTTTTGTTAGAAGTGTTTTGGCCAGTTTCCGTTTTCTGCAGTCCTGACTGATGGAGTGTTCAATAATATTTGCCAGCAGATTCACCTTTAGAAAACCTTAAGTACTTTTTGTGTCTTTGTTTACTGCCTTGTATATTGTCCAAAGCTGCATGCTTTATGTTCAAATAGATAAGATAACAAGGAGATTAATTGGATATTCCCCAGGGGCTAACGCCAGGCAGGAAACTAAATCTGAACGTATTTGATGATTAAGAGGAATTTCTGTGGATTTAAGAGTAATCTTCAAATGCATAAATAATTGGTTAATCAAAGTCAGTTTCATAATTTCCCAAACTGTTTCTAATTTATTAAGCTCTTCAGATACTTTAGTATTTTAGAATCTTAGCAATGCTTCAGAATTATTATGCACTTTTTTGATCTCTAAATATAATACTTAAATGACATTGAACATCATTAGAAAATAGTCTCCTACTGCTTCTTAAATGCTGAGTCAAAGGCAGGGAAGTTATGAAAAATAAATGAAGTAAAGCCACGATGTTTACTCTCAAAGCAGGAGGCACTAATCTTGTGACAATGCTCTGTTCCACTGGCATTGTTATTGCTGCCACATGGAGTGATTGATGGGGATTTAATCATTTTATCTAATGCCTCCTGGTATTGGGGAATGATATATGCTACAGCACAGCTTTTAGAACATTCCAAAATTTTCTTAATGTAAGAAATTGGGTGCAGATCTGCAAATGTTGCTTTTTTTTCTTACCTCCATAAACAGAAACAATTTGGGGATCCTTTGATACTGATTACACAGAACATGAGATTACATACCTTTAGTATAGATGACAAAAATTGTAATTGATTATTCCTACTGATGTACTATAATATTCCTAATCACAATATTGGATTATTTCTAATGACATATAATATTAACAACTCTTAACTATATGTTTTAAGTGGTGTTTAAATTAAAAAAGATAATTGCACCTATCTGACATTACATGTTTTAATACAAAGCTCTTGGAGCATAGGAAATATTTAAATTACATCGGGCCAGGCATGGTGGCTCACGCCTGTAATCCCAGCACTTTGGGAGGCTAAGACAGGCAGATCACTTGAGGCCAGGAGTTTGAGACCAGCCTGGCAACATAGTTAAACCTCGTCTCTTCCCAGAATACAAAAATTAACTGGGCGTGGTGATGTGTGCCTGTAGTCCCAGCTACTTGGAGGCTGATGCAGGAGAATCACTTGAACCCTAGAGGTGTAGCTTGCAGTGAGCCGAGACCGTGCCACTGCACTCCAGCCTGGGCAACAGAGCAAGACTGTGTCTCAAGAAGAAAAAAAAAAAATTACATTGGCTACATTCCTTTTTAATATACTTTAAAGCATAATTTATTATTATAGGTATTCTTTAGAGCAACTGGATAATTTGTTAACTTGCACTTGATATACTTGATAACAAATAAGTAAATGCTAGCATACCTAATTATTATGCTAATATCGGTGTCAATATATTTGTCCAATGCAATTGGTGAGAGGAATTGAACTCAACAACACTGAGTTCTGGGGTGAGCTAATGAAAAGACTTTGGGAGAGGTTCGTCAATGTGCTAAAGCAATCAGGTTTGCTAATTGGCACTTAGTGAATTAGGGTCTTCCAGTCTCACAGAGTCTGGGAGATAGAGCCCTTATGTTTGTTTTGTTTTGTTTTTCTCTGAATCTGAGCACAGAAGAGTAGATAGAGCTCTTAGGTTTCTTGATGGTATCCTTTCAAAGGGATGGGTGCCAGGTCTTTGGAAGAAACATTATTTAAATTTTAAAACTGCCAAAGGGCTGGGAGGAGGCTTCTATCCCGAAGCGGCAGAGAAAGACTTCACAATTTCAAGCTTTATGAAGTAAAAGTACTAAGAAAAGAGAAATCAGGGGCTAATACTAAGGAAGAATCCTGACTGAAGTTTAGTTCAGCTGAAGAGAACACTATGACTGTCTTGATCACTAACCATTGGGAAATAAACTGATAATTAACTCGAAAAATTGTATTTGCTTAACAAGCTACAAAAATGCCTATTAAATTAAGTTTCAAACTTATGCTTTAGCCAGTCTACTGACATTTCCCTCCTGGAAATGTATTTGTGATATTTTAAGCAATTTATGATTTATTTATTAAGTATCCTACGTTATGCTGACCTATTAAGAATTTAAGGTATATAGTGGTTTTGTATTTCTTTGAACATTTTGCAGACCTCCAATTTAATTTTTATTCACATAAAATTCAAATTTGACATTTGAATACTGAGAATACATGTTCTATATATTTATTTTCTATTAAGCTTATTTTATTGATTCTGAAATAGTGCTTCTGCTTTAATACATTCACATTTTCTCTGGGATTCAGTTAATTCTTGATTAATGACTCTTTGCCTTATCAGTACACCTTAATCTATATACTCGCTTAGTTTTTAATCTTTTCTTACTGAATGGTCTTAATCTTCCGAGACTCTGTCTTTTGAAACTGTAACCACAGGTATATATTTATCACTTTTACTTCTTTTGTGTAACTTCTCCAGCTGTGTTTCTTCTTCCTTAAAATACTGTAGTGAAAGTTCCAGTCTAATAAATCTCTTGGACAAGGGTCAGATAACGTTTATTTTCACTTTTTAAAATTATATTTCCTGTTAGTACCCTCTGTAATACTCAAGCTTGCAGTTCTACATTTTGAGGCATTTTTAAAATGAGTTTGCCATGTAAACTTTCTCATCTCTAGAATCAAGGTAAATAATAATATCATTTTATTAATTTGACCTTGACAAAATGTACTGCTTACATTTGACTCATCAATGAAAGTACTTGTTTTATCTTTAAGTTATTTCAGGAAAATTTTAATACTGTTGAGAAAAATATGAACATATTTTTCAGCATCCATACTTTTGAGTGCTGTGGTAAGCCATTTACATACCTCACCTTCCTTGGATCACGGAATCAAATCATTATATTACTAGCTTATAGCATTGTGATAGTATTCTCATTTATGATTAGAGTGTATGCTAGTGATTCTTATATTTCAGATTGCAAAAAAATCATGTTTCATTATTTTTGAAGCACAGGGTTTCTGAACCTCACAAAAGTGATTTAATTCAATATCTGGAATTTAGATATATGCTTTTTGCTTGACCCTAGGTGATTCCGAAGCAGGTGATCTTCCAAACAGACGATGAAAAAAACAGTTCTATAGGAAATAATTTGGGGAAAGATATAGTTCATGAGCTCTCTATAGAATTGAGATAAAGTATAAAGAACAGCATAGCTGTAATGTCATAATCTTATGACAAATAGTTTCTTAATATTCTCTTTAGTATTTATACTTTTCAAAACTACCAATAATACTTTAATAAAAATTATTTTTAAATTACTTTCAAATTAAGAAGCCATATGTACATATGCCTTATTCTCTACTAAGATTTTGTGTTTTTAAGATTATTTAGCATGAAACATAGTTGCAATTTAAAATTTTACCTTTCTTCAGTCAAAATCAAGATATTTTTGTTTATATTAATTCACTTTTTAATTTCTTTATATACATCTTGGACAAATGTCTTCAGATTAATTTTGTATTCTTTGAGATTGTCATGTGTTCACCTTAGGTAATTTGAAAATGGTATAGTGATGTGTGTCTGTGAGTATGCCTGTCTGTATATATTTGCATGTGTACATATAAGAATAAAGTCATCATTTGAACAATAAAAATCAGTTTCAGTTTTTCAATTTAATTTTTTCCATATCTCTTTCAAGTAGACTTAGCTGACATTATTGAACCTCTTCAAAGATTCATATTTCCTGCTTACACTTTACTTATTTCTCAGTGAGAAAGAAATATTTAAGCAAGAGGTTTGCAAACCATTCTTTTCTATTACCAGAGAGTTGCCCTCTAGGAAAAAAAAAAAAGATCACATAGCATGGCACAAGACAGGGATGGCCTCTCTCACCACTCCTATTCGGGAGCTCTGGCCAGGGCAATCAGGCAGGACAAAGAAATAAAGGGTATTCAATTAGGAAAAGAGGAAGTCAAATTGTCCCTGTTTGCAGATGACATGATTGTATATTTAGAAAACCCCATCGTCTCAGCCCAAAATCTCCTTAAGCTGATAAGCAACTTCAGCAAAGTCTCAGGATACAAAATCAATGTGCAAAAATCACAAGCATTCTTATACACCAATAACAAAAAAACAGCCAAATCATGAGTGAACTCCCATTCACAATTGCTTCAAAGAGAATAAAATACCTAGGAATCCAACTTACAAGGGATGTGAAGGACCTCTTCAAGGAGAACTACAAACCACTGCTCAATGAAATTAAAGAGGATACAAACAAATGGAAGAACATTCCATGCTCATGGGTAGGAAGAATCAATATCGTGAAAATGGCCATACTGCCCAAGGTAATTTATAGATTCAATGTCGTCCCCATCAAGCTACCAATGACTTTTTCACAGAATTGGAATTGGAAAAAGCTACTTTAAAGTTCATATGGAACCAAAAAAGAGACCGCATTGCCAAGTCAATCCTAAGCCAAAAGAATAAAGCTGGAGGCATCACGCTACCTGACTTCAAACTATACTACAAGGCTACAGTAACCAAAACAGCATGGCACTGGTACCAAAACAGAGATATAGACCAATAGAACAGAACAGAGCCCTCAGAAATAATACCACACATCTACAACCATCCGATCTTTGACAAACCTGACAAAAACAAGCAATGGGGAAAGGATTCCCTATTTAATAAATGGTTCTGGGAAAACTGGCTAGCTATATGGAGAAAGCTGAAGCTGGATGCCTTCCTTACACCTTATACTAAGATTAATTCAAGATGGATTAAAGATTTAAATGTTAGACCTAAAACCATAAAAACCCCAGAAGAAAACCTAGGCAATACCATTCAGGATATAGGCATGGGCAAGGACTTCATGTCTAAAACACCAAAAGCAATGGCAACAAAAGACAAAATTGACAAATGGGATCTAATTAAACTAAAGTGCTTCTGCACAGCAAAGGAAATTACCATCAGAGTGAACAGGTAACCTACAAAATGGGAGAAAATTTTTGCAACCTACTCATCTGACAAAGGACTAATATCCAGAATCTACAATGAACTCAAACAAATTTACGAGAAAAAAACAAACAATCCCATCAAAAATTGGGCAAAGGATATGAACAGACACTTCTCAAAAGAAGACATTTATGCAGCCAAAAGACACATGAAAAAATGCTCATCATCACTGGCCATCAGAGAAATGCAAATCAAAACCACAATGAGATATCATCTCATACCAGTTAGAATGGCAATCATTAAAAAGTCAGGAAACAACAGGTGCTGGAGAGGATGTGAAGAAATAGGAACACTTTTACACTGTTGGTGGGACCGTAAACTAGTTCAACCGTTGTGGAAGTCAGTGTGGCGATTCCTCAGGGATCTAGAACTAGAAATACCATTTGACCCAGCCATCCCATTACTGGGTATGTACCCAAAGGATTATAAACCATGCTGCTATAAAGACACATGTACACGTATGTTTATTGTGGCACTATTCACAATAGCAAAGACTTGGAACCAACCCAAATGTCCTATCAATGATAGACTGGATTAAGAAAATGTGGTACATCTACACCATGGGATACTATGCAGCCATAAAAAATGATGAGTTCATGTCCTTTGTAGGGACATGGATGAAGCTGGAAACCATCATTCTCAGCAAACTATCACAAGGACAAAAAACCAAACACCGCATGTTCTCACTCATAGGTGGGAATTGAACAATGAGAACTCATGGACACAGGAAGGGGAACATCACACACTGGGGCCTGTTGTGGGGTGGGGGGAGGGGGGAGGCATAGCATTAGGAGATATACCTAAAGTTAAATGACGAGTTAATGGGTGCAGCACATCGACATGGTACATGTATATATATGTAACAAACCTGCACGTTGTGCACATGTACCCTAAAACTTAAAGTATAATAAATAATTAAAAATAAATAAATAAATTTTTTTTAAAAAAATCACATAGCATGTTTACATATCTGTACCAGATGACAGATCTACTGGAAAATGCACTAGTGGTATTTCCTAGTAGGAGATTTCTATGGAATGCTTTTAATACTTTGGACCTAGTCTAATGTTGCTTATGGTAACCTGGAATGTATACATTTATACACTCAGGAAAATGTCATAAATGCTATGTAACTATATGTTTATAAAACACAAGTGTTTCATGACCAAAATGCTTATTTTCTGTTTTGAAATGTAGACGCATATATATATTTGGGAATTAACACATTTATTTGGGCAGAGTATATTTGGATACAGTAAAGAAGGACCTGTGGAGCTATGTTAGTGGTTGTTCCTTTCTTTCTGCTTCTCTAGTGCCTTGTAATTACTTCTATCAGTGAGGCATAATGACAGCACTGATTTGTGTGAGTTTGATTTGAAAATTTAATTCTTTGTGTTTTATCATCCATCGTACATGATTTCTAAACAAAAGAAGTGTACTTTTACCTCCCAATTGATCTTGATATGCATTGCTAATCTGAATGGTATCTTATACTAGAGAACTATATCAGGCTAAATATCTATACTTATTCATATTTATCTATACATGTATCTATCCATCCCTCTATATCTATATATAAATCTTTGCCTTTGTCTATATTACATTCAGATATACATAAGTATATACATTTATGTATTTATAATATCTACACTTATATTTTATATTATGGATACATAAGTGCTCTATTAATAAAAGTGAAATATACCAAGTAGCTATTAGAAGCAGGCTTTGTTTGATAATGCAGACACTGGTGACTTAAGAAAAAATTTGAAGCCTTAAAAATTTGCAACCCCAGAATGCAATATGTATGGCCGGGCCATTTTTGGAGACTAATACCGTTACTAACCTCCTCCTCTTGCTAATGGAATGTATTTAAACAAAACCACCTGCAAGGAGGTAATTCGGCAAAAAGTGCTTCACTTTCCAAAGGGATTGGGGCAAAGTTTTATGAGAATTTGGTTAGAGATTAAGAAATAAGATTCCCTTGGAATGGGAATTGTAAATAAAAGAAGTGTGATTATCTTGCATAATAAACAGCGTTTATTTGTGCTTCACGTGTCTCTCAACCTCTTTGAGGTCCCTGCAACCAGCATTCACAAAATATGTGCCCATGAGTCCTCATTTCATTCTTACCATATCCTGCTTGTTGTCATGCTTATATGAAAGGGAACCTGAACTTGATAAAGTTAGAGTCCATACTTTTGATGCCCATTCTTTTGATTTTTAAAAAATATTGGCACAAGTTATTAGTAATTTTAGTAGATGACTTTCTTAATTCTCCTCTTTCCTCCTTGCTGAAGAGGGCTGATAAGATTAATGTCACAACTTTTTGGGGGGGAGTTATGTGAGGGACAGTATTTTTTGTTTCTTTTCAATTTTTACAGAGCAAAAGGCATTAATAAACTCAGGAAAACTTAGACATATCTAGAGAGATAGTAGCATCACTTGAGAGAAATACTGTTATCAATTCAACCTAGATTTGATAAATAAACATGTTAAAAACTTTAAATATCCACACACACAGAGGTAAAAACCTCCATTAATTTTGTTGAGGCATTGCAAGATCCTAAGAATCTTTCCGTAATCATCAGAGGAGTAGTACTTTAAAATTTGTGATTCCACTAAAGTTTATATAAATCTTTTAACAGGTGTTACTTCCTAGAACAGTGCTACACAAAATGTCATTTGTGGATCCTCTCTGGTGACTACTAACTGTTTATTCATTTTCCATGATGACTTAAGAGCAGAAATTGAAAGTAGGAGTTTGGAAACGTTTATAGCAACTTGACATCGGTGCAATAGGCCAGAATGGTATCAGTGGGCTTGTCTCAATGAATGAAATATAGACCAGTCAGGATGCTGTCAAAGTCAAAAGTGGTGGGAGCTATGTACCAGAATCAATTTACAATGTGTAATGCTTTAAAGTTACTTTGCTAAATGCAAAAATAAGTACAAAATAGATACAATGACAAAATTATTTGGTTGAAAGATATTTAAACTGAACTATAATTTTAGTGACTGAGGAAAGACTGAAAATGAACGTGTAACATCACTGAATTCTTATCGAATTAAAAGAGAAATTCAATAAAGTGACTATTCTGAAGGTTCTTAAGTTGCTTTAAAAATTTCCTTTTAATTTTCATCAATGTGCCTCTGAAAGAATAGTTTTTCTACTATAAATATTAGTACAATAAAACAGAAACAAATCAGATATACATTTCCCCTGAGAGTAGCAGATTTTTTCAATCCAGCCTAAATTAAACATTAACAACCTAGAAAATTTTAAACCTTCATATACACATCATTCATTCAACATGTGCATAGGTGTTTAGTAAGTAATCATTTTTCATCTTTTATCTATTAATCACTTTTTCACATACTTTGATTGAATAACATCAGTAGTTTTTATAATTCTTTATATATGTTATATTCTGATTTTCATCATTTTTAATGTAATTTTGAATCTAAAATTTTAAAATGGATTTTTTGTGAATGTTTTTATCTTTTTTTCTTTTCTAGTAATTCATTTTTATTGTATATATTAAAATATCAGATCCCAATGGATTGAGAAGCTCTTTCCTGCAGCATAGTTTGAGGCTACCTTGAATCAAGGCATCAAATGTTCCCTAGAGGTAAGCTTAGATACATTTTACAAGAAAGCACTGGGACATTTTTTAGTCTAGAAAAACAAGGGTCGGGCTGAATGACATAATGGGTGAAACAACGATCAGATCAAAGAGATGACTCCTCTCTAGTACAGGTATGATGTGTATTGTTTCATTGTTGAATATTTTCATGAATAAATCGCCTATCACTAATCTGAATCAATTATTTTACTTACTATGGAAAGAAATAACACTGAAAATGTCTAGTACAATTAATGGTTGTGTGTTCTAACTGGAAATAGATACTACTAATTCTAAGAATTGACATTTTCTGTAGTAAAGCATTTAGATACTGATTTTAGAGAATGTTCCAACAAATGAAATGAGAAATTTATTTTATGTAGTATTTGGGGAAAATATTTGTCCAAGAAAAAAATTGTTCCTAATTGTCAAAATATAAAAAATAAGTGAAAAATATTACTATGAAGTCTTTCTAATAACAATGAACCCAACTTAACCAGTAGCTGTAGACATGATGGGTATATTAATATTACTGACTTATTTTTTGGTATGGTGTTAATAAAAATACAAGGGTAATTGAGGACTGTGCTCATAAAAATTATTTTCTATTTGTGTCAATTTCTGATTATTTTTTCCAGAGACGTACCATATTACTAATATAGCTGCTTAAAGCATAGGAACAGCATTTATAAATTGGTAGACAATCTTAAGATAAATAATCCATCATATTGTGATAGATAACTTAAACTTTAATTACTCAGATAAAACCACTTTCATTATAAAACATGCTATATATTATACAACCAAATCCCTTCATTAAATTCTATTAACACAATTAATAAACAATTCACCCAGTGCATTGCTCTCTTTATCACTGGTTTACTTTGAGTTATTAAACAAACTTCAGAGAAGATGGCCCCACATGAATTTCAAATACCAACTATTTATTTAACCAATAAATACTGCACATAATGCCCTTTTTGTGCATGTGAAAATAAAATTCTGTACTTGTTTGTCTTTCAAGGACAATAGAATTTCCTAGATTTAAATTCAAATAGTAAAATGTGCTAAGGAATTGGAGAGAGAAAATAAATTCAGATAACAACTTAGTGGTGACCTTTTCCTTCTCTAGAGACTCTAAGCATCCTGGAGAAAGAGATACTGAAGCTGTATTTTTCTGTTACAGCATTGCTATTTAGTAAGTATCTCAGAATCAAGATCTGCACAAATTACCTTTACTCTTTGCTCTGTGTAGTTTGGTATTTTTTAAAGATAAGAGAAAAAGAATTGGACTGTTTTCAACTTTAGATCAAATCCAACCTCACACCTCTAAGAGTCTCTAATATTTCTCGACCCATTCATTGATGTTTTCTTCCTTAAAATGTCAGTATTCCTTATATAGACCTAATCAGCTACAAAGGCACCGTTTTTACAGAAATGGTGTTTTGAGTCCAGGGTAGTCAGAATTTTTTCATCAGTAATTTGTTTACCAATCTGGACATCGAAATTTAGACAAAACCAAACGTTTATTGCTTTTCAACCAAATAATGTATTAAAATAACTGGAGCAGCAAGATAAATTATAATTTCCATATTGACTTCACTCTTCACTTTCAGAAGAAGGAAAAGTAATTTTCTAACAACTTTAGTGTATTGCTTTGGACAACCTTTGCCCCATCCTGAACCTTTTTTCAGGATTAATTAGATTTTAACAGGATGTTTTATTTAATGACAGAGTTTTAGGTTGAATAACAAATCATTAAGATCAAATCAAAGAATTAGAAAGTGTAGTTTAATTTAAAAAAAAACTCACTTGCTATCAATTCCATACTTAAAATTAAACTCAAGTTTAACCCTCAATTTATATTTGTGTACACTCATCTGTACCACATGAACATTTAAAGAAAAATATATGTAGGTTATACGACTTAGATGTCTCAATGTCAAAACAACAAAATGCATTCTAAAATGTTTAATATTGAGGTTAATATAAAATTGTGATAAATGCAAATAAAATAGACCTCAAAATATATACACTTGTAGAATTTTAAAAAATGGTTTTTGAACTGTAGGGAAAGGGAAGCAAAGAGATATCATTAGAATTTGGCCCTGAGGCCCCTATATCCTTCCGATAAAGACCAATTTTACCAGTTGGCTTCCCCAGTTGTTGCAACCTAAACTCCATTATGTCTTTTTAGGAGGTTTAGATGTTCAGGCCCAAAGAGCAAAGTGAAATAATGAAATTATGCTAGAACAAATTTTCATCTCCTAATTTTTCCATAAATCATATTTAAGAAGGAGGACTTGAAATTCTGGAAGGATTTTTAGATGGTCAAGTTTATAAAAATACAAAAAGTGGAGAATCTTTGAAATATATTTTATGAATTTATCCTTACTTATTTTTATAGTACTCTAACCAACAAGAGATACTGTGATTAGACATTATAGTTTTTTATTTAAATGATATAAAATCTTCTTTTATAGTTTTAAAGCCTTTGAAAAAATAAAGGAGAAAAGCCAAGGAATATTATACCTATTTTCTTGATGAGACATGAGGTAAGGTTATTCTTCTTGTTAAATTTACGAAGTTGATTCTGTTCCTGATAAGTTACAACATTTATGTGAATATGTACATTTTATAAGTTATTGCATATAATGTATACTGTGTATATGTATGTATGTGTATTTTCATGTAAATAAGTTGATTTAAACATTTAGTGCCAGAAAAAAACTCTTAAATTAAATTTTATTTAAATAAAGTAAATATGAACTAAGAGATTTCCCTCTTTGCCACACATATCAAGAAAGCCAAAATTAAATATAGTACTGAAAGAGGAACCTAGATCATATATAAACACACCTGTATCATATGAAATATTTTTTAAAGCGTATCATTATATAATGTGTTTATCCCTTAAAGGTAACAATTAAATTTAAAACAAAGGTTTTATATTACAACTCTAACTTTTCAAAAATTTTTAAATTATTGTTGTTTATATAAGTTCTGAATTATTTTCTATGTGTTTTAAGAGTGAGACACTTTTCATGTATTGAAAATAAGTGGATTTTGAAGTAAATTCTTGTTTTTAATATGAGTCCACCTATATTCTTTATTCTTAAATATTCTACTATTCTAGTCTTTTCCTTCTTTGTCTATCTCAATAATGAAGTTACTGCTTTCCAACTGTACTAATCTCTATCATAGTTCTCTGTCAAGGACACTTCAATTTTGTTCCCAAAATTTCTTTCATAATTCAATTTATTTAGTAGCTTATGTAAAAACATCTTCGCAAAATTCCATTTTGAACAAGAGTCTATACTAATAACTATAGCATTTTATGTTTTATACCTATTCTATCTATGAAAATACAATGTCATGGAAGTCATGTAATTTTTAAAGGGTCTGGGCCAAAATATAAACTTTGCTTCTTCATTATGCAAGTGTTCTGGGGTTCTTTTCTGATATGTGATTGACACTGGACTTGCTACCAAAATAGTTCATCTAATAGGAATTTATCAGTCAATGGTTTTCTTCTCATGAACACTACAAAGTTGTTGTGAGAAGCAAATCAGAATGCTAGCCACGCTGTATAAAACGGGTTGTAAGGAAATACACATTAAGGACCAGAACACAAGCTTTTGGGGGATTTTTGAAACATTCTACAATATCAATGTGTACAGAGTTCATTATATTTTACCAAAGAGGAATATATATTCTTGCTTAAATAGCTGTAATTATTATTACTTTCATAATACAATTAGGTTATCAGTAAAGCATTAAAGATTTATCCTTCCAGACAATAAAGTAAGTGGTGTAAGATTCATTTCCTTATTGGAAACAACCAAAAATTGAAGACCAAAAGGGAAAGTGATCACTGAGAGGTGGGAGAAAAATTAAGTGAGTACTGCGATTACCCTAGTTTAGTGCCTTGAGAAAATGTCCAGTGTCAGGAACAGGAAACTGAAGTGAAGCTTGAAAGACTCCCTGAGATGAAGAGATGGGGCTGAGATTCTGTGGAGTCAAGGCAATGAGGGTTCACAGAACAAAGTACAGGAGATTAAAGAGCATACAGTGTCAACAACAACAACAAAAATCACAGAAAAAAAAAACTAAATATGTTGAATGTATTCAGGAATGAGAAATGAGGATTATAACCTGAGATGCACAGCTCTGCCAAAACACATGTGCAACTGAAGAGGAGATGGTAAAAGGAAGCTTCTATTGGCAAAAGGAGAAGTTTACATAAGCTGCTTGGAAATAGATTTCACTGGTTTCAGAGACACAAAGCCACAGTTGGCGTCAGTTCACTGCTGGAGATGGTTACTGGGCAAACATTCTCTTGACAGCACCTTATCTGAATGATTGTAGTCCTAAGAAAGCATTTTTTTTTGTGAGATTATTTTAGAAAGTTATCAAGATAGTCTTTATCTCAGACAGGCAAGCATAAGCCTTTCCCCTTCATGTTCTCTTAGCTCTAGTCTGTTTGGATCTGACAAAAAGTGATTTCATCCTGGTATCTTTTACATTCGCAATAGGTACAGAACTCCAGACAAAGCTGAAGGGTATCCCTGGAGTATTTGGCAGAATACTACTGTTGCATACATGAGAAGTAAACACTCAAGGCCGGGTAAATAAATGTCTCAGATTAGATATAAAAGTGTCTAGTGCTTACTTAGACAGAGCTGAGAATTTGGCCTGTTCCCTTTAGAAAGATGAGAAAACCTCATAATTCGTGGGGCATTGGATGGAGTACAGAAAAGAATCTTGTCTCAATGATGAAGAACTATTAGCAGTAAGTTAACTACAGCTCTGCTATTTCCCAACAAATATTAAAAGAAAGAATAAAAAATATGAAATAATTTCAGGTAATTTAACTGCATCCTAAAACAAAGCCCATGAAGATCTGTAGAAATGAAAAAAATTCATAAAATTTTATAAAAGATAAATTTTACAAAGTATGACATTCAATAAAAGATTACAAGTAAAGCAAAGAGGTAGAAAAATATAACCCATAATGAGTAAGAAATTTCACCAAGAAAAACTTGCCAAGAACAAAACCAGATGTTAAATGAGCAGAAAAGGACACTAATATAGTTATTGACAGTGTATTTCATATATTAAAAAATATATGAAGATGTGGAAAAATATTTTAAAAGATCCAAGTTAAACATGTACAGGTTAAAACCAGAATATCTTTAATAAAAAATATACTAGATGTTACTAATGGCAGATTAGATATTCTAAAAGACAAGATTAGTGAGCTTGGATGTATAACACCAGAAATTTTGAAAACTAAGACTGAGAAGAAAAAAATAATTTCAAAATACTATTAATGGATTGTGGGAAAACATTGAGCAGCATAGATGCTTAATATATGTTTAATTGGAGATCCCAAAAGAGAGAGAGAGAATTACAGGAAAAAATATTTGAAAAATAAATGGGCCAAAATTGTTTCCATTTTGATGAAAACTATAAACCCATAGATTCAAGAAACTTAGCAATGTTCAAGTACAAGCAATATAAATAGAATGATATCAGTGTAAATTATAATCAAATCACTCAAAAATAGGATAGTACTATAAAAGCATCCAGAAAATAAAGACATGGTGTACCCAGAAGTTCAAAGGGATGGATATCAGCTGGATCCTTCCTGAAACAATGCAGGCAAGAAGACAGTAGTGCAACATCTTTAACGAACCAAACAACAACAACAACAACAAAAAGCAGAAAAGAAAAATTGAGCTTGAATTCTATGTTCAATGAAATCTTTCAAAAATAAAGACAAAATAAAAACTTTTTCAGACATACAAAGCTAAAATGGTTATTACTACCAGACCCATACTTCAAAAAGTATTAAAGAAAATCTTTTGCCAGAAAGAAAATGATGGCAGATGAAAATATGGAGCAACATAAAAACCAAAGGGGACCAGAAACAGTAAATGAGTGGGTAAATATGGAATTTTTAAATTATTTAAATATCTTTAAAAAGTAGCTTTCTGTAAAAGAATAATTATTGTGGAGTTTATAACATATGAATAAGTAAAATCTATGAAAACGTTATTATAAATATTGGACACTAGAAATTAGCATATTGTAAAATGCATATACTATAGGTGAAATGGGATAATGCAAGTTGAAAATAGACTGTGAAAAGTTAAAGAGGTATACTGTAAACCCTACCTAGATTAGCCTCTAATATAACAAAACAAAAGGTTATATGTAATAAGTCAAAAAAGGTAAATACAATTGAACTCCATAACCACAAAAGATAGCAGAAAAAAATGGCAAAGAACACATGGATTTTTTTTTTTTTTTTTTTTAGACTGAGTCTCACTCTGTCACCCCAGGCTGGAGTGCAGTGGCGTGATCTCTGCTCACTGCAACCTCCGCCTCCCAGGTTCAAGTGATTCTCCTGCCTCAGTGAGTAGCTGGGAATATAGGCACCCGCCACCACACCCAGCTAATTTTTATATTTTTAGGAGAGATGGGTTTTCACTATGTTGGCCAGGCTGCTCTCGAACTCCTGACCTCAGGTGATCTGCCTGTCACGGCCTCCCAAAGTGCTAAGATTACAGGTATGAGCCACCATGCCCGGCCAGAAAATTTTTTTTTTTTTTAAATGTAAGATTCTCAGCTTAAGCCTGATCATATCAATGATCACATGACTTGTAAATGGGCCAAACAATTCAATCAAAAGTTGAATACTTTCAGTTTGGGTTAAAAATAATTCATCATATGAAACACTAAAATATGAAAGCCATATGGTTATCTCAATAAAGACATGGAAATGACAATTGAGAAAACCCAATATCCATTTTAAACAAAAACAAAAATGAAATACAACAACAACAAAAACAAAAACCTCTCATAAACTAGGAATAGAAGGGAAATTCCTTAACCAGAAAAATGTACATTTAAAAAAACTACAGCTGATGTTCTACTTAAGGAGAAAGACTGAATGCTTTAGTCCTAAGATCAGGAACAATACCATCAAAACAAAATGGATATATACACTCACCACTTCTATTAAGCATTGTATGGGAGGTTTCAGCAAGTGCAGTGAGTTTTCTAAGTAAATAAATAATAAAGATATCACATTGGAAAGAAAAAAATTAAAACTGATTTTATTCACATATGCAATGACATGTTTGTAGAATATCCAATGGAATCTACAATAAAGCTACTACCAATAAATGTGTTTAACACATTTGCAAGATACTGTATTATCAATTGTGATTCTAGATAGTAGCAATGGACAATTGAAAATTGAAATAAAAAATAAAACATAACTTTCAAAGCATGAAACAATTAGGAACACATTGTCAAAAGATATGCAAGAATGATATACTGAAAACCACACAATGCTGCTGAGATAAATTAAAAGTGATATAAATAAATCTAGGTTTTAGATCTTCTTTATGTAAGTCATATATTGTTAAGAGATTGGAAGGCTCATTAATATTAAGAGGGTAACTGATTTATACATTTATTACAAAACCAATGAAAATCTAGCCAACTGTTTTTAGAGAAATTGCCAAGCTGACCCTACAATTAACATAGAAATGCAAAGAAAACAGAATATCTATAACAACTTTGGTGAAGAACAAAGTTGAAGAGCTAACATTACCTGACTAAAAATTATATTATAAAACATTACTCAAGATAGTGTTATGTGCATCAAGATAGATATGACAGGCAAAGAGATCAATGGAACACAATAAAATCAAGAACTAGGCTCACATATATCTGGACAATTGATTTTTGACAAAGATGCAAAGGCAAATCTATGGAGAAAAGATAGTCTCTTTAACAAATGGTGCTAGACATTTGAATATCCATATAAAAATAAACTTTGATACATATCTCGCATACTATATGAAAGTTAACTCAAAGTGTGCCGTAGCTCTAAAACTAAAGTATGAAATGTTGAGAAAAAAACACAGGGAATATATTTATAACCCTGGATTAGGGAAAATCTTTAGGTATGACACCAAAAGCACAATCCATTTTTTAAAAATATGAATTTAAATTCACAAAAATTAAAAACTTCTGCTATTTGGAACACAGAGAATGAAAAGACGTATCATATAGCAGGAGAAAATATGTACAATGCATATATCTCATAAAGAAATTATATCTAGAATATATAAATGCTCAAAGTTCAATAATAAGATCTCACTTTACTGCTTGGACTGAAAAATAAAAATTGAATAATAAGAAAACAAACAACCTAATTAAAATGGGCAAGGGTTTGAATGAACACTTTGCCAAAATAGATATATGGATAGCTTATAAGCATAGGAAAAAAATGCTCAACTTCATAAGTATTTAGGGATATGTAAATTAAAACCACGATGAGACACCATTACATAATAATAAGAATGGCTAAAATTAAAAATCTGAACATATCCCTGCTACTGGGAATGTAAATAGTACAAGTGGGAAAGTTGGAAAATGTCTGTGTCTCAAAAACTTAAACATACACTCACTATATGATCAGCCATTCCACTTTTAGGTATTTACCAGAGGAAAGGAAAGCACACATCAAAAAACACACACCAAACTATGTATAATAGTTTTATTGATCGTAACCTTAAACTGGAAACAATTCAAATATTAACAAGTGAAAAAATAAGCAAATTGTGGTATTTTCATATGGTAGAAAACTACTAGGTAATAATAATAATAATACACATAACAACATGGATGATCCCACTAGGTGAAGAAAACCAAACCTCCCACCTCCTTCAAAGTATGACTCTCTTTTACGGTATATTGCATCGTTCTATTTATACAAAATGGTACAAAATACAAACTAATCTATAGGATAGAAAGGAAATCAGCAGTTCCCTGGGAACATGTAGGGCTGGAGTTGGAGGAGCAGGCAGTGGGAGGAAGGAGGTATTATCAACGGCATGAGAAAACTTTTGGTGATTATAAATATATTCATTATCTTGATTGTGAAGATGGTCTCAGATGTGCACATATGCAAAAACTTATAAAATTGTACACTTTAAATATATGCAGTTTACTGTATGTCAATTATACCTGAAAAGAACCGCTAAAAAATAATGATGCATTGAAAAATTACTATCTACAATGGAAGCAACGAGCTGGATAATGCCAAATAAAACTTGTCACAGGAGACTATGTTTCATTACTGTGAATTTGATTTGATTTTCTAAGCAACTACCTAAAAGTAGCTACTAAAGATTAGGCCTGGATCAATGCACCTGGGGAGAAATTCCTTCATGGTCCGATTTACACTTATGACATAAACCTATAATAATGTGTTCACTGAAGGACATTTCCTATCCTAGTACTGGGATTCCATTTGAGTGTAACCTACAAGACTATACTGCAAATAACGGTAGAAAGCCAAATCATTCAGATGTTAGAATCAGAAAGCACCAAGGCATTTTGTGCTTTTTTTAAAATGTAGCATTTTCAGACAGGGCACAGTAACTCATATCTGTAATCCCAGTACTTTGGGAGACCAAAGAGGGAGGATCACTTGAGGCCATGAGTTCAAGACCAGCTTGGGCAATATAGCGAGACTCATGCACTACAAAAAGAAAGAAAGAAAGAAAAAGAAAGGTAGCATTTTTAGATGAGAAGCTGCAATTGGTAAATTTACTAGCAGTCTTCCTAGTCAACTGAAAAAAACTAAGTTTTTTAAACAGTATACCTAACTTTATTTAGGAAAATATCAGTAGGTGGAAACCAGTTGAGTGTGATGATTTAAAAAATTTGAAGTGAGCATATCTGGATCAAGATACTCACCTAAATGGGTAAATTTAAACAAATTAATCAACTGCTTTGAGCCTCAGTTCTCATGACTATAAAATGGTTTATAAATATAACATGTTATGAGAAATAAGTGATATATATCAATAAAACACTGAATACATAGCTTGTCATCTAGTTAACATTTAATAAAATAATGCTATAATTATTGTGAATTTTAATATTACTGCCATTATTGTCATTATCATCATTCCTTATAGTGTTCATTTTAAAATCCGTAGAATCTCCAAAATGCCATATTTTACTATAATTGTAAAAAGACTGTGCTACTTTAAATATTTTTATAAGAATGTTAAAAATAAAACTAGTTTCCATAATTTTTAAATAATCATTTAAAATTATTTAAAATCACTCTTAATCATTTAAAAACAATACAATACAAAACAATACAAAAAATCCTCTTGTATTGTTATTCCCTCTGAAAACTCAAGAATTCACAATACAATACAAAACAATACAAAAATCCTCTTATATTTTTATTCCCTCTGAAAACTCAAGAATTCAGTCAATTGAAGATTAACAGGATTTCAGAGTGGATAGTCTTATAAATTATATGTATTCTTTTCAACTAATGCCCTAATCATCAAAATATGTATTATGTTTCAACATAAAAAGTGTTTAACACTACAATTTTAAAGATAACAACAGCTCAATGTAAAGTAAATCAAGTTTAAAAAAAAAACTCTCAGAGTATAATAGTTTGCAAGTTGCATACTTTCTTAATAATAAAATGTATTATTGTTCCATTCTCAATTGTGTCATTTACTCAGGTAGAGAGGAGATCCAGCATCTTAAAATTGAAGGCCCTTTTATAGGTTAATGCAAATGAAAATTTCTCATAATATGAACTCTTCTATAATGTCGTATCACTAATAATTGTCCTTGGCTCCACTGGGAAATAATTCATGCTCTTCTTCCCTGGATTTGAACATGAGTTTTATGTTGCTCACCTGACTAGCTTCACTCAAAACTTTCATATGCAAAATTTATTGAATATATTGTTCAATATATTGTTCATTGATTGGCATTAAATACCATAATATTATTTAGTAAAAATCGCATAATATTTCTACAAATTAGTAATGGAAAATTCTTTAACTTTTTATGTGACTTCATTTTGCAGTCATAAATATGTAAGTATTTTTTACTTTGAGTAGGTCAATTGTTAGCATTGATTTTCAACCTGATTTCCCAGGAAACCAGTATTAGAATTAAGTAGGATTAAAAATGTTCATTCTTGGGCCCTCATACCAAACTACCACAATCTCTAGGATTGAGATATGAGAATGTATATTACTTTACAGTATATATACTTATGTTTAATATCTCTTTTAATGAGAAATTGTTTGTACACAGATATGGCATTATTTTTCTTTGCTATTACACATATTAGGTTTATCTGAACATTCATAGCCATTTGGATCCAGTTGTGGAGAAATACATATTGATTATTATGTATGGGTAATATTAGGGAACTTATATTTATTTAGTACATACTGTTTCCTAAGAACTTTCTTAGTAATTTAAGAAGTTTATCTTATTTAATCTTTGCAACAATCCTAGAGAAAATTCTATAATCTCTATTCAACACATGAGGTAACCTACTTTTGGAAATTAAGTACAGCTGCCTGAGCCAAGGTGCTTGTCTTCTGTGCAACCAGAACTCAAATCCAGAGCTATCATCAGGTGTTAGTGTTCCTGCTCTTTTATACTAATGTCTATCAGTTTCCTATGGCAATGTTAACTACCCTGGAAATTTCTTTTAAGAAACTGAGATAAAACATGGACGCATTTTGTATCTTGAAATGGATCTTTTTCAGTATTCTTGGAGGGTGGGAAAGGCTAGGAACATTTTGATTTTCTTCAGGCAGAATTTATTTCATTAATTACTTTTTTATTATAGTACTAAAGTGTATCTTGTTTCTCAATAGAGTAAATCATCAATTGACTGAAGCCTATTGAATTGTAAAATTAGCTAAAGTCTGCATTCATAAAGAAGTAACAAATCACACATACACACCCACAGACATTATACACACACATTACTGACCACTTTGTTAAAAATGAAACTTCTATTATATACAAATAAATCAATTCCTTACATCATCTAGGTATTACACAAAGGTTTGTAACCCTGATTATGGTATCAGTCAAACCAGAGACCATAAATATTCAGACAACA
The DNA here is from genome assembly GCF_000001405.40 of Homo sapiens. Classification (NCBI taxonomy): domain Eukaryota; kingdom Metazoa; phylum Chordata; class Mammalia; order Primates; family Hominidae; genus Homo; species Homo sapiens. Next base: position 105,238,353 of record NC_000005.10, read on the forward strand.
CTATATTAATTTGATATTCTGTACTTCCATCCAAGGCAGAAAAGTAAACTAGCACATTTTGGAAAGCTTTTCAACAACAAGAATTGAAAAAAAAATAAAATGTTAAATGTATATTGCAAGAGTATTGAGGCTGTTTATAAACACAGCATTGAATAGTTCACAGCTGACAAGTTTATTGAATTAATGGTATAGCTAATACAAAGACATATATGGCTACAAGTCATTAGATTTTTTAACTATTAGACTAAGGAAAAATACCATGGCTCATATAAGATCAAGTTATTTGATTGTTTTTGAAAAATACCAATGAGATTTTTTATAGGTATTATCCAAGAACCTCAAAATAAGACCGTGTTTCTACTTTCAAAATGTGAGCACATTTCCTAGAAAACCAGTCATTTTTATCGCTGTGTCAGCATGTGTCTGAGTCACATCTTAAGCTGGGATTTAAACTTGTGAACTGAAGCACCAAAGAAAAACGTGCAACCATGTAAGTAAGCTTAAATATTTATTGGACACTTAGAAATAAAATATTAAGTGATGGGGTCATTTGTTTAGGTTGGTAAGATAAAGTAACTCATATTTTTAAAATATTGATAGGAAGACAGGAAATGCTGTTTCTTACAGTAAATAGTCAGTTGATCCTGGGGCATGAAAGAACTACAATAAATCTTAAAATGTTGCTTTTTCATATCTAATAAAAGCATATACTTAGGCTAAAATGTTAATAACTGAATGCTGATAAAAATTTAATGAAAATCCTTATATGTTAATGTTAGTATATGCTTATGATAAACAATATTATTCATATAAACTTATATGTAATAGAGTACCTAATTATCAATAAATATCAATTGTGTTTGCAGTCTGCAACATTATAAAAAGGAAAAGAAACCATATGATTTTCACACTAAGTTTCAAAGTGTTTAGTGATGATAGAATGACTGTTAATGAAAAGATCTTCTCCATAACAGGGAGATCCCCTACAGTAAAAAAGGTCTTACTGTAATTTAGAATTTGGATGCTTAATCATGACAGGGTTATGTGGGGGCAGTGTGTGCTATATTCATTGCTTCATGAAAGACTGAAAAATGAGAGTGAACACAGCTCTCTTTTCAAGGATATGCTTATTCTTTCAGAGCTTTTTATAAAAATTTTAATACATATTTTAATGGATAGGGATTTACTTAATATCATGATTAAGTATGCCATTTTTAATGTCTTCTTCTAATACCTGTTACAATTTTTTGAACAATTTTTTAAAGTCCAGTATTCAAACTGTTATCTAATAGTTTCTTACAACTATTGTTACTAAAATAAATTAAGATTTTATTGTTTAATGTCAATAGAAAACAAAACTATATGTGTATTAAATGTAGTAATTCTACGCTAATTATTAAAATATTATGAAATAGAGACATTCTTTGAGTCATCATTTCTAACTTAAACTTTTTATCTTTGAGGAAATATAGCTTTTCAAATTGCTAATATAAACATTTTACGATCAATTTTTTTCCTTCAGCTACTAAACAATGGAAAACTATTTCTTTGAAGTTCTTGTTTTGCTTACTAAAGTACATTTTATGCCTACTATATATGTCAAATAATGCTTACTTTGGTTATTCATCCAAAAACATATACTTTAGGCTTAATATGCATCATATACTATTAAGTAGAAACCCACAGCCCTGCTCTATTCCACTCAATTGCCCACATAACACACATACACTAAGAGTGGTGGAGAACAAGCAGTGAAAACAAGTGGAGAACAGCAGTGAAAACCAAGATTAAGATTAGCTGAGACTTGGAAAGTCACTTGTTAAGGTGACTCCCTATAGTCAGGTATTTGGCAATAGAGGTGAAAGTATTACAATAAATAAAATTGGGTAGGCAGGCAGAAGTAAACAGTGACACTCTACCAATCTCTTCCTTCAAAGGCCACATGTGATTGTATAAAGAATGAAACTGATGAAAGTAAAAAATGGAGCAATCAGGTTACCCAGAGAATTTGGAAGTGAGACTCCAAAATTGCATTCTGTAAATGAAGCTTTCATTGGTTGATTATAGTACATTGGGAGTCAGGAGAACCATATTTGAAAGATATACCTGCCAATCAGAAAAATCAAGTCCTCATAAAAAGGAATAATGAAGATGTCAGAGAAAGAAAGAGATAAAATATGAGAGAGAGATTACATTATATATATACAAATATTTATACCTTATATTTATATATGTATACTTATGCTTGAGTGCTTTGAAAATCTTGCTATTGTATTACTTAATCTTATTTATCTTTGAAATTAAGAAATACTTGCTAAAAAATGAGTAAGGGGGAAGTGGAAGAACAGAGAAATCAATTAAGTAAGGGAGAGACAAAATGAGACACAAAAATAAACATGGTGAAGAAGAGATGAAAAGAATGTCTCAGTATATAGGTAATTCAAGCATGCATTTCACTCTTCCAATCAAGTATGCTGTGAGCCAAAGAGAATTGCCGTCTGATTTAAAAACACTGATGAAGTTAACAATTTTAAAGTAAACTTTAAAAATAATATAATTAATGAATTATTAGGCACCCAAATTGTTTTAAACTTTATTTTTTAAATTTTGCTAATGATTAACTTTGATAGCTAGAATCCTCCAACAGATATGTATAAACTCGTACCTATAATCAACACAACTCCCTTTACATGCACATCTTCTCTACTGTCTGATAGATTACTAAAATACCAGGGTACACATATCGAATTTAATTATAGCTATCTATATCAATTTAGTCAACTTTTAAAACGACCCTGAGTCTGCATTGCTTCATTTGTGAAACAGTGATATAAATACTAACCTAAAAGTGGTATTATTAAGAATCAAATGGATAACACATAGCTGTCTGTATATTAGAACACAACTGGTATCATTTTCCTTCTCTTATTCATATTTTGCCCACTGGCAACACTGCATTAATATAATTTCTAAGTTAATACAAGCATTAATCTTTCATTTAAGTGGAAATATTTCAAAACATTTCCTGGGATTGATTTTTAAATAGTCTGAGGCAAACTTATACAAATTATTTGCAACTGAAAGAAGACAGGTTCCTTGGAGATCTGTAAAAATATAATTTATTTCTCACATCTATTTTCTTAGAAACAATCTACAGCAGATTTTGCTATACAACGATTCACTGAAGCTGAAGATAGAAGGTTTGTCTCCAATATATTTGGCTAACATTGTGCAAATCTTGCCAAGGACTTTTTGAGATGAAGTTCATATTTGCTACATCTTTACCTGTGAGTCTGATATTTAAGTGGAAATGTAATATTGTTATTTTTATTATTGAATTTTTAATACGTGCACCTATTTAGTGCAAATAAAATTCACAAAATAGTAAAGACCATATTGATTTTTAGAGAATATATATCAATATTTTGGACTGTCTGCTTTTTATTGCATTGGAGTAAATATCTACTATATAGTAGAAAACCCAGAAAAATAAAAATTGATCTCACTATACAGCTGGGATTTTCTAAGCCTTCTGTTCACATCAGCTGAGAATTGAATGTGGTACAAATAATTACCCAAAATAGACATTTTTCTAAGCACAGTTTCTGTAATGGAGGGTTTTCATTTTATGCATTATGTACTGGGAGTTAAAATGAGGATCCAAGGGGGGAAATTCCCTATTTCATATAAAAAAAATTTTTAAGAGAAAACTTGTCAAATTTAAAAAAGAATAATTAATGAACAGTGAAGCTTTATGTTTAAAAATTTATTTTTGAAAGCAAACTTTTTTAAAAAGTCAACATTTCTCTTGAGAAAAAAGTGATCTTTTTTAAAACTAACAATATTAGATTGGGTGCAGATAGACAGCGGACACATGCTGATTTTTTCTTCTTACATTGGAAGAGTCGACTGATGCTATATGATTTTTACTTTGATAATTAGAAAAATAGCTACTATCATAATGAAAAATAGTCTGTATGTCTTCTAATTTAATAAAGTACTAAAAGAAGCACAGTTAAATAAAAATAAATGAAAAACAAACAGTAAGCATAAAGTGTAAGAATACAAAATAGTGTGCAAAAAAAAGACTTAAAATGCTTGTTTTGAAAAACACGATAGTATGATTGTTTGGAGGATAAGCTATGGAGCCTGATAGCTGAGATATGACATTTATCTTGGTCTCTTCCTAAATGTATAATCTTAAATATGTTATTTAACCTCGCCATACTTGAATTTCCTCATATGTAAAATTAAAGTAATAATAAAATAATCTTCTGTTTTCTTTTGTGATTATTAAATGTGTTTTGGGTAGATTGGGCCTTAGAATAATGCCCACTTTTTATTACCAGCACTTATTCTTGCACACAGCTAACAATTAAATCCATTAGAAGAAAAATTACCTTTAAACTCAAAATACAACTAAAAAAGGATTCTTTAAAGGTTACATATTTTACAAAATGAGGGAATAAGTAATGAAAGCAGAATATAAATGTTTCAGAAAACAGGAAACGAACCCAAGAGAAACATGAAGAAAATTCAAAAGGTAACAGGAAGTCCAGAGACTTAATCGAAGGCCTATGGAATTACTAATCCACGATTTTAAAAGCTAAGGGAAGAATCCAAGACAAATGTTCTTTTAAAAATCCTATTAATTATCTGTCAGTTTTGACCTAATTAAACAACTAAAACAAGGTGACTGCAAACTACATACTTGAATCTCAAAGAACAGTGAATTTACCATGAAGCTAATGAATCTTTAATTTTCAAAACCCCTACCTTGTATAAGGCTGTGGAAGAGGCCCAGGGAATTTCACATCAAACTATTCTACTGTTTTCCACACTGTTATCCCTTCAAATGGAAGCTACACCTCTCCCCCCGTATCTAGAGCTATCCTTAATCTCAATAAACTCAACCTAAATATATTTCAAATCATGTTTACCTTAACAATTAAAAAATAATGTCCATGGTCATTGCAGAGTCACTAAAAATGAAATGAAATGTGACCTATGAGAGAGAATAAGGTAAAATGTAAATGAGTTTATCTAATTACATTTAAATTAAATGTTAATTGCTTACTTATGCAATTTTTATGAAAATACTATGGGCAAGTAAACATATTCATAGAGTCTCAGTTTTTGAAAGTGGAGTTGGGCACCTTAATGGCTCAAGTTTCGTTGATTTAGTGGTAAGTCTGTCCCTGTTGAAAAAGTTTTAACTTTATCTAGAAAACAGAATATGTTACACATAGAAAACAATGAAAAGATTTTTAACAGAGAGAGGGGCAATAGTTCTGTGAACTTTTCTATTTTAGCTTTAGCTATCAACTTCAATAGCATATAATAATTTTTAATGCCCAAGCATGGAACCTAGAAGTCATATAAGAAACATTTGTTGAAGTTGGCAGTAATTTTGAATCTATGCAACTAAAGTTTACTACAATAAAAAATTGTATAACTCCAGCAAAGTAAGAAAGAGTTGATAAACTAATTCATATAACTCAAATCCTGTTTTTAAATTATAGCTATTTTCCTGCAGATACATCAAATTAAAATTTATAGGCATAGTTTCACCATGCTTTCTCTAAAGTGTAATTCTCATTGAACTATGCCACCTTGAATTATAAAAAAGGTCATATAACATTTATAATCTTTTTTAAAGAACCATAGGAATTGTTTTTCTTTTCAAATATATATAGGTTATAATGATGGAGAATACTTAAAAGGACAAGAATTTCCCTCTACGATAATATCAAGAACGCTTTTATTAAATTTTTTTGAAGCAGCATACCATGGTAAAAACAACAACACTGATCCTGAGATTTGAAGGCAAAGGTTAAGGTCTCAATTCTGAACCTTGGCAACTCTGCAACTGTGGACAATCACCTGTCTTTTATGCCTCAGTTTAATATGTCAGATCATGTCTGTAATAATAAAGATCTGTTATTAATATTACTCAACTGAAGATATAGATTTCTGTAGCTAAACATCATAAGAGACTTATTTGTCTAATAAATATCATAATATGAAATGTATAGATATAAAAACCCTTTCTATGTTTCAGATATTGTACTGCAAGATTTGCATATATTATTACATTTAATTCTCAAACTTATGATGAAAATGCTGATACTATAATTTTTATTTTACAGATAAAAAATTGATGAAAAATAAATACTTGCCCAAGGCCATCATCATTTAAGTGGTGTAGGTAGGGTTTTAACAGGACATTCAGCTTCTCTAGTCTCCATGTAAAAATAGGTACATACTGATCCATATTTTTGCCTCCAATGAACTCAAAATTGAATTTTAAAATCTTGTTTAAAGTAGCATTAATATATATTTATTTAATTGAAAACTCTATATTTAAAAATAGAAGCTTTTAAAAGTGTAAAGCATGGTAGTTCCATAAAATTAATATGTTAGTTCAATATTTATGAGTTTACATGTGACACTGATCAAAACTGAAATGATGTTCAAAAATATAATTAAAGAATGGATTAATGCTTTGTTTCCAAAATATAATATTTTGGTGTAGAGCCAAGTATGACTATATTATGTGTGATTTATAATTTGTAATTTCAAATAGTTTCCAAAACATTGGATGTTTCTTATCTGAATACTCAAGAAAAGTGTGTGTTTACTCAAATAATAGTTTAAGCAAATGTCTGGCCTTTTTTCCCCTTTTCTCATATCGTATCAAACCAAATCTCATACATATCATATCGTAAAATATCTCATATGGTATCATATCACATATATCATATCATATCATATCGTATCATTTCTATCATATCGTAACATATCATATCATGTCTCATATCATATCAAAAGCCCTAAGATTATTCCTCTCCCTTCACCATTAATTTAGAAAAAGTAGAGGAAAAAAATTAAAGGTTAAAGTGAGAGCCTACAAATCCTTGTCTTTGCATTGGCTTATTTTTCCCACGGAAGATTTTTCTTTCATTTAATTTGTTTAACAAACATTTATAATTCCTACCATGTACCAGATACGAGACACAGGATTAAATAATTAAGGCCTCCCCATCATACTCTGGTTAGGGAAAGCTAAAAAAGAACGTATATGTCGATATATTAGAACAAATGGAAGATGGTTTACAAAGACAAAGCGTAAGTATTTAACTTGAATCCGGAATGATCAGTAACATTTGCTAATATTTTGTATTGATAAGAAGCATTTGTTAAGTTTTTGTTTTGTTTTGTTTTTACATTTGCAAAGAACAACTGGAAGGGTGTAGCATAAAAAGAGTAAAAAAGGCAGAAACAATAGCATCTATGGATTCCTTGAAGCAAGAAAAAACAGGGCATGCTTGAAGAGATTAACTATAATCCAACTATTTAGAGTTATTTACATGGAAAGGGAAAAGTAAACAGGGGAGTGGATGCTGAAGGATCAGATTGTGAAGAAAGACATGGAGGAATTTTTTTAATTTAGCACAAATAATAGAAAATGATTAAAGATTTTTAGGATGATAAACACCAAATATTGGTATGCATTTAAGGAAATTTTTAAAAGAATAAGGCAGGGGTCAGGGATACTCAGTTAATGTTTGTTTTAGTTATTCAGAGAAAAGATTATAATGGCCAGGTCTAGAGTGGTGGCAGTGGGATTGGAGAAAAAGGGAATCATTGAGTAGAATCAAGAAAAGTTAAATCGCAGAACTTGTTTGTATGTGTCAGTTGAGGGAAATGGAAAAGGGAAGAATGGTGAATGAAGTTCTGAATTAAGCAAACTGGGTAGGCAAATGATACTTTGAGAAGGTTAAACCTTGTTAACAAGAATAGAGGATTTCTGATTCAGGTTTGAAACTATATATACGAGTCCCAGACAGACAGATAGGTAGTGTACTAGTTCATTTTCAAACTGCTATAAAGAAATACCCAAGACCAGGTAATTTATGAAAGAAAGAGGCTTAGTTTACTCACAGTTCCACATGGCTGGGAAGGTCTCAGAAAGTTTACATTCACGCCAGTAGGTGAAGCAGGCACATCTTACCTGGTGGCAGGTGAGAAAGAGCAAGTAGGGAAAAATGTTTTATAAAACCATCAGATCTCATGAGAACTCACTCACTATCACAAGAACAGCATGGGGGAAAACACCTGCATGATCCAGTCAGCTCCCATCTAGTCCCTCCCTTGACATGCAATAAGTATGGGGAATACAATTCCAGATGAGATTTGGGTGGGGACACGGAGCCAAACCATATCAGGTAGATAGGTAAATAGGTAGGTAGGTAGATAGACTAGATATAGATAGATAGATAGATAGATAGATAGATAGATAGATAGATAGATGATACATACATACATACATGCATCATACATACATATTAGATAGATTTGTCCAATAGAGAATTGAGGAAAAGAAAATTTATGCTTCAGGGAAAGTGTAAACTGTAGATTTTAGTTGGGAAATTAAAGCTATACTGATCAGTCATTTTCATGAAAAAAGATGTGTGCAAATATTTGAAGCATATTTGGAAACTATAAAGGCCCACATGGCTTCCTTTTCTGATTAGTGTGTAGAAAGTAAAAAGAAACTATCATTCTCACTCTAACAAACTCATCAAGATGGTAAAACTAAAAATCAGAATATTGTAGTTTTTTCAACCCAACATAGAGCTATGGCCACAGAAAACATAAATAACTAAATTCAGAGAAGAGCAAGACATTCACAGAAGAGATTAGAAGAAGAACAACTCCTCTCATTAGCTGGCAGAGGGACCAGATGAAGAGGAAACTATGGAGCGAGACACAAGCAGCAGAATACTTAAATAGTTTTCAATAATTTTAGTAATTGTCAGCTACTGAAAGATGGGGCAGGAAGGGGAACTGAAATATATTTATCTTAATACTCTTAGCTTCAGCCTAAAGGAGATTTGAGCCATTTGAGCCAAGTCAAGATATCAGAGAGAAACTCCTCTGAGGCATTTTAGGCTTTCAGCTACCATAACCCAGGAGTGCGGCAGGAGAGCTGAGACAAAATCCTTTAAGCCATTCTGGGCTCTTACAAAGTGTCAGGCAGTAGGCAGAGAACCAAGCAAGGAGAAATTGCTCTAGAAACAGAGAAACATGGTAGCAGAAAGCAGAGTGAACCTACCAACAACCCACAAAATTGGTAGCTAGGAACTAAAGTAGACAGAGATCTCTTCCAGTACGGAAAGTTGACGGCTTGTTTGTAAAGGATAATGAAATCCCTCATACCATGACAGTTCAAAGACAAGTCCTGTTAAGGAAAATGTCCAAAACCATCACCCAGACATTTCTAACCACTGGTAAACTGAATCAAGCTAAAACTCTTAACAAAGCCCAGGCAAGCTCAACTGATAATCAGATTGATTCAGTCCCTCACTGCAGCATCCTAATAGAAAAGGTAATATGCTATTTTCTAAGGGTATATATTATTTATTCTGGTCTCTAGTAGTCTTTTATATAAAATAAATTGCATAAAATTAATTAAACTTGCATAAAATAACTTGAATATATTTTCAGGAAGAAGCAATTAAATGTGTCTCATTACCAGGAAAGAGAATAGTCAGTACAAATAAACCCAGAGATGTAACAGACATTTGTCAGATAGCATTTTAAAATAACTATAATAAAAATGCTAAAGAATTGGGAAATTTCATCAGAGAGGTAGAACTATAAAGGTCCAAATGAAAATGTTAGACATTAAAAATACAATAGCAGAAAGGAAGAATTTATCTAACGGGCTCAAGAGCAGATTGGACACAGCAAAGTAAAGAACAAATTGGAATATGCATGTATAAAAATTATGTAAATATTTTTAAAAGGAAACAATTTTATAACAGAGAAAAAATAAAAGCAGTGTGTCCAAGAAAGGTGAAAATATTAACTGATCTAAAGGATGAGCAATTTAAGTTTAAGAAAAATAAGGGAGAATGAATTAGGAAACACATTTGAAGATTACTGACCACAAACTTCCCAAATTTAATGATAGATACAGACACACAAGATTCAAGACATCAAATGCAATACAAGCATAATTATCATTTTAAAAAATTACCTCTATCTTATGAATACACATTCTACTCAACAGTATGTGGAACATTCCATATGATAGGTCACAAAATGAGCATTAACAAATTTACAAAAGATCAAAATCATATCACTTTTTTAAATCACAATAGAATAAAGCTAGAAATCAATAATAGAAAGAATGTTGCAAACTCTACTGTGGAAATCAACATGCTCCCAACAATGAATGGGTCAATGAAGAAATTAAACAGGAAATTTAGAAATGCCTTGAGACAAATGAAAATGGAAACACCACATACCAAAACTTTTGGGATACAGCCCTAAAATGTATACCAATAAGTGCCTACACCAAAACAGTAAAAAGACTTCAAATAAACAATCTACAATGCACCATAAGGAACTAGAAAAACATACACAAAGTAGATCCAAAATAAGTAGAAGAGAAGAAATATAAAGATCAGAGCAGAAATAAAAGAAATAGAGATTAAAAAATGTTTAAAGATCCACCAAAGGGTAGGTGTTTTAAAAAGATGAACAAAATTGGCAATCCTTTAGCTAGATGAAATAAGGAAAAAAAAAGACTCAAATAAATCAAATCAGAAACGAATAAAAGATATTATAAGTGACATTACATAAATATAAAGGATCATAACAGACTCTTATGAAAAACTAATAAATTGAAAAACTCAGAAGAAATTGATAAATTCCTGGACACATACAAGCTACCGAGATTAAATCCTAAAGAAGTAGAAAATGTGAACATACCAATAATGAATAATGAAATTGAGGCAGTAATAAAGACTCTCCATAACAGAAAAGCCCTCACATCTGATGGCTTCACTACTGAATTCTACCAAACATCTGAAGAAGAACTAATATTAATTCTCAAACTCTTCCAAAAAATTCAAGAGGAGGAAATGATTCAAAACTTGTCCTATGAGTCCAGCATTACCCTGATACTAAAAACAATGACACAATAATAGTATCATCAAAAACTACAGGATAATATCCCTGACAAACACAGATGACATATCCTCAACAAAATACTAGTGAACTGAATTTAACAGTACTTTAAAAATATCATTCACCATGATCAAATGGCATTTATCCTAGGAAATGCAAAGATGGTATGACATATGCAAATAAATAAGAGATACATCACTTTAAGAGAATCAAGGTTAAAAAAATATTTCAATAAAGCAATAAAAAAATTCAATAAAATTCAACAGTCATTCATAATAAAACTTCCCAAAAATTATGTACATAAGGACTATCCTCAAGACAATATAAGGCATATATGACAAATCCACAGCTAACTTCACACTGAATGGGGAAAAATTGAAAGTTTTTTTCTAAAATCTTTAACAATACAAGAATACCCACTTTTATAACTTTTATTCAATATAGTACTGAAAGTCTTAGCCTGAGCAATTAGGTAAGAGAAATAAATAAAGGATATACAAATTGGAAAGGAGAAAGTCAAGTTGTCAATTTGTCCATGTTGGCAGAGAATATAATAATGTATAGAAAATCTTAAAGACTCTTCCAAAAACTATTAGAACTAATAAATGAATCTGGTAAAGTGGCTGTACATCAAATCAACATGCAAAAAATCAGTAGCATTTCTATACACCAATAGGAAACCACATGAAAAACAAATCAAGGCAGCAATTCCATTTATAATAGCTACCAAAAAATTCAAATACATAGGAATAAATTTAACCAGGGTGATTAAAGGTCTCTACAGTAAAAAACTATAAAACATTAATGAAAGAAAATGAAGAAGACACCAATAAAGAGAAAGATATCCTATATTCATGAATTAGAAGAATTCATATCATTAAAATGTTCATATGACCCAAAGTGATCTGTAGATACAATGCAATCTCCATCAAAATACCCATGGCTTTCTTCACAGAAATAGAGGGAAAAAAAATAAAAAACCTTAAAATTCACATGTAAGTGCAAAAGATCCCAGAGAGCCAAAGGGATCTTGAGCAAAAAGAACAAACCTGGAGGCATCACACAATCTGACTTCAAAATACACTACAGTGCTATAGTAATCCAAATAGCATGACACTGGCATAAAAACTAACACATAGGTCAATGGAAGAAAATAGAGAACCTAGAAATCAATTTACAGCCAACTGAATTTTGGCACTTGCCAAGAACATGCAGAGGTTGGGGGTAAAGGGGATGGGACAGGTTTGTCAATGAGTACAAAGTTACAGTTAGTAAAGAAGAATATTTTCTGGTGTTTTATTATGTAGTAGGGTGACCATATCTAATAACATGTATTGTGCATTTCAATATAGTTAGAAAAGAAAACCTGGAATCCTCTTTATCATCTTCCTTATCACCACAAAGAGGTGCTAATTACCCTGGTTGATCATTATGCAATAGATACATATATTAAAACATCAAAGTATACTCCCATAAACATGTACAATTATTATGTGTCCAACATAAAAAAGTAAAAGATCACATCTAAGTATGTTATAGATGAATTGCTAATAACATCAAAATATCAAGTGCATAAGGAGAAAAAACTAACATACTATATAAAATGAACAGTGAAACATAAAGAGCAATTTTTATTTATTTTTCTTTTCATTTCTACTTTTTTTAGAGATGTGGGTCTATGTTGCTCAGGCTAGATTCAAAGTCCTAGATTCCTACAGTAACCAAAATAGTATATACCCAAAGGAATATAAGTTGTACCACAAAGATATGCATGCATATGTTCACTGCAGCACTATTCACAATATCAAAGACATGAAATCAACATAATTTGCCTATCAATGGTAGACTAGATAATGTAGTATGTATATACCATGGAATACTACACAGCCATATAAAAGAATAAAATCATATTTTTGCAGCAACATGGATGGCGCTGAAAGCCATTATCCTAAGCTAAGTAATATAGAAACAGAAAACAAAATACTGCATGTTCTCATTTATAAGTGGGAGTTAAACATTGAGTATACATGTGTACTTGAGGGCCAAGGGTGGGAGGAGAAAGAGGACAGAAAAACTACCTATCATATACTATTCCTATTACCTGGGTGGCGAAAGAGTCTGTACACCAAACCCTCATAAAATGCAATTTACCTATATAACAAACCTGCACAGGTACACATGAAGCTTAAAAAAAACAGAATGATTATCATATGGAAAAAGCAAACAAATTCCTGTGTTCAAATTATCCTCCTGCCTCAGCCTCCTGTGTAGCTGGGTTTGTACGCATGTACCACTGAGCTTGGCTAGGCCAATTTGTAATCAGAAATAGAAGATAAAAAACAGTATAATAATGTTTTTAACATTCTGGAAGAAGAAAACTGCAATTTCAAGTTCTATATCCAACAATTTTTTTAACAAAGTGAAATAAAGGAAATTTCAGACAAATTGAGATAATGTGTCATCAGGAACACTGAATCAAAAGAGAAGCTAAAAGAAATCACTCACACTACTTTTAAAATGACAGCACATGAGCCACAAAATTGCAAAAAAGAATAAAAAGCATCAGAAAGGTGAAATATTTGTGTAAATGTTACAAAATGTTTTAAGCCTCTTTAAAAAATAAATAATAAACATTTATCTTCAGTTTGTAGAAGAAAAATTTAAGACAAATAAATCACAAATGCAGAAGTTGGAAGAGATGGAATTATATGCTGGTAAAGTTTTTATACCATAAAATATATTTATTTGATGGAAGATAGTAAAAAAAATTAAAAGGCATATTTTAGTGGCCATCAAAAATGCTAGATATATATTAAATACATAAGACAAAATAAAATTTAAAAATACTTATAATCAAAAATAAGACATAAAAATATAAACATATTTTAAAAGAACAAATGACAGAAATAGTAAAAGAAATAGCAAATAGAAGACTAAACCCCAACTTCATTAAAAACTACAGAAACTCTAAGTGAACTAAACAAATCATTTGAAAGTCAGAGACTGTTAGCTAGATGGAAAAAAATTAAAACAAAACTACATGGTGTTTATAAGAAACCTGCTTTAAGTATAAAGAATCATTGTAGTTGAAATAAAAAGAAAGAAACAATAATTTTATAAGCACTAATGAGAAGAAGCTGACATAGTTATCATCACAGAAAAGTAAAGTTTGTCTGATTCAATTCAAGAAACATGATTTCTGGGGAAGTAGAAAAGCATTTCCTATGATAATATGGCGAGTTAATCAGGAAAAGATAAAAATCCTCTGTGTATACCTAATAAGAGCATGTCCAAACACATATATTAAATATTGACATAGCTTAAAAACTTACCTATATAACAACCCTGGACATGTACATATGAAGCTTAAAAACAAGACTGATTATCATATGGAAAAATCAAACACAGCTTAAAAAAGAGTTAGAGCACTTCACAATAATAGGAGTTTTTATTTAATGTTTAAGCTAGGTATGAATATTAAATGTCTGAGTGGAGGTGAAATGGTTTGGCTGAGTCCCCACCCAAATCTCATCTTGAACTGTGGTTCCCATAATTCCCATGTGTTGCGGGAGGTACCCAGTGGGAGATAATTGAATCATGGGGGGGTTTCTGCCATACTTTTCTCATGGTAGTGAGTAAGTCTCACGGGATCTGCTGGTTTTATAAGAGGAAACCAAATCCCTTTCTCTTGGCTCTCATTCTCTCATCTGCTGCCACGTAAGACATGCCTTTCACCTCCCGCCATGATTGTGAGGCCTCCCCAGCCACAGGGAACTGTGTCTATTAAAACTCCTTTTTTCCTTGATAAATTACCCAGTCTCAGGTATGTCTTTATCAGCAATGTGAAATCAGACTAATATAGGAGGGAAATAAATTTAATAAATATAAGAAATTAGTGCATGGATATGTAGTTCAAGGTAGTAAATAAAATTAAAGAATTAAATTATGAAATCTGATGACCATTGATAGAAAATACAAAATGAGGAAGTGAAGTCCTAATGAGAAAGGAAAATGAGCATGGCTTTCAATCAGTTGGCCTGAGGGAATAAGAAAAACGTGATTTATATTAATTAAAATTAACTTTTAACAGTTTGTTTAAATCTTTATCTTTACCTCTTTGAGATGACTGCTTAGAAAGATTATAGTTGCATATGGGGGGATAAAAAGTAAATGGATTTCTACCTGTGTGAAAAATGTTTACATTTACAATCCCCAGGACTGTTTATCTCAAATATTTGACATTTATGGAACCACACAGGCCACCAATTCTAAATGACTTAAAAGTTACATATATTTTTTAACTAATGTAAATATTTAATTGATAATAAAAGTAACAGTTTATGTAAGTTAGAGGGAAAGTAATGTTTTGTCTTTAAGACACTTGCATCTTGATAATGTATAGATTGAAGCATGTGCTAGAATTTGTGTTTTGGCTACTTAGCAAGTTTATTTTCTTATTTTTATATATACTCCATATGTATAACTCAATACTGATGTCATCAAGAATAGTTGATGGCATTTGATGGCTATGTCAAATATCTCAGTATATGTGCACAGAACAAACACTTAGAAACGAAGGCAAGCTTTCTTACTAAAAACTACTTTAAGCTCACTGTCAGATACAAAGCTGACAGGACATAACATTCAAAAGATGGAAGATTGAGTGTTTCAGCTTAAAATAGAGGCAAATCAATTTTAAATCTGCTCTTTGATCAGGTTCTGGTATGGAAACTCTTTCCTCAGAGTCAGTGTTTGTAGTTGAATGTGGTTTTAAAGTGTGACCATTAGTTATTTTCTATAATGAAGAAAAAGGTATGGTAAAATGTCAGGCTCTAAATAGTGGAATCATTTCGCACACAGTTTGTTCTTTAAAATGCTAAGATCATATCCTGGCATTAAATATTGTGAAGATTCTGCAGCAATGATAAGTTCATGCTATACAATATACAAAATACATCACTTGAGCAAGTCCCTTGAAATCTTAGAAAACAATGCTTACTTTTCAGAATTTCCTCCAATTTCAAAAATGTGAGCATCTTTTTTCTTTTACAGCTAGTACACATTGGTATAAAGAAGTCTTGCATTTATTACACTTACTCTAGCACTGCACACTGAAAACTGGAGATTGATTTTGTGATTTGTTCATGGTTGGTCACATCTTTCAGTATTTCTTACCCTAGAATCCTCAAATCAGAAGGTGTTTTTTAAAGCCAGCAGTTTCTCTTGGATGGAGTGTATAAAAATTCAAAATCATATGACAACTCCTTAGTTGTTTTTCATAATTTCTAATCCTATACTAGTTTTTATCATTATTAACAGATAAATCATCTTAATCATTAATAATAATCATTAATCAAGGAAACAACTATTTCGTGTAGTTTTGAGCAATGATCTCAACAAAAAAGTCATTGATCAGTTTTTTTTCACATATGAATGAAGCTTATCTATGCCAAAAATGTATTAATATTTTTTCAAAAGAATGTCTTCATCCTGTTAAAAAGGAAAATGTCATGGCAAAACGTGGTGGCTCATGCCTGCAATCCAAGTACCTGTGGGAGCCAAGGAAAGAGGATTGCTTGAGACTAGGAGGTTGAGGCTATAGTGAGTGAGCTACAATCACGTCACTGTACTCCACCCTGGGAGACAGAGTGTGACCCTATCAAGAGAAAAAAAGAAAGAGAGAAACAGAGGATGGAAGGAAGGGAGGAAGGAGGGAAGGAAGGAAGGAAGGAAGGGAGAGGGGAAAGGAGGGAGGGAGGGAGGAATGGAGGGAAAGAAAGAGAACAAAAGAAAGGAAGAAAGAGAAAGAAAGAGAGACAGAGGAAAGAAAGAGAAAGAAAAGCAAGAGAAAGAGAAATAAAGAAAGAAAAAGAGAGACTGAAAGAAAGAGAAAGAGATAGAAAGAGATTGAAAGAAAGAAAGAAGGCCGGGCGCGGTGGCTCACGCCTGTAATCCCAGCACTTTGGGAGGCCGAGACGGGCGGATCACGAGGTCAGGAGATCGAGACCATCTTGGCTAACACGGTGAAACCCCGTTTCTACTAAAAATACAAAAAATTAGCCGGGCGTGTTGGCGGGCGCCTGTAGTCCCAGCTACTTGGGAGGCTGAGGCAGGAGAATGGCGTGAACCCGGGAGGCGGAGCTTGCAGTGAGCCGAGATTGCGCCACCGCACTCCAACCTGGGAGACACAGCGAGACTCCGTCTCAAAAAAAAAAAAAAAAAAAAAAAAAAAAAAGAAAGAAAGAAATATTGAGAGAAAGAAAAAGAAAGAAAGAAAGAAAGAAAGAAAGCAGAAAGCCAGCCAAGCAAGCAAGGTAGGTATGATAGTGTTTACCAAGTCCATATTTTATACTTACTGTTATGTAGAATTTAAGAGTGTCATTTGATAAACTAATTTTATTGTAATATTTAAATTGTTGTGTAACAACTATTCATCTATACCAATAAACACTTCTTATCTGTTTAGCTATTGACCGATTTTGCCAATTAGATAACACATGAAACGTGTGAAACAACACAAAATTTAACAAATAACTTTTCTGTAGACACAAACTATGTTAAATAAAATAAACCGCTTATAATGAAAAAGAAAAAAAGACCCAAGTACTCATTATATCTCAGGAAATGTTTCAGAACTTATTAATTAATAAGCATACATTTTTTACCAAAATAATCTTTCATTTCAAATTTCAAAAGTATATGGGCAAAATTATTTTTATCGTTCCCTTAAAATACCAGCAGACTATCTGGTAACACTGGAAAGTCTATCACTGATAAATTATATTGCATATATTATTTTGATATTCCTTTTAGCATATAAGACCAAATACATTTTGATTTGTTTGTCAAAGCATGTAATATTTTGGGAATAGGCCTTAAGTTAACTTCTTTTTTGTTGGCTTTCTCTACTACCATGGAAAAAAAAAAAAAATCCAGTTGCTCTGTAATTGTTTACATGTTGTGTTCAATGGAATAACTGGAGTTACAAATGGACAATGTGAGACCCTAACAGGTAGGATCCAAGTCCAGGATCTCCTGTAAGTAGATACTCCATTCAATTCAACTAGTTTTCAATAGCTTATTTGACCAGTGCTTCTCTAAGTTTAATGAGCTACAAATGACTTTTCAAAATGCAGATTCTTTGTATTAGATCTGGGATGGGGCCTGAGATTTGTACTTTTAAATAGCCTTCACATACTGAAGTTATCAAGAGAGACTTATAGAATTCAGTTTACTTCATATTTCTCTGTGTTGATCACTGGTGGGGTATGTACTTTTTCTTCTCATATTCTCCAGATCCTTCCCTGATATTCTCATTAGTTATCATTTATCACTGATTTTCCCAAACAAAGGGTTTTTCTATTTTTCCCTCACATCCCTGATGCTGATACAATTCTTGGTATATAAGCCTGATTGAGCAAAAATAATGTTACATATTATTTCAAATATTTCTGAATTTCCTTTCTCTTTTTTTTTCCTGTGTGTTGTTATTTCTGGTAGGCTTCACAGCTTTTTCTTTTTTGTTTTGTTTTAGAATTAAATAACTTGTAAAATTCTGAAGATTGAGTACATGAAAGAAACTTATACAGGCACAATAAATATTATCATTGTCTATAATAATTCCTGTAATGACACAATTTCATAAATAGTTCTATTGATTTTTAGAATAATGGTAGCATTTTAAAAATATTACTCTAAATAGAAATTATAAAACTTTAACAACTTCTAAGAAAAATACTGCAAACAATTAATTTGAGTTCAAAGATCTTAACTACTATTAAATAGCACATTCATCAAATAAAGAGGACGTTTAACAGCTGTTTATAAAATTAATGTATTATAGATGTGAATTTTTGTTCAACATTTGTATTAGAATGTTTAATTCAGAGCTCTTAGTCAAATCCATTATCTTTTTATGTGCTAAAACCTCAGTTTGCTTCTATAACATCTCACTTAATCTCACCATCACTTACTCACAAGTGCAAACCTCAAAAAGAGTGGTAAAAATTGTTTTTTACTTCTTCCTGGAATTGTAAGAACAAATAGAAGCAGTAAAACAAATGTTAAAGTGCCATCACATTTATTTTAAAATGCCATAAACTTTCTTTGAATCATCATAAAAAGTATCTAAACAGACACTGCTTTTGCCTATTCCATGCATTTTTGGTAATGTTATTTTTCCATTTTATACACGTCTTCATATCTATCTGTTTATATCTATCTATTGATCTATCTACCTACCTACACTGGTGCAAAATGAATCCATCACTAATACAGTTACCATTCGATATTCATGTTTATCACTGTAGCATCCAGAGACACTAGCAAAGGTAAAAAGCCTTTAATTCATTAGCATGAATGCTATTGTGCACTAAATACTTTGTGTAACAAATGGGATCAGAGGTACCAACAAGTCCACGAAATATTGCATAATTTACCTACACATTGCATTCAATCATTCACTTAATTATGTTTTAGTTTATATAATTTTCCAGCACACCACCCACAAAAAGTAGGAAAATTTAAAGCCTTTGTGCAATCTACATCTTTGTTATTTATGAAGATAATAGACAAATAAAAAATATGTAAACCTTTTTAAAAGTAGAAAGGGCCATGAAGCCAAATAAGTCAAGGCTTGTATAAATAACGCTTGTATAATGTGAATGCTATATTTCAGATAAATTAAAGAAAGACGTGATATTTGAGCAGCATGTTAGATCATTCTGCATTGCTGTAAAGGAATACCTGAGACTGGCTCACATTTCTGCAGGCTGTACAAGAAGCATAGTGCCAGCATCTGCTTCTGATGAGGGCCTCAAGAAGCTTACAATCATGGCAGAAATTGAAGGAGGATCAGGCATGATCCTTCTCTTGGATGGTGCTAGAGAGAGCAAGCGAGAGTAAGACGTGCTAGGCTCTTTTAACAACCAGCCCTCAAATTAACTAATAGATTGAGAACTCACTCTTTACTGCAGGCAGGGCACGAAACCATTCATGAGGGATCCACTCTCCATGGCCCAAACACCTCCCACTAGGTCCCATCTCCAACACTGGGAATCACCTTTCAACAAGAGATTTGGACAGGACAAATATCCAAACCATATCAAGCAGACAGAGTTGAATTAAAGGAGGAGGCGAGTCATCTTGTATCTGTGGTAGATCATGGCCCTGAAATTATACTTCAAAAGAGATGAGGAGCAATTGGAAGAATTTGGTGAAGTGAGCAATAAACTATGGCTTAGCTCTCAAAGAGTTTATTTAGGACTGTTATATATTTTAAAAAAAAAACAGAAGCAGAAAGATCAATAACCAAGCTTTCATAATACCTGTGAGGAGAAATGACAGTGGCTTAAGCCAATGTGGTAGCTGTGAAAGTGCGGGAAGTTTTTAAGTGAACAGATTTTCTGTCACATTGGATGTGTAATGTAAGACAAAGAGAGGCAGCAAGAATTTTTTTGCTTAAAAAACTGAGTTCATGGAATATCAATTTATTGCAATGAGGAAAACTAGAGAAGAAACTAGTTTAAGATGGTGTTTTCATTAAAGGTCAGTCACAAAAGCTGAAAATATTCTAGGATTTGTGGGGATTTTTTCTCTTTTTTTCCAATTTTTTAGCAGAGGGATTTGAATGCTGGTAATTGTTTACAACAGTTTTAGAAGCACAAGAAGTTCTTATGGCGGAAGATAATTACACCGTGGAGAAAGATATGGCCAACTGACTTCCTTGGGCCAATGAGATGTAAAATAAGCTCTAGGAGCCAGTACATCACCTTCAATCTTTGCTCTACTAAGACAGCTAGTAATCTTCTACATGATTGATGCTCCATAATTTTGCACCTCTGAGTTAGGTTGACATAGAAGAGAATCCCCAGATTACCAGTGGTTAACATGTAGTCTTAGTAATAAACATGCCAGTGAGATTTTGGAGTTATTTGTTACTGCAGTTTCAACTATTCCTTCTTGCCTAATAAGTTATAACTACTCTAAGGTTAATTACTTCAACAAGTTCAAGAAATAGCTCTTTAAAAATTCCTGCATTCAAATCTTTTGCCTATCTCTTCCATTGAAATAATGCAATCGGCAAGCCATCTGGCAAAAAGATCAATAAATATAATCTGTTAGTCTTCTATCTTGAAGTTAGAAAGGAGGAAGAGAGGGGTGGATGTGGAGCTGACAGATAATACACTACTTGGCACTGGCTACTACTTTGACTACTTAGCAAAAGAGAATAGCCATGTTTCTTCCCAATAGACTGAAACTATCCCTTGTCCAAAGGAAAACTTGCTTGCTTTTATGAAAAAGGGAGACCAAAGTCATCAGTCACTGCTTTTATCTCCTCATGACATCAATATCTCTTCTAGTTTATTTTCTATTGATAAAACGTCATTGCTTTCTTCAAGCCCAATTATCTCAGATAACTAACTCCAAAAGATATGTTTCCTTGGATTCCTTCTGGGTTGTTACTTTATCAGTCAGTGTTTAATCATGTAAACAGACTAGGAATTTGAATGGAGGTAGTTTAGGATTCTTTTTTTTTCAAAAGTGCAATTGAAGGAATGTGGAAACATAAAGGGATGGGTGAGATTCCCAAATGCTGAATACATGTAGGAATTCACTATTACTTTTAGGGCTGGAGGAGGATGAGAAATAGTGTTACTCCAAGTCCGAGGTTGCTTTGTCACCTGAGGCGTCTACTGCTGTGCTTGTACTGGCCGAGCAGAAAGCCAGAGTCTCATCTCTACTCTACACTACTCACTCTTTGTGCTGCTGCTCCTACCACCATAACTGATGCTGCTCCTGTCACGGTGCTCTTTCCACTGTTACTCCTGCTCTCTAAGTTTTCTAAATACTGCCTTTTCTACTGGCACTGCTTGGGTAACCATTGCCAGAGACATTCTCAGAAGCCATAAAAATATTTTATAACTCCTACCACCTTCCAATCTCCTGCCAGTATCTCACATCAGCAGAAACTGACAGGAAGCTATCTGAAAAGAGAGTCTAGGAAATGTATTTTATATCACTCCAGGCCAGAAAGGGACAAGTTTGATTTCTATTTTGGATTGTAGGAATGGATTCCTACAATGCTAACTGATTATCAGACACTCCCACAAAGGAGGACAGTCAATGGAACAGCTTAAGGCATGCTACATTGGAGATCCAAGTGGAGACCTTGAGTTGATATCAAGATAAATGTCTGAATTCAGTGGAAGATGTAGGATGGAGATAAAATCCTAGAGTTAGGTGGTATATAATCTGTACATGGTCTCCTGGATAATGACTAAACATAGAGAAGAAAATTTGTGCTAGGATAAAATCCTGAAATACTCTTTATAATTTGTTCATCAGCAAGAAGAGAAAGATCATGAAAGGAGGTTAAGAGGGACTAAGAAAATGACAAGGAGTTCTTGCTATTGCAAAATTTAATGAAAGCAGTGTTTCAAAAATAAGAAAACAATTTTGTCAAATGGCACTGATCAGTCAAATAAAATGAGGGCTGAGAACTAACCAATTCCTTTGAGAAGTTGGAGGTCATTAGTGATCTTAGTGGTAGCTGCTTCAGTGGAATTCTGGGGACAATTAGAGGAGATTCAGGAGTAACAGAAGAATATTAAATGATGACTGAATATATACTGTATAAAGTAATTTTGTTGGAAATGAGAGGAGGTTTTAGAAGCTGAAATAGGATAAAACATTGAAGAAAAATGTTTAATCTTTCTAAGATGGGAAATAATACAGAATATTTTGTGCTGATGCAGATGGAACAGTACACAGAAAAAGTAATGTAGAAGAGAGAGAAGAAAATTGCAGAAGGTAAGTACTTGATTTAGTGATATAGACTGGAATCCAATACACAGGGAAAAGAGTTTGTCTATATAGAAATAGTGGCAGTTGATCTATGTATCAAAACTGGCTGATAGTATATGGATTCCAGTGTTTCATAGGTATATTTGGTACTGGGGAGATATAAAAGTTACCTTCTGATTAATACTTTGTTCTTAGTTAAAGGAGAAGTGTGAAAGACAAAATAATTCTCTGAGATTGAGAAGCAGCAGAGGAACAGCTAGTTCTCAGTGTTGTTAGGAGCAGTCCTGGCATTCACAGCTAGGACTTTATGTTCCCTTACTGAACATAAAGAATCTCAAAAAAAAAAAAAAAAAAAAAAAATCACCCTGGGACTGTGATGAAGTGAGACTAAGACATACAAACAAACAAAATATCACATCATGATCTTCTATAAGCACAGACTATATTTAGATCACCGTGCAAACCACAAAAATACCACTTATCCCTAGTGATTTCTGGCTAAAAGGCGTTGACATAGGAAGGTTATCACTTGAGAAGAAGTTGAGTTTTTGAAGTTTGTGGAGCTAAGAAACAATTTGTGAAATAGTCACCTAGGCGAATGAAATTATTAATTAACTTAGATCTAGAAATAGTACGTTTTAAATACCACAGATAGTACTCTAAGGGTAAGGTGTTTGAAACTGAAATTGAGATTTGGGGTGTGCTGCATTTATTAAAATTTTTAGGCTATTGTCTTAGTAGTATAAGGTGGAGGAAAAATCAATAAAATTAAGAAACTGAGTGTCCAGTATTCTGGATGGATCACTCCAATAAATAATGTAATTTTGAAGAATGATGGCCAGGACAGTCATAGAGTGAACATCAGTAAGCCAGATATTAAAATCATCCCTGAATGAGAAAGAGTGATTAGGAAGACTGCACAAGGAATGGCAGTAAAGTTACAGTCTGATAACATGAACTTTGATGGGGCTGGTTGGGGAGGGGTGGATGTGGAGCCGACAGACAATACACTATTGGGCATTGTCCTATTGGTTAGATTTATGGTCATCCAAATTTATCAATTAAGAGTAAAAAAGAATCATCTATTCTAAATGGAAATAAGAAGCCATCTACAAGGACTGTAATGAAAGCAGCTACCTCAGAAGACAGCCAAGATCAAAAGAGAGGCAGAAGCTGAATATTTTTTCTGAGAAAAGTTTGAGGATGTCGAGTGTGATATATCATGATGACAGTTATGAGTTCCAAGGACACAATGAAAAGATTTGTGGATTAGGAATGAGATGTGATATGAGTCAGATTTGGTGATACACAAAATCAGGTGAAGATTAGAATACAATTGTTGGGGAGTGACAGGACCAAATTAGATTTCTGCTGATGCCAGAAATATTAGCCATGATGAAATGAGTCTTGCTGACCACTAAAAAAAAGGAGATGACAGGTTCTAATGGAAACTTCTTGGAACCATTGTCCTCAGAATTTTGGGATAGTGTTGAAAAAAATGTTGGGGAAAGGAGTGCAAAGTTTCGACTTGATAAGAAACATGCTTCAAATCCTTTTGGGAAGTTAACTGAGTGTAAAACAAACAATTCTGTTTATTAGGAAAAAAAAAAAAAAAACACTGGGAAACCTTTTCCAGCAACAGGAAATTACTAAAGCAATGGAGAGCTGAAAAGACTCATAGCATGGCTACTATGGTATATATTTCAAACCAAGAAAGGTTACAGTTTGCTATGAATAAATTTCCCCTTTTTAGAAATATGCATTAGGACTAAGAAGTAATACAATACAAATATAACATCAGGAAGTGAAAATGTGAAAAAGTAATATTGCATAAGAAATTTTTAAACAAGTGTTCTATACATAGTTTATCCTCAAACCATTAAAACTGGTTTTGTGTGTGTCGCCATGGGATCATCTATGAAATCATTATGGCACATTTGAAGTAGTGAGTATAATTATGTCATCTCAGCACTTGACTTTCCCAAATTCATGTTAACATTTTCTTTCCTTTTAAAAAATAAGTTGCCAACAAATGTTAAAATAGTGCTATTACCTAAAGTGTTTAGAAGAGACCAATATTAGATAGCTGGAAATAATTCAGACAACTGTCATTATTCAGAGCAGAACATATAGTGGAGCAGTCAGTTTTTCTCCAACTATTAAAAACCAATTCATTTTTTTGAGTCGATATGTGGGTATGGACACACATCTGGGTATATGAAAGTGTGGTGTGTGTGATAATGTTTACTAAAGGCTTCAGACATGATTTCTAGGTTTCAGGCTCACAATTCCTATTTCTTTGATATTGTATCTAAGATGCATTTCTTAGAAGATAGGCACTTCATAGAAATGGATATACCTTAATAACATTGATACAAAGAAGGGAGGTTACACTGAGGCAGAAATAAATGACACCCTTTATAATATTTGAAATGATCACTGTTGCCCAGTACGGTGAGCTTTTATTTTTTTTTCCTCTCCTGCAGTAATTTCCCTTTATCTCTTGTATAATAGTGTACCATAAAGTGACTTCCAGGAACATGTCACAGATTCAATCAATTTGGAATGACACAGCACTATCATTCCCATAAGTGTTCAGGCACTTCCAGGAATGATTAAAAAGCATGGCATTGCCCACCAACTGCTGGGGTGACATGTACATTTTGAAGAAGACAGCCTTATTGAGTAGTTGTCAATTGTAAAAGTGTTTGAAAATGGTGACTTTTCTATTTCTGGGGATATTTCAAAAACTTGACTGCTGTATCTGATATGTTTCTGTCATAGGCCTGTAATTTCCTCTATACCACAAATGAAAAAAGATATGAAATAGAGTCAGATAAAGTCGGTATATATGCTATCTGATGTTGCCTAATGATTTTTAATTAAAATATATTTAGATTTGAGGAAATTAGTTTTATACTGTTAGCAATACCAAATATCAGATGAGAAAAGCTGGACAAATCATTAGGTACATTATTGAGACTATTTTTAACCCATTTTAGTTATCATTTTTATGAACTTTTATCTTGATGTAAGCCTATATATAAAGACATACCTGAGTTGTTCTTCATTGGGGAAAGCTAATATTGTTACATTTATTTTAAAATATGTTGGGAATGTACTCAGAATATAACTATAAGGTTGCTATATAGGTAAAACCTTTTTAATCAGTTTATTTTAATTTGAAAACAAAAACAAAAACCTGCAATAAACGTTCATAATAAAATTTCATTTAGCTTTAATTCTTGCTATTTGTGTAACTTTATGAGGACAATTTCTTTATTAAAAAAGGAAATTTTGCTTAAATGGGACATGTGGCTTGCATTCATTCCATGAGTAGAATTAAGAGCACTTGGTATACATTTCAATTTTATAATTGTGAATATGCAGCAACACTCCAAAAGTGGATTATTCACTATTCAGAAATGCTCTAAATTTTATTTTCCTTTGGAACTATTTGATTAAATCCTAAAGATGACACAAAGACAGATTCAAGGGGAAGAGGACAGTGTGTGATAACATTTTATTCAGCTAGTAGGAAATTAAAATACATACAGAAAATATAACTGGATGGCTAATCTTGAAGTTCAAGACTTTTATTCTTTCATATGTTACATTTTATATGAAAATAATCTTACTTTCCAGTAAACAATAAGATAGTATGCCAGGGGATAAATAAACACCCATTAAAAACCATTGTATGTTTAGAGAAAGAGTATAAAAATAATATCATTTTTGGCCGGGTGCAGTGGCTCACGCCTATAATCCCAGCACTTTGGGAGGCCAAGGCGAGCAGATCACGAGGTCAGGAGATCGAGACTATCCTGGCTAACATGGTGAAACCCCGTCTCTACTAAAAATACAAAAAAAATTAGCCAGGCTTGGTGGCGGGCGCCTGTAGTCCCCGCTACTCGGGAGGCTGAGGCAGGAGAATGGCGTGAACCTGGGAAGCGGAGCTTGCAGTGAGCTGAGATTATGCCACTGCACTCTAGCCTGGGCAACAGAGCGAGACTCTGTCTCAAAAAAAAAAAAAAAAAAAAAAAAAAAAAAAAATATATATATATATACACATACATGTATATAAAATCATCCAGAGGCACTTAGCAAACTTCTCTAGGCTCACCAGCAGAACTCTATTTCATGCCCATCCTTGAACTGGTATATGGTGCTGGGGATGTCCTATACTTACTGACTATGCCTAAATTCCTGCAAGAATCAATGTCAAGAAAGACAGAATTACCATTACACCAATCAGGTCCACAGCTTCAGTTAGGGGTATTCAATCTTCCATTGGTATTTGGGCTACAATTGAAAAGAGGGGTACCATATCTTCTATTCCATAACCCTCATTAATTAAACACACACACACACACACACACACACACACACACACAGACAACCTTGAAAGTTTAGTGGCTTTGCCAAGGTCATGCAAACTTGTCTTGTGAATCTGAAGTGAATTAAGTCATGTAAAATAGCTTGGCAATCTAAAGAGCATCACACACCTTCCTCATCTTAGTATCATTGCTCCTAAAGTCCACTGAAATCAGACCCCTCATGTAAGTATGACTCAATATTTCCCGAATCCTATACTTGGCAAAGTATTTCTAAAAATGTTATACTGAAATATCTTAAGTTCTTAAAAATTTAATTTTAAACAAGTTATTAGAATAATATAAATTTATATAAAATTAATAACATATTGACATACATCAAAGGCTTAAATCTATCAGTAAGGTACATGTTGAGGGCAAAGAAAGTCTGACTGGTTTATATTGGATTTTCTTTGTTTCTTGACAGTACTCATGTCCTCCCTCCTCTTCCAGCCTCATAGATTAGATTCTGTGATCTCAGTACCATAAAGTCTTGCCATATTTTTTCAGTCATAGTTATTAGCAGATTAAACTAACTTAAATAAAATTCAAACGATTGAATAAAATATCCATAAATTAGCCTCATAATACATACAACTAAAGAAATATGGAATAGAAGATCTTTTATAATCTAACTACACATAAATAAAAGCTGTCAGATAAGATCTAAGCATCTGAGACTATATTTGGCAAAGTCACAAAATTTGTAACATAAAAGAAGCAGAGTAGGAGAGCATTTTAAAGTCTTCAGCATATGGAGTTAGTTCAAAGCGGGAAATGGCATAGAATTATTATGAATTATTTTTGGATGTGATTCAAAATTTAAGCTAGTAATAGGCATACATTAGTCTACCTGGCTTGAAAAATAACTGAGCTATGAAATAAAATGAAGACATGAATAGGACATTTTAATTAGTGATATTATTATGTGTACTTAGGATAAACTATTTGGAAAGGGCACTTGCTAAGTTATCCACTGGAGGATCAAGCAGTGAATGATAAAACTATATGTTATCATTGCCAGGAACAAAATACGCGTATTTGCCAAATTCAGCATTTTCTGTGATATTTTAGAGCCTAACCTACATTTTAGATTTTAGTCATACCCTTTCCTTTTCAAGTGATCCTAACTATTCAAAAGCTTCAGGAATAGAGATTCTAGGAAATTAAAAATTATAACAAAAATTATCACCAGTTTCCCAAACCAAAAGTATTTAGTTACTCTCATTTTCTACATTTATTCAGAGTATACACCAAATCCTAAACTGCATTCTGTACCGTCATGATCGTGTTCTTTAAAAATTGGTCTTTATACTTCTTTTTCAAATAGTACAATAAAACTCATTTTAATGTAATACCATTTTAACAGGAATGCTGCTTTTGTAAAATTAAAATGACTGCCTGGTAAGAAAGATTTTAATGATGCTTATGAGCCTTTTATGTCAATTATCACTAGGGTTTTGGCATTCATAGACACTAATAAATGGGAGAAGAAGAAAGTCCTATTTTATCACCTATCATTACCCTAATAAAATAGGATATTTTTTCAATAAGAGTATTAAGAGAAATTGCCTATTTCCATTTTTCCAGAAAATCCATTTCTACAAAGTAACCTTAGCTTTGACCCATTCTGAAAGAAACAAACACTGCTGTAGGTTTTATGCCCATCTTCCTTATATATATTTTCTTCATTCAGCTCCAGCAGCAGTCATAAGCTTGGGCAGAATTCCATTCCTCATCTGTCCAATATTCTGGAAGTAGGATCTACTATTGTTTGAATGCACTACCATCCATTATCTTTCCAAAGTACCTATTTGCCAACAAAATCCTCATTGAATTTTATAATGTTCTATCTTATGTGAATAAATTAAACTAATATATATTTGCAATCTACCTGGTAGTAGGCACTGTGATAGGCAGACATCTCAAAGATTTTTATTCCCTCTGAAAACATTTTGTTGTTTTTTGTTTCTGTTTTTGTTTTGTTTTGTTTTAGAGATGAGGACTTACTCTGTTGCCCAGGTTGGAGTGTGGAGTACAAAGTGTGATCATAGTTCACTGAAGCCTGGGACTCCTGGGCTCAAGAGATCCTTCTGCCTCACTCTCCTGAGTAGCTGGGACTATAGGCACATGCCACCACGCCTGACTAATTATTTTGTTTTTCCTTTTTTGATTTTTGTTAGAGAGGGCTGACTCACTAGTTGGAAAGGTTGATGTCAAACTCCTGGCTTCAAGCAATCCTCCTGCCTTGGCCTCCCAAAACACTAGGATTATAGGCATGAGCTACCATGCCTGGTCTGAACACATTGTCTTAATTTCTATCTCTACAGCTTTATTTTTTTCCTCTGCACTTACTTAGCTCTATCTCTAAAATCACACCTTTGTATCTGTACCTTACCAAGTTCTCTCATGGTACTGTCCATTATGTTTTCTTATCTGAATTTGTTTGCTCTATTGGTATTCTTGGACATTAATAGTTCTCACTGACACCAACTTACATGAAAACAATATTTTCCTTATGCAATTCTAAGGACCTCGAAATGACAAAGATTCTCTGCTGGACCAAAATTGACTTAGTGTTCTAAAACTTCTCCAACGTTCATCTGTGCACTTCCTTGTAAAATCCATTTTCAGCAAAAACCCTAAGTAAGTATAATAAAAATCCTGTATGCTTGATATCTCACCACCCTTAATATCTGATCAGGTTCCTTATGCTCTACCATCCTCGACTGGATGTCTGATCAGCCTGTCCTGTCTTCGGCAAGAATCCTGTTAGGTAGGTTTATTCAGAATTCAACTTACCCCTTATGTTTCCTCTTAGTGATTTTTCATTCATTGAACCCCACCCTGTTCCTCAACCATAAATTTGTACTTGCCATCACCGTATTCAGAGTTGAGCCCAATTTCCCTCTCCCACTGCAAAATCTCATTGCAGTGGTTCCATACCTATCTTGATGGTCCTGAATAAAGTCTTCCTCACCAGACTTTAACAAGTATCATTGAATAATTGGTATTAATGTACTTCTACTCTAATAGTGCCCCTGGAAGCAAATGTGCACCAAAAATATATTTTACTTTAGCAATTCTAAAGACTCTAACCCATGGTGATTTAAAAATTTTCACGTTTTACAGATATATTTACTTAAACTAGTAAACCTTGCAGTATGCATCTATTATTCTATCATCTATTTCCTTTGAATTTTCTTTTGGGAAACAATTATTCCTAATCTCAGTCTTTGAAATTGTGGATGGGAGAATGTACTTCCTGGCTGTTCCTGGCCACAGTGAATGATTTAATGTCGATTACGAGATAGATGCCAAACCAGATGAACTCAATCCAGACACTTGGGTCAAAATTACAGGATATTAAGCACTCTTTTTCAGGTAGGTTTGCCAAACCAATAGAATCAAATCACCCTTTCTTTGCCAGGAGCAGAGAGACATAAAAGCAATACAGAGGAAACCAGAACTGAGTGACAAATAGATTTCTGATGTAATCTTCAATCACATAAAATCATTCATGCTTGGAAACAGCTCTACTAATGAAATGTTCTGTTATTTGAGCAAGAGATTGCTTGCTTGCATTTTTTCTTTATTTAATTTGAGTTTACATTACCTGTAAGCGAGAGTCCTAAGGTACATTCTTAACTGTAGTCATCCATCCATTCTTATAAATCTTCATCTTTTTCCCTACATAAACCTGCAACAATCCAGGTATAATGCAAACATTCACAGGCCATCACCAATGGTTAGATTCTCTTCACCATTTCTTTTCCAACCCAAGGTTCAGTGTTCCCTATAATTGTCTCGCATATCTCTTCTTTATAGAGCCTCTAATTTCTTCCTAAATTACTCTTAGCTTAGATGAGTATTTTTTGCCTCAATGACACACTAATGGTATTTGCCCTAGTGGACATCTACCATTCCCTTCACATGACTATTTGTTTACACATTTTTTCTTTTATATCTTTTTCTGCTCTCAGTGCTGTTTCTGCCCCATACTGTGTATTTCCATCTTTCCCTCCCAACCAATGACCTCAATATTATTCACTGCATCTCCACGTGGAAGTTTGGCCTCAAGTCTGAGAAAAAATTAACCTTGGTTCTTTGTATTTGCCTCTTAGTCTGTATGTTAAATTCTGATTTGTACTAACTGCCTGCTTGTAATAACTACCAATTCTCATGTAAGTTTGACTAGATGTAGAAACTTAGGCAAACTATCTCGCCTCTCTGGACTCCAATTTCTCACCTGAACACGAGAGATACACATTAAAACCTCTTCTGGTGTTACTTTAAAAAATATCTTATACCTCATATATATAATGTTACATGATGCCTTAGAACATTTTTAACTACTTTAATTTTCTAATCTGTTCAGTTTCATTATGCCTTAAAATGTACTATCTCTATGAAATAAATTCATATCTGAAAATTATCAGAGTATACTTTTTTGTTTAAAAATAATATATTTAGTATTATATCAAGTGTGCTTATAATTTTATATATGTACAATACGTCCATTTGTATAGGTAGATGTAGTATATTTTTAAAAATTAATTTATGTATCCACATACTTCTTTTAATAAGTATTTTACTGTGCATCTACTATGTGACAGGCAATGTTATAGTTGCTGAAGGTAGAAGAATAAAAATGGCAACAATGGCAAAGTACTTCTCTCATGGAGTTTGCATTCAATATGTAGGGAATAAAAGAAGATAATACACAAACATTCAGAAAAAATGAAAGATTGATAAGCCAATATATTTCATACATATTAATGTTTAAATCAATTTTACCTATATTTCCTCTTATAATTGGCTTTCAGAAACTTTAGAAAATTTTTGCTAGAAAAAACTCACTCTTAATCAAATATCCATAGCACCCTTGGTATGAAACTGGTTTTCTTTTCCAAATGTGGAAAACTGAAGCAGCTTAGTAAGAACACTTCTAAAGCATATCTGAGCAATGGGCCAACTGTCAAAGACAGAGATAAGATGTTTAATGGCTGAAAGGGAAAAGCTTGGGATCTTTTGAATATGATGATGATGAAGTTAATAATTCAAAGACCATAAGCAGTACACAATTCGACAGCATTTTAAAAAACCAAATACCTTCTGATCTTTAGTTTTATAACTAATAGACTATAATTGTGAGATGGCTTACTAAAAGTAGTCATACAATCTGAACTGAGGAATGAAATCCTCCATCAATACTTCGTAGATGAAATTGGACAAAGAAGCTATCTAGTTTAGCAGTTTCTATGATGCCAATTTTTAAAAGGCATTAAACACCTTACTGGAATAAATCAGAAATATAATGCCATTTAAACTCTATGGGATCTATGTGCTTACACAACAGACAAAAAAAATTCCAAATTTTCTCACTTCCACCTTTGACAGTACCTCTAAATCGAAACAAGCAAGCAATCTATGAAAGTGCCAGTACTGTTCCTACTAAATAAATATTTAAAGAGTATCGCTTTGAAAGTGTGGGAAATTACTAGTCTCCTAGCAGGCATCAGTCAAGATATGCTTATAGATACCAAATTTAATGCCCTGATTTATTGTTCGCAAGTTTCTAAAAGAAAATAGGGTTTAACTTCACAATGTGACTTCTTGGGAACCCTCTTAGGCTGAACAAAAAGTCATAAAAACAGATGTTGAACTTCATAATATTTGTGAAATAAAACCTTACTTTGGATCTATCAAGGAGCTTTACATAAAACAAGGAGTATAAGAGATGCTTATTGGTTTAATGTCTATAAAATTATCTAAGGTGTACATAATATTTATTGATGAACTTGCTTAAGATTAGGAAGTTCTATTAAAGCCAAATTGTTCTTTGTTCATATGTATGCCAATTATTTATTCAGCATCACCTTTGTCACCAAATAGATAGACAATATTAAGATCTTTAGCATTTTAAATATACCCCCCCATGAAACCAAACAGCCTCACTAAACAACTACATCAACAGCTTTTGAGTCTGGCTAACAGACACTCATTCCCTAATTATGCTTCCAAACATGTCTTCACTTCAGAAGCTGTAAAAGGAAAATATTTTCAAATTCCCTTGGATGAGGTTTAGGCTTCTATGAAAATTTTGCTTTTTCTCATGAAAGTAACTGAAATAATTTATACTCTTTCTTTTGCCTTCTTCTCGTGATTGTTAATGAAATACCTGGATCTTCATCAGTCATCTAGCCATGGTGGAAAAGTAAAGGAAATCAATGAGATATTTGATGGACATCATTGAACCACTAAAGCAATATTATCTGCCATCAAAATGTGGCCCTTAAACATACAACGATTTGAGAATATACTTATTTATTTAGGTCATTCTAGCCCAAGAATATGTTAATTATAACAAAAGTTGCTCACCAATATATATATTTTCTAAGCCATGATTATGAAAATACATTTATGTGCTTAAACTAATTTCCAAACAACACAGTGTTTTTTTAGACAGACCATGAGGCAGTGGTCATCATATTGATAACATAAACCCACAAACTTTGCCCTAATTAATCCCTGTGCATTAAAAAAATTGAGTGATTTTTAAAATATATTTTATCCCGTTGCTGTTTTTATAGTCTGAATTAAGCAATTTGGTTGACAGAGGTTGGAAACTAAGGAAGAAAATAATGATAAAGTTGTTTTAAAAAGATGTAAAGATGAATAAAAGGAAAAACTATGTGTACACACAAAAAATATGTGAGGCAGTTAAGGTATGAACTTTTAGTTAGGGGAAACAAAGTGTCAGATGCTAGACTGTAGGAAAACTCACCAAATCTGAATAACTAGTCTAGATCTATAAATATAACTATCTACACAACATTTTACAGAAGCAGTGTTACAACATAAAATAACAGACTTTTAAATCTATAAAACCTAGATAGGGTAGTTTTACCTTTTATTTTATCTTTATAATCTGCTGGTTTATGCTGGGCAATTTTCTTAACTTTTCTCATTAGAATTCTCATTTCTAAACTTGTAAAAATAATACCATATTGGGATTAAAATTAGAAAATATAACAAATGATTTTTCACATCATATTCATTATATCAATTTTATTTAGTTCTCTTTTACAGCATCCTTCTAAGCTGATTTACCATACTCTCATCAACTCTCATCTTCAGTTCTAAAATCACTTTCTAGTGAGTCTCCCTGACTATACTATTCTAACATAGAATCTTCTTTAATGCTTTTGTAAATACAATTGGAAAAAAAATAAAAAAATCTTAGCATATAATATTTTTTAAAAAAAATTAGGGGCCATTATTTGTGTGTAAATCAGTAGTTCTCTATCAGGATTGATTTTGTCCCTGCACCATATTTGACAACATCGTGAAACACTACTGATAATCACAAATGGAGTATGTGTGGAAATGCTACTGGCACTTGGTGAGTGGAGGCCAAGAATGGTAATAAATATCTCATAATGCATAGAAGTATTATACTATCACAAGGAATTATCTGATTCAAAATTTCAATAGTGTCCTTATCTATTAAAATGACAACCTTTTAGTCAAATGTCTTTATGGTCTAAACTTTGCCCAGTTCTTCTGTCACAAACTCATCATGCATTGTATACTTTGATCATTTCAATGGTCTTGCATTATTTTTCTAAATAAATCAAAACCTTTTAAACTTTTTTTTTCTTTTCTTTTTTTGAGACAGAGTCTTGCTCTGTCTCCAGGCTGGAGTTCAGTGGCACAACTTGGGCTCACTGCAACCTCCAACTCCCTGGTTCAAGCTATTCTCCTGTCTCAGCCTCTCGAGTAGCTGAAATTACAGGTGTACGCCACCACACCCAGCTAATTTTTGTATTTTTAGTAGAGATGGGGTTTCACCATGTTGGCCAGGATGGTCTCGATCTCCTGACCTAGTGATCCACCTGCCTCGCCCTCCCAAAGTGCTGGGATTACAGGTGTGAGCCACCGTGCCAGGCCAAAACTTTTTTTTTCTATTATTACTACTACTACTACATAGCAATGATCTTGAACAAATCATTCAGCCACTACTACTGCATAGCAATGATCTTGAACAAATCATTCAAACTAACCACTTTTCTTACCTTATCTGGAATTGTTGGACCTCATAAATTCTAAGTTCCCTCAAGCTTTAACATTTATTATAATTTAAATTATAAATAAAACTGGGATTGATTTTGCACTATATTGAATTATGAATGCTAATTATTTTTGTAATAATTATTAAAGCACAAGAAGAGCAGATAAACTTTATTTTTTTCAACTTTTGGAACAATGTTTTATAATTTTACAATCAGTAAAGCTATTGAACTAAGAACCCTAAATATTTAAGGTTATTGGATAGATGCAAACAAACTATATATTGTAATAATTAACATGGGATTTTTCTGTCAAAATTGTAAATATTTACACTTCTAATTTTTATATAAATCAAATGTATTTTTGTTCCTATCCATACAAAATCTAATGTTAGCTTCAATACACTGTTAAAGTAATGAATAATGTTGATACTGGGAAGAATTTTACTAATTCTTGGAAACTTGATTTTGTCTGGTCTCAAAATGACTGAGCCAAAGTAATGACATATTTGGAAGAAAATAGAAATAAAATCTTTCACATTTCTTAACTATCACCTTTAAATTCAGTTGAAGAAACGTGCCTTCATAGCTTTAACAGTAACACAAACTAAGGACAGAGAAGGGCATAAAGTTGTCCATGTAATTCCAGGCAAGAGACAGAGACAATGAGAACTGAGTCATATACAGGTCACCAATAAACAAATGTCCACATGCCAGTCACAATATATTCAGTAGCCTGCAGGTCTAGTGCCAAAAGTGGAAAAATCTATTCTCTTGCCTAAGGATTTAGGCAAGTTTTTTCTTACTTTACCATTTATTTTCATTTTTTTGTGAACAAATCTTCTCAATGTTTATATTTATTAGTATGAAAGAAAATAGTAATAAAATTGATGCTGAAACAAACACATCTCATTCTAGCAATAATAAAACTGTTCCTTAGACAGATGGGTTATTTGACAAAGAAGCCTAGTCCAAATCAGGAGATAGATTTTAAATAAAAATGCAGCTTCTAATATTTAATAATTATCTGTAAAATTTAATGAAAGATTTATATTGCTTTGGTCATTTGTATTCTAATAAAAACATCTCATGAAAATTCAATCCAGAGAATCTGAACACTTAGATCCTTAAGATCACAGAAAATTTAAAATATGAAAATTGCACACTCTCTCTTTCTCTCTTTAAAGAATGTCATTTTATATTTTCCACCTTATCTATGAGGCAGATATCATATTCCCTATTTCATACATGATCAAAATCCAGTGGACTAAAACCTCATTCAATAATACAATAAATAAGTGAAAGAACCATAATTTAAATCCAGATCTCCTGATTAAACTGTGTCATATTCACTGTATACACCCTGAATTTCGGCATCAGTGATTAACATAACTGAGAAAAATTTGAAATAAATTTTGTCCACCCCTAAAATAGACAATATAATATTCTACTTTATTTCAACTACATTAACATCTAATAAATAAATCTGTACTTAATTATGTAAAATAAATTTTACATAACTAGGCATGTTTTAGTAATTTATATTGAAGTATCTCTTGTGTCAGACACTATGATGCTTTTATGTACATTACTTTAAACCTCATAATAAGATAAGATATAAAAATTGTGTCTCCTCTTTTGGATAAGAAAATTACAGAATATTATTTAAATGCCTAGCATTGCAGAATTATTAACTGGCAAGGCTGAGATTGGAATTCAAACTTTAAGTATCAAGGCCCATGATTTTAAACACTAAAGTCTGTATTTTTTTTTTTTTTTTTTAGTGTAAGTGGAGCTGACTAATTCAGTCAGTGTTTTGATAAAATCCTTACATTTTAGGTATTAATTCATAATTGGTTGACTTTATTTGCCAACTGTATATTTGCTTTGTAGGGAGTGTGAAATTAGCACCAATTTTAAGTAAAATAAACTTTTATGAAATGTAATTAAGATTAAAGTTTATCACAGCACAGTTCATGTTCATGGACTGGAATAATTAATACTGTTAAAATGCAATCTGCATATTCAATGCAATCTGTACCAAATTACCCATGACATTTTTCACACAATTAGAAAAAAAACAAGCCCCAAATTTGTCTGGAACCAAGAAAGAGTCCAAATAGCCAAAACAATTACGAGCAAAAGAACAAACCTGGAGATATCACACTACCTTATGTTAAAAAATATATTGCAAGGCTATAGTAACTGAAACATCATGGTATTGGTATAAAAACAGACACACAGACCAATAGAAAGACAAGATAATCCAGAAATAAATCCATATATATATACAGCCAAGTCATTTTCTATAAAGGCCCCAAGAACATACACTGGGGAAAGGACACCCTCTTCAATAAATAATACTGAGAAAATTAACAATAAAACTGAACCCTTATCTCTCACCATATACAAAAATTAACTCAAGATGGTCTAAACACTTAAATGTGAGGCCCCAAACTGTAAAACCGCTAGAAGAAAACATAGGGAAAACACTTCAGGACATTGGTCTAGGAAAAGATTGTACGGCTAAGACCTGAAAAGCATAGACAATGAAAATAAAAATAGACAAATGGGACTGTTATACTACAAGCTTCTGCACAGCAAAGGAAACAATCAACAGTGAAGGAACAACCTGTTTAATGGGAGAGATATTTACAAACTGTTTATCTGACAAGGAACTAATATCCAGAATATACAAGAAACTCAAATAACTCAATAGTAAATAAAAAAACTAAATAATCCCTGAATTATTAAACAAATGACCTGAATAGACATTTTTCAAAAGAAAACATACAAATGGCCAACACATATATGAAAAAAATACTCAATATCACTATTCATCAGGGAAACGCTAATGAAAAACACATTTCATTTGAGATATTATCTTACCCCAGTTTTAATGACTACTATTAAAAAGACAAAAAGTAAGAGACACTGTGATATGGTTTGTCTGTGTCTCCATCCAAATATCATCTTGAATTGTAGCTCCCCAAATCCCCAAGTATCCTGGGAGAGACCCAGTGGAAAGTAATTGAATCATTAGGGTCAGATTTTCCTGTGCTGTTCTTGTGACAGTGAATGAGTCTCATCAGATCCGATGGTTTTATAAGGGGCAGTTCCCTTGCACAAGCTCTCTTGCCTGCCACTATGCAAGACGTGCCTTTGCTCCTCCTTCACCTTCCGCCATGATTATGAGGCCTCCCTGGTCATGCAGAACTGTGAGCCCACTAAACCTCTTTTTCTTTATAAATTACCCAGTCTTGGGTATTTCTTCACAGCAGTATGAAAATGGACTAATACATACTGGCAAGGATGTGGAGAAAAGGAAACTGGTATGCTGTTGGTGGGAATGTAAGTTAGTACAGCCAATATTGAAAGCAGTTATGGAACTTTCTCAAAAAACTAAAAAAATAGAACTACCATATAACCCAGTAATTCCAGTACTGTGTATTTGATCAAAAGAAAAAAAATCAGTATATCAAAGGAATACCTGCAATCCCATGTTTATTGCAGCACTATTCACAATAGCAAACATATGGAATCAACCTAAGTGTCTGTCCATCAACAGATGAATGAATAAAGAAAATGTGGTGTATACACACAATGGCATACTATTTGACCAAAAAAAATACAACCATATTATTTGCAGCAAGAAAGATGGAGGATATTATGTTACATGATATAATCCAGGCACAGAACGACAAATATTGCATGCTCTCACTCATATGTGGAAGCTAAACAAGTTGATCTCATGGAAGTAGAGCGTAGAATAATAGATACCAGAGGCTGGGAAGAGTGTGTGGGTGGGAGGGGAAATGAAGAGAGGTTGGTCAGGGGGTATAAATATACAGCTAAATAGGAGATACAAGTTTGAATGTTTTACAGCAAAGGAGAATGACTACACTTAACAATATTTTATTGTAAATTTCAAAATAGCTAAAAGAGAGGACTTGAAATGTTCCCAATATATAGAATTGATAAATACTTAAGGCAATGGACACCACAAATACCCTGACTTGATTACGACACAGTCTATGCATGTAACAAAAAATTATAGGCACCCCATAAATATGTAAAATATTTTGTATCAATAAAAATAATTGGTATAGCAAATATAGCAATACAGTCAATGAATTACATACTATCTGATATTATTTAACTATTTTTATTTTATAATTATTTCCTTTTATTTTATTTCATCTAAATAATAAAAAATGAAAGATGAAAAGACCAGTTTTGTTACTATTTGATTATGAAACACTGTCACTTCAATCAGAAAAAAAATTTCAAACAGACTAATATAGAAATATTTAAAAAGTCTATTTAAGATAATTCAAATTAAGTTATTAAATGTTTGATGTAAGTTAAAGATACCAGAGGATTTTCTCATTTCTAATATTTCCATATGACACCTATTCCTCATCAGGTAATAATGGTATTTATTCTGAATAACATGTTCTTATTGACTAGTTTTAACTCTTTACACTTAAAAGGATTTAGATTCAAATCACAATAAAAATTAACAAATATATTTAACCGAATGACGATGCAGCTACAATGTATCAAAACATATGAGATGCAGCCAAAACTTTGCCTGGAGAGAAATTCATAACTTTAAGTGCTCACATCAGTTAAAAAAAAGGACTGATAAATAGTGAGTTAAGTTTTTACATTAAAAAATTAGAAAAGAAAAAGCAAAATAAATATGAAAGTAGAGAAATATGTATACAATTAACAATAAAAAGATAACATCAAGAATTAAGAAAACAGATATCAAAGATACCTTAAATAAAATAAAATAAATAAAAGCAAGTTACCTCTTCTTAAAAGCTAATAAATTTGGCAAATCACAGCAACACTGATCGAGCAAAAAAGGAAACACAAATTATGACTGCTAATCCTATGAATGTTTAAAGAAAATAAAATACATAATTTTGATAAACTTCAGGCTATAATTTTCAATTCAAATGAAATTGATAATATTTTAGAAAAATGCAGGTTATCAAAAGAGAAACAAGTAGGAACTCTGGTTATTAGTATTTTAAGTAAATATATCAAAATGTATAATGAAACACATTCCTGCAAAGAAATAACCAGATCAAGATGGTGTCTTATTCATATCAAGAAAAATGTATGAGGAATGAGCTTATGATGTAGCTAAAATATTCTCTCCATCATCAGTGACATGCATTGATTCTTTATTATGTATATATCTTGTGTTTCAGGTATATTATTTTATTTAATTCACAAAGCAACCATACTGTATTTGTCTGCTCTAGTTGCCATAACAGAATATCAAAGAATGGGTGGCTTAACTAACACGAATTTATTTTTCTAACAGTTGTGGAGGCTGGAAGTTCAAAATCAAGGTACTGGAAAAATTGGTTTCCAGGTGTGGCCTCTGTTCCTGGCTTGCAGACAGCAGCTTTTTCACTGTGTCCTTGTACAGCCTTTCCTCTGTGTCTACAGTCTTGTTATCACTTCTTATATAGACACCAGTTTTATTGGATTAGGCCAACACCCTTATGATCTCATTTAATAGTAATTAGCTTCCTAAAGGCCCTTTATGCAAATACAGTCACATTGATGATTAAGACTGTAATATTCCTTCATCAGGTGGAGACAGTTGAGTTTGTGAACCAAAGTGTTTTGTTGCCTTTTTGCTGGGGTCTGCAAAGATTTACTGGGGACAAAATGCAGTTGAGATCAATTTATATTGATCTCAGTATATCAATTGAGATCAATTATATCAATTTATATATATATATTTTATATATATATATACATTTTTTTTTGAGACAGAATCTCGCACTGTCACCTGGGCTGAATTCAGTGGTGCGATCTTGGCTCACTGCAACCTCCACCTCCAGGTTCAAGTGATCCTCCTGCCTCAGCCTCCCAAATAGCTGGGATTACAGGTGCCAGCCACCACGCCCGGCTAAATTTTTGTTTTTTAGTAGAGATGGGGTTTCACTATATTGGCCAGTCTAGTTTCAAACTCCTGATCTTGTGATCCGCCCACTTCAGCTTCCCAAACTGCTGGGACAATTAATATTTTAATGGACATTTATTACTTTTGCTTCTCACGCCCTTCAGGAAAGAAATATTAATTTCTCTATGCTTCTCTGCAAAGACCCCACTCCAGTGATCTCTGTAATAATTGTGCTGATTAGGCAATGAAGCCATGGGGGCCTGAAAAGTGAGAGAAGCTAGAATATATTCACTAAAGAGGAAGAGAACAGACAACAGTGCAGAAAACTGGGGGATCAGGAGTTCAGGGAGATATAAAGATTAGTGTTGTCTAGGGAGTTGAAATTGAGGAATAGTACTTTGGAGAAAAGTTGTCTCTATATAACAGTATGGTAGTCTCTGCTACTCGCATTCCACTGAAAGCTTAGGAAGCACCATATTCAATGAGGAAAGGACTGCAAAAGCTAAGAATACAGAAGAATCTCCACCAGCCTAACTCAAAGGTAGCTAGCCCTTGGTCCTGAGCTCATCTGCTAGGAGCAATCCTCACTCAGCACAGGTGTTAAGGCTTCCATTGTAGTAACTTCATTTCCTATTGGATGAGGCCATGTTTATTAAATATCATAGGTGTGAATTATTAATTTGTTAATATATTTACAATAAAATTAAAAGTAATATTCATGAAGGATGTAATATTGGTTTGTTTTCTTCTTAAAAAATGACAGATAAGTCTTAAGTTAAAAATGTCTAGTAAAGTTATTTGGTAAAAGCAACTACAGAGAACTTAAGAATATCCTAAAATATCCAGCAATACCGTTGGTGAAAACTGTAGTGTGAAACCACAGTGATTCCCAATTGTGGAATTCTTTTACTTTTACACTAACAAAGCCATGGGTGATTTTGACAGAATTAAATGTCCAGAGTGAATTAGGTAATACATCACTTAAAATTTCCAAATATTTTTCTTAATCTAGAAAGTGAAAATGTTTTCTATTCAAGAGAAATGTTCTCAGTAGCAGAACAAATGTATTTTAAACACCTATTGCCAGAAGGGCATGGAGGTAGGCACTGCAACTGTAACCAACTCTACCTCCAGTAGAGATGGTTAAAAGCAAGAACAAACATTATGACTAAAACCTGAAGGTAACATCCATCTTTAGTAGGGTAAAATACTACATTTATTTAAACCCCGGGCTAGTATCCTATGGAAATAGACAAACTGTGTTTTAGTAAAAATGATGGCACTGTAATCCCAGCACTTTGGGAGGCTGAGGCGGGTGGATCACAAGGTCAGGAGACTGAGACCAGCCTGGCCAACATGGTGAAACCCCGTCTCTACTAAAAATACAAAAATTATCTGGGTATGAGGCTGAGGCAGGAGAATCACTTGAATCCTGGAGGCAGAGGTTGCAGTGAGCCAA
Source organism: Homo sapiens (assembly GCF_000001405.40). Taxonomy (NCBI): domain Eukaryota; kingdom Metazoa; phylum Chordata; class Mammalia; order Primates; family Hominidae; genus Homo; species Homo sapiens. The sequence continues at coordinate 105,280,974 of NC_000005.10, forward strand.
GATTGCACCAATGCACTTCAGCCTGGGAGACAGAGTGAAACTCCATCTCAAAAAATAAATAAATAAATAAATAAAATAACGAAATAAAGATGTTCAAGATTGGATAGTCTTCTGAATATCCAACAAAATGTTTTTGTTAATCTATTGTAAAGCACAGAGTGGTAATGTATTGCATTTTTCATGTAATAATAATACTGTCATAATTACTATGTAATAAATACTATGTCATACTTTGTAAGTATGCATGGTTGGGGAGTTTATCTGTAGGGATTCATGCAGCCAAGTAAAATCACCTCTATTTTACTCTCAGTGATGGAAACAGTAATCATAAAAAGCTCTTTCCTACTAGAGAAACAAAATTAAAACAGAAATCAGTGAGATCAACAAAAAAGCAAATGTTCATGGTATTTCATTCACACTGGACACCTGTTCATGGAAAATAGGGCCATAATTTCTAATTTGTGGATAAAGCATTACTTTTATTAACTATTTATTTGTTATGAACTTAGATGCTTTCAGCAAAACACTGACAGCAGTGTTGGCTTTTTTATTATTTAAGTTATAATAATCATCATTTAACTATATTTATAAAAAGAAGACCATTGATTTTCATTTATTTCAAACATTAAGGACCGCATTATTTTTCGGGAAATGTTGTCTTTTTTAATAGAAAATTATTTTTAAACAGAACATTTACTTTAGTTGATATCAAATTAATACTCTGAAAGGCTACCTTTTGAAGAAGCACAATGTTATATTCAGTCTTTAAATTGTTGTTTCAAAGGCTTACATATCTTTTCTTAAGATATCACTTAATATGGCCGGGCGCGGTGGCTCACGCTTGTAATCCCAGCACTTTGGGAGGCAGAGGCGGGCGGATCATGAGGTCAGGAGATCGAGACCATCCTGGCTAACACAGTGAAACCCCGCCTCTACTAAAAATACAAAAAATTAGCCGGGCGTGGTGGCGGGCGCCTGTAGTCCCAGCTACTTGGGAGGCTGAGGCAGGAGAATGGCGTGAACCCAGGAGGCGGAGCTTGCAGTGAGCCGAGATCGCGCCACTGCACTCCAGCCTGGGCGACAGAGCGAGACTCCGTCTCAAAAAAAAAAAAGATATCACTTAATATATCTTTAAGGTATCTTGAGGTATCATTTCTTAAGTAATAGCACTAAGATTTTTTTATTCACCTTTTCTTTAGATTGTTCACTTCAGACATAGAGTCTTAATTCCAAGAATTAAAATGTTCTCACTAATGCTGTTTAGTCTATTTTAAAAAGAAAGAAAGCTGAGGCAAACAAATACTACGATGTTCCAAAATATGGCAGAGTCTCACAAACGTTGTGATGTTCGTAAGTTACTGAAGACATCTTTTCTGATCTAGTCAGATATAAAGTACTAGAAGGCAAAACTAATACGGGTTGTTAGAAGTCATTCTGGAAATTTGATTTTGACTGGAAGGGAATATGAGGCTTCTGGGTTATAGGTAATATTCTGTTTCTTAATCTATTGCTGGTTGTATGAACATATTCAGTTTACAGAATGTACCAAGTTGTGCAGTCATGATTTGTGTTTCTTCTGCATGTGTATTATAATCCAATGTTTTTTAAAAGATTGTTTAAAAAGTATAGAGCACATTGTTTCTCATGTTAAGGTGGTACCAAATTAAGTTTTCTCAGTTCTACTTAGACTTTGCATCCTAAAAATTGTCAAAAGTATTTAGTTATTCACATTAAACTAGTCATCTAGACTTTTAATAATACAATACTTAGGATTTATGGTCTTATGTTTCTCTGAATTTCCATCAACATTCTTTCTGTTATTTGTATATTCAAACTAACTAAAATAAAACTTTTCTCTGAACCTTGAAGCAAAAGCCTCAGTCCAGAAAGTTGACTAAAATACACAGAATGACCATCTGCTTGTCAATATCTTCTGAATATTCATATTTTCAGGACTTTATATGAAGTGCATATATTAAGATGTTCTTTTCATTGATTTAAAATTCATAAGTAAACAGTAAATGAATTTTCAAATATCTGAATAACATGTTACAACAAAGCCAAACAAAACACTAAGCTTTCCTGGTGTCCATTTTTGTTGGAATTCATGCCAATCATTGTTACTGTTCAGCAAATTTATTTTCTAAAATCACATTTCAGGGAGCTAGAGCTTTGAATGACATGCCCAGCTCAACTCATTTTTCAAACTAGAATTAAAGTATTACCAGTTGGTTGCATTCTGTTCTCACAAGGATGGTATGCTATTTTTTTTTTTTCTAAAATATGACAATGAGATGCAGAAAGTGTCATGTTATCAAATGTGAAGTAGATGAGTTCCCCCTGAGGAAAAACTTTCCACAACAGGTCAAACAGTTGTCTGAAAAACATTTAAATTTATGAACTCTTCATACATTTGCATGACAATGAGTCACAATATAAATTCATGTACCCTTATTATTTAAATTGAGGATAAGTAGCATAATGTAACTGAAATTGTGTCTTTAAAAATGGCACTTAACACCTAAGGTATTTCTTCTTTGTTCTTGCTGTTACTCAGCAGATAAAATAACAACTGATGACAATACTAATACTGGATTAAAAGGGGAAACTAAATGCATGCAGAAACACATTATAACATAAAACATTGTATCTAATCAATTTATTCATTAATAAATCTATAAATTAAAAGGATGTGATTTGCATGGTGTAAGAAAAAATGAAATGAACTGAAAGCTCTTAGAAACCAAATTTCACACTATCTGGCTGAGTGACTTAAAAAAATCCTCTAATTCATCTTTCTTATGTTAAAAAAGGAGTCAAATTATATCAACTGTTAGGTCTCTTGAAAATGTTCTATTATCTTTAGACTTGACTGTAACAGAATAACTTGTGGATATTTTAAAAAATACAAACGTGTATGCCACTCCAGAATATTGAGAATTCTAGTATTGGGATATGGGCATTATAATTTTATTATGAATATACATATACACCCTAGATGGATAGATATATCAATATACCTATATATCTCTGTCTTTATGTACATATATAAAAATATAAAGATATATCAATGTATGTCTATCTAACTATAAAGTTGTTGTTTAAACAATTTGGCCATTTATACTTGTCAGGCTCTTGTAACAAGGAACAACTTTTAGAGGTGACAGTATGTTGTAGTTTCTTGGTTACTACAATGTTTTTGCAATTAATTGTGTTTAATTTGTGATTTTATGACACAACCAGCCACTTATTGGCAATCATCAAACCAGTCTACACTCTAGTCAATGACACACTATCCATGGTGCCAGTTACGCACTCTGCAAGAGGTACATTAGAATTAGAAACAACGTATCAGTAGCATAAATGACAAAACATATTCTGAGAGTACTATAAAATCTTTTATTTTGTGTTCTGTAAGAGAACATAAGGCCAAGACAAGGACTAAACATAAAATGCCACTCAAAAGTGTTAATCTAGTGGCCTACCAGGCACTTGAATCCATTTCATGCAAGGATACATGGATCTTTAAAATACACACAGTAAGAACACTAATCATTAAAAAACAAGCATAAAATTAATAGCCTCTATGCTAACAAATAACTGTTTTGTAGCAGTGTTGTTGTGGTACTTAGATCTGATATTTGGTCTCATGATTAGAAGTTTTTAAGACTAGTAAGCCCCTGCCCCATTGTGCATATTAATGAGATGTATAATTCTAATGACCTACTTGAGGGTGAAAGTTAAAGCAAATATACACAGATTTCTATGACTGGCCATGAAGAAGAAACAGAAATGAATCTTCAAACTGTAAACAACCATAAAACTGGGAGAAAGGAAACAACAGTTTTAAATAATGGTCTAAGCGTAGTCAAAAACTGTGATCCTTATTTGACATGAAAAAAAAAATGAGGTAAGTCCCACAATTACTTCGGAATTCTGGATGAATGTATTTATATGACTATGAGTACAGGGAGTAAACATATTAAAAATTCTGGTCGTCAGGATGATTTGGGGAAATGGAGTTTGAGATTGTCAAAGCTGAGGAAGCTGATAGTTTTGAGACATGTTTTAGGAGAAGAGAAAGTTATGGAGAAGAAATCCACAAAAAATCTATATCACAATTGCTTTGAGTATTGGCTGAGTATTAAATCAGTCATGCTTATGATGAGACTTTACAATACAGAGCTTAAAAATACTGCAGAATTTTAGGATGAGCAATTTCAAAAGCTCACAAAAAGCAAGGACGTAGAACTAAATGGAATTTCTAGAACCTATATATAAAATATACCAAATGAAAATTTTACTGGATGGGATATGCAGTAGCTTATGCACTATAGTAGCAAATATTAAAATGAATACATAAGAGAATTTCTTCAAATGAAAGTACAAATAGTACTATAGTTTGGATATGGACAATCATCAGGAATTTATTTTTTTGCATGAGTCCACTTCCACTTTGACCTTCTCTATCATGTTATAACATAGTACGAAAGCCCTCATCAGAAGCCAGAGCCATGCCCTTGAACTTCTCAGCCTTAATAAGCATGAGCTAACTAAACCTCTTTACATATATATATATATATATACATATATATATATATATATATATACACACACACACACACACACACACACATACATACACACAGCACTGTGTTAGGTATTCTGTTATAAGCAACAGAATATAAACTAAGACAAAAATTGGTACCAGCAGTGGAATATAATCTTTCTTTCCAGTCCTTGGACAACAACTCTATGCTCCTTGGCCAATGGACCCCAGGACTTACAACAGTGCCCCACAGGTTCTCAGGTCTATGCCCTTGAACTGAGAGTCACATCTTTGGCTTTCCTAATTCTGACGTCTTTGGGCTTCAACTGAGCCATGCTACCAGTATTCCAATGGCTCCAACTTGCAGACACCCTGTCATGGAACTTCTCAATCTCCATAGTTATATCAGCCAAACCCTTTAATAAATTCCCTTTCATAAATCTATCTATCTATCTATCTATCTATCTATCTATCATCTATCTTTCTATCCAACCATCCTGTTAGTTCTGTCTGTCTGGAGAACCCTGAATAATACAGAGAGAGAGAAAACAATAACAACAGAGACTCACTGCCTGTAAAACAATTACAAATTGTCTAATACTATGTGTAACTAGAGTTTAATATTAAGTATAACTGGAAAGGAAGAGATACAGAAATATGTATGAAAAAATAAACACAAAAAGTTTTCCAAATTTGATTAAAATTTCAAATACTACAAATTCAGGAATATCATATAACTTAGACAAAAGAAAACCAAACTATATCCTGTCATAATCAAATTGGTGCAAACATGTGACAAAAAGAAAATCTTTAAAGTACAACGAAGTGTAACACAGATGTGCAAAATAGCAGTCTTTTCTGAAATTACATGCACATGAAACCAATAAAATAACATCTTCAATATGTTTAGGGTTGTTGGGGGAGAAGAGGGCTTTCAAGCTAGAATTCTATTTCCAGAAAAGAATAAATTTTAAACTGAGTGTACAGTAAAGACAATCAACAGAGTTGCAGATGGAAAGTAGCACACATGAAGGGATGAAAAATTGTAGAAATTATAAATATGTAGTAAAATAATTTAAATGTACTAAAACCAAATTGACTATTAAAAATACTAATTTTATATCATGAGAGTTCTAACGTGTAATAAAAAGCAAATAAATAATGACATTAATACAAATAAAGGGAGATACATAGAATGATGCTGCTCTAAGTTTCTTATATGTGAAGTAAAATAATGTATCAAAGGTGATTTTCATTAATGTAAGTTAAAATTCATTTTAAATCTAATTGACTATAAAATAAAGTTGATTGATAAAAATAATTTACTTATTCAAAAAAGAAGGAAAAAGAATAATAGATGGTATTAAAAGAAGGCATAAAGTAATAGTAATATAGTAGGCTTAAATCCTATAATACCCAAAATTATATTAATGGCAAATGGTCCAATTATTCATTAACACTCTAAGTAAATTGTAGAGATTGTGACATTGAATAAAAAGCAAGTCAATCTTCAAGACAAACAAGCCAATCAATCATTTTTATACCTCAAAATTCAATTAAATAAAACAATATATAATTTTTACTCTCAATATTGAAATATTAAGAAGCAGTTTGTAGACAACATAATGTCTATACAGCATAGTAACTAAACAAATGCTCTTGAACTCACAATTAAAAATAAAACATTACTAAATGCAGTAAGAATATATGTCCATAATAAATAAGAATAAGCATAATTTTATATTCACCAGAAAATTATAAATTAACATTATAAAGTTATTATACCCACTATAATTGCAAAAGTAAATAAGAGGTCTTACCAGTTCACGTTTCATTAAAGAATCAGAGCATCAGGCACAATTGCTATAGGAAGGTAAACTGCAGTAGCATCTTCTAAAATATAATCTGGCAGTATCTTCTGTGGTTAAACATGCACAAACTATGTCTCAGTAATCCAGTCTCCAGGTGTACATATCAGGGACATGTACAAAGATGTCCACAGAAACATTATAATGGTAAGATGCTGGCACTGAGATCAGTTCAAAACTCCATTCAACAGAGAATGGATAGTTATACTATGCTATATTTATATACAAAAAATACACTTCAAGGAAGAAAATAAGCTACAACTGAATTAACATATCTATGAAATTTAGAGACTAAATGTGGATTGAAAACGTCCTGCAAAAGATTAATGTAGAAGTGTCATGTTTATAAATCTTAAAAGCAGACATCTATAATTTTTTAAAATCCCAGATCCTGTAAAGAGTAAAGGTTAAATTTAATGCACAGCCAGAATTGAAAACTATTGTTATAGAATTAACAGGTAAGGTTAAAATAATCTGATTTCTCACTATCACTTTTTTCTTGAAAAATATAGTTTTGAAATATTGTTTCCTAATTTTCAAACTGGCATTTCAGAGATTGATCACTGCTGTCATAAAATCATTGTAAAGATGTGTGCAATGTATTTACCTAAGAACAAGAAGAGTAGTAATCAATGTTACCATTGCAGAAGAGAAAAACAGTCTTCAATTCTTAATAAACTGGAGGTACATTAATCAGTACTCCCAAATTAAATATGGTACTCAAAGCCATAAGCCATCATAGTATCTTTAGATAAAAAAGCCCTCCTCCATCACATTCTATTAATTTTTTTAAATTTTGGATTATATCAGTGTCAGGACACCAGGTAAGTCTGAGAGGTAGCCAGAAGAGGCTGATACATGTTCCCTGAACATGTAACTCTTGATGTGCAAGAAGCGATTAAAATTGTATGCCACTCTACACACTTGAGAGCAAATTTGTTTAATTTCATTGCCTTTTGAAAGTACAGAGTACCATTTACTACAGTAAAAATTGAATGTTAAGAGTGTATTTGAATCATAAGTAATTCTTATGTAAGATTTATCATGTCCTTTTGTTGTTAATTATTATTCACATCACTGCAGTGCCTGATAGCCACCCAATAGTGTTGCAAGTTCCTGAAAAAGTTAATAAACCCTTTCGTGGCTAGCTTACCATCATGTACTGCTTAATCGTATTTTGTTAAAGAACATACTATAGTAGATTGTCCGTTTAGTTCCATAAATATAACTGAATGACAAAATAATTGAAGAATATTATTTGATGTTATAAAACACATAATATGTTTACTTTTAAATCATACCTTTTAACATGCTTAGAATATGGTTTTAGGCTTTACTGATATACTTTTGAAAATCCCCAATAACTAATGGCATTAATCTTGTATTTGTGTCAAACACAGGACAACTCATATTATTTTTCTTGTAAAATATTGTTAGCAATACAGAATTATGGTAATTACCCTAACAGTCTTCAGATTTTCTCATAACTTCACATGCAAACAAACCAAGGATGTCATACTTCCTCTCTGTCCTCTAGGAAACAGGTATTTTCCTAATACATAAAACATTTCCAAGGCAATACAATCTCTTCAGAATGAAGCAATTATTACTGCTATTACCATTATGAAGTGGTATTAAAACTCCTTATGAGGAAACTAAATATACCAACTTAAGAGTACTTCTTATCCACATCATTACTCAGATTGACTATTCACAGGCCAGTTGCTGAGGAAAGAATTGCAAAGCCAAAGGGTATATTTGAGTCATAAGCTAAAAGGAGACACCATGTTACCAGATTACACATGGGGCAGGAGAAGCACACTGCTGTTTATGGAACACACTGCTTAAATGTTCTGACAGATCTTTCCTCACTTTCTAATTAATATTTTAATTTTACATATTCTTATTAAATAAAAAACTTGACTTGCATAAGTAATGGTACAGTTTAAGCCATCTTTGGCATATTTTTCCCTGACCTGAAGGAAAAATCTAGGAGGAAGTTTCTAAGGCAAGTTGGAGGTTGTATTATCGCCAAAGATAAAGAAGGAATCCAAAACCTAGGTAGAATTTTTAAAAAGCCCTTACAGTCAATATTTACGTATTGACTAATAAGTGAATAAGAAGTTCAAATTCACACTGTAATCCTTTATTGGACGTACAGTTATCCCTGGCCATCACAATATCTCTTTTTTAAGAACTTAATTTAAAATAATTATTTTATAATTCATAGCTAACACAATATAGGATGAAAGATAAGTAATGTAGAATCACAACTGTGTAACTGAGAAAATATAAGTATAGTTCCCAGCTTTTCAAGGCATAATTTTTTCTATTCTACAATTTTAAATGACCTCACCTAAAGTACTTTACATATGTGCCCATCTTGTTGGTCCAAATTTCAGGATAAACAATAAGTGTTTTTTCCTGTATATAATTTATTCTAAGCAAAGAAGCCAATATAGCTGCCATTTGTTTTGGTTACTTCTCATCCTTTTTTTTGGCATATAAACAATGATTTAGTGAACAAATGAATGATGGACTTATTTAATACTCTAGATAGTTCTATAACAATTCATCGTCATGGTGAAAATATACACAAATTATGTTTCAACAACATTCATTTGGGATAAAAGTTGCAATAGATGTTACCTTTCTCTTGCATTTGTTGCACCTATTTTGTTATACCTGACTAGATGAATTCATGTTTTTAAAGTCAATTTTCTTTCAGAAATTACCAGCTGTTTAAACCTTTTAAAATTAGATAAGAAGAATAAGGGAACAAAAATGTAATCTTTTCCAAAGGGCTAAATAAGGCATAACTGTATTATGTTAATTTTTAAAATGCCATAAGAAATTAAAGTACTTTGGTTAACTAAATTCTAAATAACTTTATTTATATTTAAGTTGTGAAAAATTAATTTTTCCTTTCATGGTAATAAAAAATTAAAGAGAGTGTATTAGTTTCCTATGGCTGACATAATAAATCATCGAAAACTGGGTGGCTAAAACAGAAATTATTTTCTCACAGTTCTGGAGGCCACAAGTCAGAAATTAAGGTGCCATCTGGCCCACACTACTACTAGAGGTGTGAAGGGAGATTCCATTTCTCGCATCTTCCAGCTTCAAGTGGCTGTCAGCATGCCTTGATTTGTGGCTGCATCAACACAATCCCTGCATCTGTCTGCACACAGCCCTCTCTTCTGTCTGTGTCTTCTCCTCTTTTGTCTCTTAATAGGGCACCATTTATTTGATTTAGGGCTCATTCAGAAATATTTTATCTCAGGATCCTTAATTATGTATACAAAGACCCTTTTACTAAGTAAAATAACACTCATAGAATTTGGCGATTAGGACGTGGATATTTCTTTTGGGGACCACTATTCAACCCACTAAAGAAAGTATCCACCAAATGTACATTTTGGAACAGCATCTGATAAACTCAACATTTAGAGGTCCAGGTTGTGAAGAAGTAGCCATAAATAGAAAGAGATAAATGTCATTCATTATCTTGCGCCAATAATCTAATGGGTCCATCTACATTTCTTTTCTCCATCAAATCATTGTTTCTGATAAGACTAGTGGAGATGACGACATGTTGCCTCAAGTTTAAAACTCCCTTGGTAATTCCTAAGACAAGTTTGTTTATTCATGGTTTTATCTCGCATAACTGGGAGACAGCCTGGTTTGACTATGTGACAATGAAGTAAAAAACCTCCTCTGGGAATACTGGTCTTAAGTAGTTTACTAGATGGACCCTCACCATTTAACCTTTTCTATAGTTAATATTTTTTGTAATCTTTGAATAAATATTTTGCTAGCTAAAGACTGTGAAGATACTCTTTAATGTTTTCACCCGGAATATGTATTATTTTGCATTTGAAATATGTATCTATACTTCATATGGAATCGATTTTCACACAGAATAAAATAAAGGCAAAGTTTCCCATATGAATACCAAATTTTTCCAGGATTTTTAATTATACAGCCTACTGTTTCTACATGGGATGGCAGCATTGCAATTTCATAAATACAGTGATGAAATAGTTGTAAGTTTGTTTCTGGACCACTTATGGTGTTTCAATAACCTTATTTGATTTTCTTTAAGCAGTATCTAAATTAATGTAACTTCTTAATAGATGAGCACATAATAGTGTAAGTTTTCCAGCCCTTTTTAAAGTCAAGATTGTCTAGGTTTTCCCCATACCATTGTAATTTTATACATAAGCTTAAGAATCAAATTGTCAATTTTCCCTCATAAAACACGTGGTTTTGATTGTGATGCATTGACTCTAGAGATTTAAAAACATAATCTTTTAACATTGATTTTTCCAACCCATTCATATACTATATTTGCTATATGTCTCCATTTAGTTAGCTCTCCTTTTAGTAAATCTCAATGATGTTTTGTTTTTATTCTGTGTAGAGGTTTTGTATATCATTCATATTTTTAGCTTGATATTTTATGCTTTGCATGCTATTTTCATAGCATAATTTTAACATGACATTTCTAAAATCTTGGTAGGTATATAAAAATATGACAAATAGCTCTGTATATTATATATGGAAATATATAAATATGCGCGTGTGTGTGTGCATATAAATTTTTGTATCCATCAAGCTTGCTTAAATTGTTAAATTATGAGCTTAAGTACAGAGTCTTCAGGTTTTTTATTCATAAACTTATGTTATTTACAAATAGCAAGTTATCATTTTTCTTTGCCCTTTGTGCTGATAAGAATGCCGGTATAGCCTCAAATGGTGTGTTTTATTGAGCATCCTTATTGTACTTTGTATCTCAGGAGGAACAATTTCAACACTTCAGCCATTCATTACTGAATATGTGTTTACTCTTGTTATTTTTGGTTTTTAATCTTCCTTTTTAAAATAAATACACTTTATGAGGTTAAAATAAATCTTCCTAGTTTTCCAAGCAGTTTCAGATGTGCATTAAATTATAGGAAATTATACTCCTGCAGTTACTTATAAACATTTAAATGAATACCATATGTTTTTGTTTCTCGTTCATTTTCTTAATATGGTGAATTACATGGCTTGATATTTCTGCATTGCATTTATTGAAAGCTCATTATTTTGATATCTATTTCCTTTAGTTAGGTAAGTCAGATGGATAGGACAGACAGATGGATTTGTTTTGTTAATATTTTGTTTAGAAATTTTAAATCTATGTTGTGTAGGATTAATTTGTATTTTTTTTCTTTTTCAGTATTCTTGTCTCACACTGGCATTGAGATATTTATAAATGGACACATGAAACAATTTGGAATGTTTCTCTTGTTTTCTGTTTGCTGGAAGAGTTTGTGTGTGACTGGTATTTTTTTTCCCCTTAACTATCTGGAAATAATCATCAGGTTTCCTTTCTTAAACAAATAGGCTTAATCAGTAGCAATGCCCCATTACTAGACTCCCTAAGAAAGATTTTGAATGTACCTTGAAAAAAGGCACAAAGGTCCCTCTTGTTTCCTTAGAAACAGAATTTTCTTGTCCTGAAAATACTGCAGTTAGCAAGTGAAGATCCTTCTGGTGGTTTCCTAGGGCGCACTGGTCCTGTTCTTCCTTCTCACTGCCTATAGTAACCAGTTTCCTTCAGGATGGTCCATTTACAGAGCAAAATGGACAAGCAGTCAATTTAAAATTCCATTTATATTCAAGAAGTTTCTTTACTGCATAGTTTTATTTCCTTTGGAGCATCTTTAGGAAGTTGAAAGTTGAATTAGAAAACAAACAAATATTATCTCACTAATATTGGTCACTGCTTAACCTTCATTACTTAGCTTTCATTTTTATGTAGTGGAGTGGGAATTCTAATTTATTTCTATAGAGTAAATTACTGCACATTTTAAAATAACCAATTCTTCATGAATATTTTTCTTCAATATTTACAAAAATGGTATATGAACAGCAATTAATCTTGAAGTGTGAAGTGTTATTTCTTTGCAGGTAAATTTCAGCCATGAATACATGCATTGCCATTACATTCAAAATGTTTAATATTCTGTGTCATTGAGATCATTATTTTATATTATCTTTATTGTCTATATTATGTACTGAATATTTTTGTGATATTATTTCTAGAACTAAGAAAAAAATTCAGAATGGGATCTGTAAACCACAAAGAAAATTCTAAGCCACTCACCTGACTGAATGGACCCCTTTTTCTTGGCCAGTAGGATTATAACATCAATCTGAAAGAACAGTTGAGGCCATGATGGCAAGGGGGAGTCAGAAGTGCCTCATTATACCCTCCTCCTTTTGGAATTCAGGAACAACTGACCAGCATTAATATAAAACAGAGACCTTAAACCTAACAAAACAGACTACAGCAGTAAGATATCAAATTCCAACCTGACTCTGGTATAACACCACATGACAGACAGCAGACCCTAAAAGAAATGCAAGTATGTTACCCCAAAATAATATTCCTTTGACACATTTTAAAATGACTCTGCAAAATTGTCTCTTGTAGGGAAAACCTATATTCTGTAGAGCATCTCCTCCTGCTTCCAAGTCTTTTCTTGATCCTGGAGAGATTTAACTAAGTCTGGCACCTTTTAAGGCCCGATAAGAAACATTCACCACCTATTCTACATAATAAGAACCTCAGTCTCCACAACCCCTTATCTTAACCCACACACTCCTTTGTATTGATTCCCGGTTTTAGCTAATAACTAACTCTTTCAACAAATTGCCATTCAGACAATCTTTGAATCCACCTATGGCCTGTAAGCCCCTGCTTTAAATTGTCCTGTCTTTCTAGACTGAACCAATGCATACCATACATGTATTGATTGATGTCTTATGTCTTCCTAAAACATATAAAACCAACCTATACCCAATCATCTTGGACACATCTTTTCAGGATCTCTTGAGACTGTGGCTTAGGCCTTGGTCACTAATATTTGGCTCAGAATAAATTTCATATATTTCACAGTGCTTGACTCTTTTTCAAGGAAAGATCTGTAAAGCAGTCCTGTGTTTATCTAGAATAAACTCAATAAAAATCAAATAGGAGAATGCAAGTAAAAGGATTTATTTTTATGTGAGTAAATATATCAGTTAATAAACAAATAAACCTCTGAACTGGTCTGGAATTTTTGTGTATATGTGTATCATGTGTGAGACTGTATTATTGCTTGTCTATTTGCATCCCTGACATATCTTTTTTAAAAATCCAAACCAAGAGTTGACAACAACAGAATTTAATATCAAGAATATTTTGGCCTTTCATTATTAATAAAATGAATGTTTCTTTCAGATGCAAACACTAGTGGGTTTGGAATAGCTCTAAATCATTATAACATTGCTTCTAAAAAGCAAGTTGAAGTGGTCAAGTAATATGAGGAGAAGATAGGTTATATTTTTTACATAAACTTAAAAAGAATATTAAGCATCATGAATCATATTAATATGATATGAACATAGAAAGAGTCATGATGGAATAATTGTTATCTGTAGTCCAAAATTTTTCTTAGTAGATCCAAAGAAGGACAGGAGTAAATGGGTAAAAGATTTAAAGAAAAGTTTTGCAGTGCTTCATGGAGACTGGCAGAAAAACTACTTGGTAACAGTGGCATTTCCTTACATTTCAGATGACACAGAACATCTATAAATCTACATTTAGGAGATGAATTTGTGCTAGCTAAAAAAAAAAAAAAAAAAATTCTTACTTAAAAATAATTCAAAAAAAAAATGACAGGCCAGACATGATGGTTCATGCCTGTTATCCCAGCACTTTGGGAGGCCGAGGCAGGTGGATCACTTGAGGCCAGGAGTTCGAGACCAGCCTGACCCACATGGCAAACCCTGAGATCATGCCCTACAGTCTCAGACTGGGTGAGACAGTGAGACTCCTTTTATTAAAAAAAAAAAAAAAAAAAAAAAAAAGTTCATTTTTTGTAATATTAACTCACAGATGATTTAACACAGCCAAAATATTAAACCTATTGATACCAACAATTCAAACAATTCTATTATGGCTTTCAATTCAGACACACAAACATATTAAGAGCAAGGGAGTTATCAAGTAGTCAGAACAATGGTCTCGTCATGTGGCTGTACATTTACTAAGATATCAGCAGCATGTGGGCTTCTTTGTGTGAAATAACATTCAGAATGACCATCTTTTTTGACCATTAAAATGCAATTCTCTTTCTCTAATCACCTAAGCTTGTTTGTAAATCAATGTAAATAATTTAATTTAGGTCAGAGCAGAATAATTTTTTCATAATTTCTATGAATCCAAAAGTAAGTATAAAAGTACTTTCTACCATTAGAAATCGGGCTTTATAGATACTTAGCAAGTAGTAATGATTTACAACTTTCATTTAATTCATGAGAAGTGTCTAGTACCCAAAGTATAGTAATTTAATCTCTGTAAAGACACATACTATACTTTCTGTAAGGACATTTTTCCTCCAAAAAAAGACATTAATAATAGCTTGCATTTGTTGAGTGCCTAAAATGATCCAGGCACTGAATCTATTATACTTACCAGTACATGAATCAGACTCTTATATGGTAACAGTGAATTACAGGTAAAAGACCTGCAAAGCTTATAACCTATTTAAGAAATAATATCTAGATAAACACAATGACAAAGGGGAGATGAAAATAAGAAGACTATAGTTAATTTTAGCCTCTGATATCTACAGATATGAATATGAGTGGTGACAAGGTGATAGGGAGGGAAATATTGTATAATCCACTGGATTTGGTCTCAGTCTCTCAGCGACCTGATCCTGGTCTGGTCTGTAATATATATATATATATATATGTGTGTGTGTGTGTGTATATATATATATATATATATATATATATGTGTGTGTGTGTATATATATACGTATATATGTGTGTGTATATATACATACATACACACACACACACACATATATATGTATATGTATGTAAAGGATATATATACAGTATATATACATATTATATACATAAAAACATAGATATGGGGAGAGAGAGAGAGAAATGTATAAGGATTTTGATCCTTTATGTTTTAACTACTCCATTTCACTATTTTATTTTTTATGAGCTTTCATTTTTAAAACCAAAAGAAACTATTTTATTAATTTTTAAGAATTCTCCTTTGTCACTTGTGACATTAATTCATGTTGCAGTACGTATAACATAATGATTAAGAGTTTGGTATCTGGAGTCAGAATTCCTGCTTTTAAGTCCTGACTTTATTCGCTGCATGACCCTCAACAAGTTTCCTCATTTGTTATATAGGGATAATAGGTTATACTACTAATAACAATTTCACAGAGTTCCTGTGAGGACTAAATCACTCAAAGAAATAGTGCAAGATCAGTAGTTGCCAGAAAATTGGGGGGAGAAGGGGGAAATACATGCATGAAGCAAAAGGTGTATTTAGGGCAGTGAAACTATTCTATACGATATGACACTGTGAAGATAGATTCATGACACTATACATTTGTCAAAACCATTGTACTGTACAAAACAAAGAGCAAAGCCTAATATAAGCTATGGGCTTTAGTTAATAATAGTGTCTATAGTGGCTCACCAAATGTAACAAATTTATTACACTAACGAGAGATACTAATAATAGGGCAAACTATGTGGGTATGGGGCAAGAGGGGAAGGGGGTTCTGTCCAACTTTTCTGTAAACCTAAAACTGCTATATAAATATAATTTATTTGTTTTTTTAAAAAAGGTTTTGCGTGTATCTTCCTATGAAGGACACTGCATTCCTGGAAGATGGAAGTTGGGATCATGTGTTGGAGGATACATCGATGAATAATGATCTTCCCACCTACTGATGAGAACTGTAACCAAACTCAGAAGTTTCTTAGTGTCATCTTGTTTCTTCTTTGCAGTTTCTCACTACGAACTTTAACAGGGTTTAAGAATAGAAATGTTTGGTTGTACACATTTTCAAGCAGCCTTAGAGAAATCTAATACTTAGATGAAGACTATGATGCTAATATACTCTATAAAACTAATAAAAAAGAAATCTCCAACCCTAGATGGTTTCCCTGAAGATCTCTATCAAACATTTAAGGAATTATTAATAACGTATAATTTCTCTTCCAGAAAAAAGAGGAAAGAACACTTCTTAATTTCTTTTATGAACCTAGTATTATCACAATGCCAAAATCGGATAAAGACAGTTAAAAAAAGAAAACTACAGATCAATATCCATTATGCATATACACTCAAATATCTTAATTAAAAAATCATGGTTTACATATATATCTAGGAGCATGTACGTGTGTGTGTGTGCATGCATGTGTGTGTGTGTGTGTGTGTGTATTTATATTATAGAAAATTATATACCATGACCACTGGGATATATTCCAGGGATTTAAAGTTGGATTGATAATTGAAATTTTATGTGCTTCATTATTTTAAAGTATAAAATAAAATCACATGATCATATCAATTGATCTATAAAAATGATTCAATAATCTCGACACATTTCAGTTAAAAAACTGTCAGAAAATTGATAGAAATATCCTTAATTTGATACAGCATTCTACAAAATATTTACAGCTATAATCATATTTAATGGTAAAAGGCTGGGAACCAGGCAAAGATATCTGTCCTCATCATTGCTATTCAGCATATTATGGACATTGGGCATTACAGATAGCACAATAATAAAAGGAAAAAATATGAGGCACCAAGTTTATAAAGATACAAATAAAACTTTCCCTATCACTAGATGACAGGGTGGTCTGTTAAAAAATCCAATATCAAAACAACCAAACAAAATGAAAGAAACAAATACAACACCTGTAAAATGAGTAAGTGAGTTCAGAGCAAGGGAGTTACAAGACATAAGATCAGTATAAAAAATCAATTGCACTTCTACATACTAACAATGGACAAAGGAAACCAAAATTTAAAATACAAGAATACTTAATGTCACTCCATAGAAATGAAATAGGTACAAATCTAACACATATATAGCACTTCTATGCTGAAACTGAAAAATGCTGGTGAAAGAAATCAAAGAAATTCTGAATAAATGGAAGACATACCGTATTTTGTCTGTTGGGAGATTCAATATAAAAATGATGCCATTTCTTTCCAAATTAATCTATAAATTTAGGGCAATTCCTATCAAAATCCCAAGAAGATTATTTATAAAAATAGATAGATTTATTCTAAAATTGACATGGAAAGACATAAGCCCTAAAGTAGCTAAAACAATTATAAAAAATAAGATGGGAGGGATCGCTTAAATTGATTTCAAAGACATAAGATACAGCTACAGTAATAAAGACTGTGTAGTACTTGGGGAGGGATAAACACACATAGCAATGAAACATAATAGAAAACCCAGGAATGCATCCACACAAATACGATCAACTATTTTTTTAAACAAAGGTATAAAAACCATTTAATGAAGGAATGATAGTCAAGAAACGGTGGTGGAGTAATTGAATATATTCACAGGAAAAAAATATAAACCTCAATGTAAACCTCATGGCCTATTTAAAAATTAATTCAAAGTGGAAAAAATGTAAAATTTAAGACTATGAAACTTTTAGGACATAATATAGGTGAAAATCTTTAAGCCCCAGGGCATGGTGAAAAGTTCAGACATGACACTAAAAGCACAAACCAAAAAAGAGCAAATTAATACATTGGGCTTTGCTACAATGAAAACCTTTTGAAAGACCTCACTAGGAGGATCAAAAGACAAGCTACAGACTGGGAGAAAATGTCTGCAAACTAAACAAAGGATCTGTGTCAAAATCATATAAACAATTCTCAACATTGAACAGTAAACAAACCAACCACTCAGGAAAATGGGCAAAAGACATGGAGAAACATTTCACTACAAAGGATATATTAATAACAAATAAGCACTTGAAAATATGTTGGACATCACTAGAAACACAGATTAAGACTATAATGAGATATCAGTACATCCCTCAGAAGAACTAAAACAACAAATTATGAAAATACCAAATGTTGGCAACGATGTGGAGAAACTGCATCCCTTGTACATTGTGGGTATGTAAAATGGTACAGGCACTTTGGGAAATAGTTCAGCAGGTTCTTGAACAACTAAAAGGACATTCATCATAAATGCCAGATATTGCACTCCTGAATCAGAGAAGTTGATTAAGGCTTATGTCCACAAAAAATTGTGCATGATTGTTCATAGCAGTGTGAATTCTAATAGCTCAAAATTAGAAACAGACACAACTTCCCTCAATAAGTTAATGATTAAACAAACAGTGGTGTATTCAAACCATGGAACACTACTCAACAATACAAAGCAATAATCTACTGATACATCTACAGCTTAAATAGACCTCAATGGCATTATGCTGGGTGGAAAAAAAATTTTGGAAGTTCACATACTGCATATTCTCATTTTTATAGAATTCTCAAAACTGCTTAATCAAAAACATGTAAAAGAGTTTAGGGTTGCCAGGAGTTAGATATTTCAGAGGTGTTGGTGTAAAAACACTTAAGGAAGAACTCCGTGATGATGGAAGAGTTCTGTATTTTCATTACAATGCAAATAATTACAGAAAACTGCATTGTGATAAAAGGACATGTGAAGCCATACATCACATTCTACCACGGTCACTTTCCTGATTTTGATACTGCACTGTATAGCTATAGGATGTAAGCACTGGAGAAAACTGCGTCAAAAGTACAACTTCTGTACTATCTTTACAACCTCATGTAAGTCTACAGTTATTCCAGAACATTAAAAAAATGAGAAACATAATCATGGCACACTGTAATAATCATATGTGAGTATTTGCAAAGGTATATTTTTAACTAACCCACCATTTTTATATCCTGACATACCAAAATGGGATGTCAATATATAACCTTCAAACTTAATGAATCAGAAGATAGCAGTAGTGGCTGTTAATAGAAAAACCTTAGACAAATTAAGCTTAACAGGATTTAATTGAACAAAAAATGATTCACAAATCTGGCAGCCCCTAAACCACAATAGGTTCATAGAGGCTGCAGTGCAGTCACACAGTGAAAGATTTATGGCCCGAAAAAGGAAAGTCAAGTACAGAAAAGAGAATTCAAGTACAGAAACAGCTGGATTGGTTACAGTTCAGTGATTGCCTTATTTGAACACTCTTCAAAAAGTTGGCCACCCTTGATTGGCTAAAACTCAATGACTGGCACAAGAGTAGGTCACAGTCTGTTTAAGCATCCAGTTAGATTACAGTTCAGTAGGTCCAGAGAAATTTTTAGGCTGAACTTAAAATATGTAAGGAGGGAGCTTTAGGGTAAACTTAATCTAACAAGTTGCATGGTATTTAGAAATATGTAGAAGTGGAAATAGCATAAAAATAGCTAAAATAATTAAAGTGGTTATATTAGTCCATTTCTACACTGCTATAAAGAACTGCCCAAGACTGGGTAATTTATAAAGTAAAGAGGTTTAATTGACTCACAGTTCAGCATGGCTGGAGAGGCCTCAGGAAACTTACAACCATGGCAGAAGGCAACGGGGAAGTAAGGAACCTTCTTCACAAGGGAGCAGGAAGGAGAAGTGACCAGCAAAGGGAGAAGATCCTCTTATAAAAACCATCAGATCATGTTAGAACTCAGTCACTATCATGAGAACAGCAGGAGGGAAACTACCCCTATGATTCATTTACCTCCACCTGGTCTCTCCTTTGACACATGGGGATTATGAGGATGATGCAAAGTACAATTTAAGAAGAGATTTTGGGTGGAGACACAGCCAAACCATATCAGTGGTTCTTCTGAGAATGGATAAAGGAGAAAAGTGTGGAGAGGAGTTAAGAACACTGATTGCTTTAAAAATTAAATGTATCAGTACTATTTCATAGTTAAACAATGGATATGTTAATTTTAAAAAAAGAAAAGTAAAAAATAAGAGGGAAAGTAAGGACATGTTTAGTATAAGTACTTAGAGCAACTGGACAAGTTGTGATATTTACAAAATAACTAGCTACATAAAAGGCAAAGACAAGCTTGTAATTAAAGCTACTTTCAGGTGGTAGCTTCTCTTTAATTATTAATAATTTTGCATAGTTGGATACATGTTATATGTTGCTGTATACATTTTCAATCTGGATTCTGAAGGCATATTTTGCCTTTAAAAGTCAAAATAATAATCGCTTTTATTTTAATGACTAAAATTCTTAGTAGCTCTGGGTTCTAGGTCAACATTCTTATGGTCCATATCTTGATCATTTGGAAGTGAACAGTGTTTTCCTGAGGTTCACAGCAACAGTGAAAAGAAAAAGATTATGGTCTAATACTAAAATACCAATAGTCTCTATGTCTTATTGAGAAATTAAGAGGCTTTTCTTTCACACAACCACACCAACCTTTCCTGATAAGTCTTAGATTTGTCTACCTAAAAAAAAATTATTAAAAATACATTTGTATAGAGACTATCATATGTACTGAAAACAAACTGAGAAATAAAACAGTCACATTTCATTGGTAAATACCAAAATGGGATAATCAGTATCACCAAAACAGTGTTGGGAAATATAGATAAGTTATATTAAAGATCCATGTAACTCAATATTACTTCTAGAAAGGTAAATTTGTTATTGTTGAATTATTCACAGAAATATTTTCTCATATTAATTTTAAATTGCTTTGAGTTAGATTAAATACGTGTGTCAATAGATTTCTATATTCTACAAACATGTTTTAATTATATAATGAGTGCAATGAAGACAAGAAATTAACCCAGAGCTCACCCAAGGGATAATTTTTTTTATTTACAGACTGACTACTTATTTATTCTGCTCTTTGTATCTGTAACACCCTCATTAATTTTCCTTAAGCTTCTAATTTGGAATGAAGTTGCAATATCCCAAGATCATCTCCAAGAAGAGCGCCAAGATTTTAATATTGTATACTATGCCCCTAGGCTATATCCTAGGACTATTAAGCAAATTATTCCAATATTGCTAAAGCACATAATGAACTGTGTTAAACACTAATCAAATATTTAAATAAATTCATTTCGCTGGATGATGCTATTGCTAAGAACTTTGCTTAGTTAATTCATTGATTAAGTCAAGTAATTATTTTAATTGAGCTATTTGATGGATTATTTAATCACAAAGTATTTGTTAAAAACATCTATTTGGGGGTCATAAAACAATTTTCTGCTACTTTAAATGCAATCCCTCTATATAAAAATGTTTTCTGATTAAAAAGTTTAAAACTTCTAAAGTGTAGACATTTTTATGCATAACTTGTGCATTTTGGAGAAAAGCATATAAGACCCCAAACAATATACTCCAAAAATATTACCTTATACTTATTACACATGTTGGATTCTAGAAAAGAAATACTATATTCAGTTACACTAGCCATGACTCTAGCTCCTGGGTGAAAATAAATCTTATGAAACATTTTAACTGGCCTCTGGAAAGTTATACTGATCTGTATTGATTCTTTACGATAAAGGGTTGGAAAAAGTTACATTCAAAAAAGGACTTTACGCATTTGGGATTGAATTGAGGAATTCAGTACATATTTGTTAATTTGTTCGTCAAATTTTACTCTGTTTTTATTCAACCCTCTACCTGTATTTCATAAGGATTTCCATTGTTCCAGACACTAGTAGAAGTCTTGACAATAAAGCCCCTCTTCAGATTTCTAGTGACAGAAAATGTGAGTTAGTTTTCATATTCTCCTGCTTATCGTGTATATTTATAGGTTTAGCATTTTAAAATTATTATTTGAGGGACAAATAAGGTTTCCCCCTGAAAACTATACTTAAGAAAACAGCACAAAGTAAATGAGACTTATCATCTAAATAAAATGTATGCATTGTTTGCATTTAATAGATCAAGGAGATATAGAAATGTTCATCTAGATTGTCATTTTCTTATGCAAATGCAATACTAACTCCGCTACATCCCAGTCCTACCTAGGACAATTCATTTCATCTAAAATAATAGAAAATACTTTTGAGCTATACTGTACATTTTAAGCTGAGTAGAGATTTATTTTCATTGTAAATAGTATTTGATATGTAATGTGTAACAAATAGATAATTAGATTCTTGATTTTCACATGAGCTGAGGTAGCAGCAAGTAAAAGAACACGAAAGCCTTAAAAAATTTTCTCCTAATTAAGGGAAACATTAATTCACCTTAAAAATTGGCTCAAATGATTATCATTCCAATAATACCAATTCACTTATCATTGCAAACATTGTATCTAGTTAAAAAGGAATTTTTTCAATTGCATATACCTGCCAATAAGCTCTATTTTTCTTTCCACTCTAATATTTGATTATAATTTATTTTATAATTTGCTTCCCTTTGAAACAAGATATTTATCAAATATTGTTTTGGGTTTTATTTTCAAAACAAAATTTGTAAAATCACTTTTAGAATCAAATAAAACATCAAACAAAAATTTTCATAAAATCTTTTTGTGGATAAAATATTTAATATGCAACTATAAAGAATTTTACTTTGTTTTTGCTTCATACATACTTTATTACTAATAATATATAAATTACCTCTAAAGGATTTGATCATTCCATTAGCTCCTATTAAGGCCATATACTATTTAGATTAGTAAAACATAAAGTAAAGGTGTTAAGGTCTGAGGTTCTTTTTTATATAACCTTAAAATATGTTTTGAGCAGCATATAAACACACACTTTCCTTACATGGAAGACATTTCTCATCACTGGAGATCTATGCAGTATACACTAACAGAAATCCTGTGAAACATTCTTGTTTAGAGGATATCACCATGGATACTCAGATTATCATTTTATTTTCATTCATTCCAAGCAATTCTACTGCTTTATAATAATTCAATCCATGGCCTGAATTCATAGATACAAACAGTATCTATATACAAACACTTGTATATCATTAGTGTTTTTGTCTTACATTTAACAAATGTTTATTTGAATTTATCTCAAATTAATTTATATGTATGTTAAAAAGGAACAAGAATCCTTATTTTTTAATTGTATTACTCTTTAATAAGTTTCTGTATTATTCATTAATTAGGGCTATTTACTTTCCTTATTCACCATTATCTGAATTAGCTTAATTTTTTTCCTTTTAATATAAAGACACTAGAAGTTTGCATCACCATTGATAATGGATACTTACAATACCTACATGCAATATTACAATCTCTTTCAGGTATCAATTAATTAAATTAGCAGGTTATATGAAGTTATTTGTATTATTTTGTATTTGAAGGTCTTTATGTTGTTTCGGACAGGTATATTGAACCTGACATCATGAGAGGTAAACCACCACTTTATACTAATATAGTGGGGTTTTTTTTTGTTAGTTTTAGAAGAATTATAGAAATCATTCTTTTTGTGAAATTGTCTTAAATGTGTTTTGTTTTTTACACTTAAAAATATATTTAATTAACAAATATGTATATATTCAAGGGTACAACATAATTTGATATATACAGTGTAGTGACTGCCACAATTAAATTAATACATTCATCACCACACATACCGTATCTTAGAACCCAGAACTTATAAGTGAAACTTTATACTGTTTTACCAATGTCTCTTGCTATTCCTCACTTGCAATCCCCTAGTAAGCACTGTCCTACTCTGTTTCTATGAATTTGATTTTTTAGTTTCCACAAATAAGATAATACAATACTTGTCTTTTTGTTTCTGGCTTATTGCACTTCTCATAATGCCCTCTAGGCTCATTCATGTTTTCACAAATGGTAGGATTTCCCACTTTTTTTATGGCAGAATATATTCCACTGTGCATGTATAAAAACATGCACACAAATACAGACACCAAATTTTTTTCAATCCATTATTGGTTGATAAACAGGTCATTTTCATATCTTGGCTATTGTGAATAATGGTACAATGAACATGAGGATACATATATCCAATATATTAATTTTATTTCTTTTGGATATAGATTAGTTTTCCATTTTTTACACAATTTGGGAAGTAGAGAGCTGGAAATATTTAGTGAATAGCACTTTTTTATCATTCTTTTTTTTCTTTTTCAACTTTTATTTTAGATTCAGGGGGCACATGTGCAGGTTTTTTACCTGGGAATGTTGAATGAGGCTGAGATTGGGGGTATGATTGATACTGTCACCTAGGTACTGAGCAAAGACCTATCAGTTAGTTTTTCAACCATTGCCCTCCTCCCTCCCTATCCCTATAGTAGTCCCCAAAGTCTATTGTTGACATCTTCATGTCCATGAATACCTGATGTTTTTAGCTCCCACTTATAAATGAGAACATGGAATATTTGGCTTTCCATTCTTGTATTAATTTTCCTAGCATAATGGCCTCCAGCTGCATCCATATTGCTGCAAAGGACATTCTTTCTTTCTTTTTAATGGCTGCATAGTATTCCATGCTATACATGTACCAAATTTTCTTTGTCAAATCCACATTGATGGGCACCTACTAGGTTGATTCCATCATCTCAACAGATGCAGAAAAATCTTTCTATAAAATCCAATGCTTTTATGATAACCCTCAAGAAACTACACATCAAAGGAACATACTTCAAAGTAATAAGAGACATCTATGACAAACCCACAGCCAACATGATACCGAATGGAAAAAAACTGGAAGAATTCTCCTTGAGAACTGATGCTTTGTTCTTTGATATACTTTAGTTAAAAGTATTGAAGGATTTCAGGGTACCATAGACAAAAGCAAAAAAGTAAAATAATTTATAACTAAATGTTATAATTAAATTGAGGCACCATCATCGATTTGTACTACTTTCCCATGAGGTGTTTGTTAATTTTGCTAGACAGCTTCCAATCTTTAATAGGTAATTTTGGCAATGAGGTTTGATTTAAATGACAAGTATTAACACATTCAATAAGAACATATGAAGCCAATAATGCGTTCTTAGTTATAGTAATAAAAAAGTCATATTGAAAGACAAGTTTAAAATACTGCCAAATAAAATTTAAAAATTATATAATATTGACCTCTGTCATTACTTAATAAAATGGCAGTGATCACCGTCTTCTGGTGGCTGGCATTTTTACAGCACTATATGTTTAAGAACTTTACAAATATTTTACGTAACACCTGTGAAATGCAATTGTATCTGTAAATGTAAATAAATTATAGATGCCTATGAAGATATTCATCTTCGGATTTGATATGTGTTTTGTAACTTCATTTCATGAACCAAGATCTGTGCAAGGAACCATGAAAAATATAGTAAAGGCTGACATGGCCCCTACTATCAAGAGTAAGAAAAGTTGTGCAGATTATATGAAAAACAGAACTTAAGATTCAAGCAATGGACCCAGTGGACAAAACCAACAAACAAAAACATCAACAAAGAAAACACTAAGTGGAAATAGGATTGGTTATGTAAGTGGAACCAGGATAAAAATGAAAGGATACCTTGGTAGAAGTAGGATAAAAATATAGATAGGATAAGTTTTTCTGTTATTCTTTTGTCATTTACCATTATACATAGTCATTAATATATATTATATACTAAAACTCTTTATTTGTATGAATTATACATAAGTTTTACATAGAATTTCTTCATATAAAGGATATGTATATTTGGCAATAAATATATGTTACATGATAAACTGTTTATATCTTTACTAATGTCCAAATTATATCTAATCTCTAAACTAATTATATCTAATCTCAAATAGTAAACTCACAAGAGCACTGAAAAATAAAATCTTATTTATGTAATGATATATGCATGATATATCTTTTATATACATCTTAGTCGTGTTTTATCAAGTTTCTGATTCTTGAAAAAGTTTTAATAATGATTGTTCCTTCTTTGAGCGTCTTAGCTACAAAATCGGGGTGATTATCTTTGCCAGTGAACCAAAATGAAACATTTTCATGTTTAATACGTTTAAAATTTCAAAATCAAAGATTGAGCATTCCCTTTGAGAAAATTAAACTCAAATTTGGCCAGGCTCTGGAGACAAAGCAAATAACAAAAATGTCAGAGAATCAACAAGCAAAAAGGACTATCTCATAAAAACATGTGCAGTTGATGAGATAATCTCAGGGTGGGTGAAGAAAGGCAAATAGCTGGAGTCAATAGAGTAGGTAATGGGCATCAGTGAACCTTTGCACAAATCCAAAAAGTGTTGTGAAATTCTGTGCTGATTCAAGTATTATAGAGTATATTTTAAATTGCATTTTTTAAAAAAATATGTATTATTTTACAAAAACGATACTTTAAAAACTTATTAGTCTCTCTTTACATAAGCCTTAGAACTAGGACAAAAATTCAGGTATCACTCTCCTAATTAAATCCATCAATTAACAATAAATTTTGGTATTTGAATAAGCAAGTCAGGAGACTTATTTTTCAACTAAGAAAAGGTTGAATGCTAGGCATGTTGTAGGATTATTAAAATGTCAAATTCAGAATATTACCTTTTGATTTATACTGTTATTTATATTATTAATTTTAATCATTTAGAAAAGAAGTTCATAAGAGTTTTTATTTAGAATAGAGCAAGAGCAAAAGAGAAATAATATGAGAGTTGTGAACCAAAACATATATAGCATGTAAAAATTTCAATAAAATATACTTAAAAATCATTAAAAATTAATATAAAGTTACCTTATTATGGGCTCTTCATTAAAAATGAAGACCTCTTTACTAAATATAAATTTTATTGAATAATTGAAGAATTCTTCACATATGAAATCTTACTGAAAAAAAGGAACAGGCTACATTAGGTTCCTGCAATTTTGAAAATAGTCTGACTTTTTAACACACAAAATCAAAGATGCCATTAGAACATGATTCTGCTCTCAAGAACTGTTCTTTCATTTATTATCTTACTTTGATGGAGTATAGAGTAACATAAAGAAGCAAGAAAAGCCTGATTTTAGTATGAGTTGAAACCAGTAGGAGCATTATTGGGTATTAGTAGGAATAAGAAATACGATGGCCCAAGGAAATCTCACTTTAATTACTGTTTTGACCAAGAGTTCCATTTCAACATTGCTTAATGTCTTCCCATTTAATGCCCTCTCACCCCACGCATCATTACAACAATGTACGTTTCACGAAGTTTAGTAGGAGCATTTTCAGAAGCATGGTAGTAACAGCTTGCCCATATAGCTTTAAATTCCAATTTTGGAGAATTGCCTTCTTCAAGTATTACATTTGAGATTACCCACTGTCATATCCTGTTAGCTATGCCTTGTGTACTTTTATTATTCTCTTTTTCATGTCAGAGAAATTCTGATGGTCTGATGATGAGATAGAGTGCAAAAAGAATAGAGATCCACTTCTAGAGGTAGATAGTAGAATAGTGGTTACTAGAGGCTGGAAAGTGGCAGGGGGATAGGGAAAGATGATGGTTAAAGGATAAAAATTGCAGGCAGATAGGAGGAATAAGCTCTCGTGTTCTATAGCACTGTAGGGTATCTGTAGTTAACAACAACTTATTATATATTTTCAAATAGCTGGAAGAGATAATTTGTAATGTTCCCAATGCAAGAAATAATAAATGTTAGACATGATGAATAGGGTAATTATCCTGAATTGATCAGTATATATTGTGTTGAATTGAAAAAATCACTATATATTTCATAAATATGTAAAATTATTATGTATCAATTTAAAACATAAGTAATTTTTAAAATATCTAAATCAAGTTGTGGAAAAACTAAAAAACAAACATTTAAACATTTAGTGTATATTGTCATATTGTCTTTCTGAAGATGTTATTAAATTCATTCCTACCAGTGATGTTTAGGGGTTACTACTTTCCAAATGTTTAACAATCTTGGATATAATGTAAACGTTTAATATATGCCATTATGTAGGAAAAGAAAAAGAATAGAGATTCATACACCTATAAAACATTGTCTTTCTGAAATTTCTCCAAAATAAGTGATTTAGCTTCTGTGACATTTCTCCTTGATATTTATGTATTCATTTATTTATTCATTTATTTAGAGTTAGGGGCTTGCTCTATCTCCCAGGCTGGAGTGCAGTGGCACGATCATAGCTCACTGTAACCTCCAACTCCCAGCCTCAAGTGATCCTACTGCCTCAGTCTCCTGAGTAGCAAGGACTACAGGTGTATGCCACCATGTCTGGTTATTTTTTAAATACTTTGTAGAGATGCATGAAAAACATTATCACATACTTAAAATATTCTAATACTTAGACATTTTCCAATGACTGGACTGATTTTAAATGAATTATATTTAAATAAAATTAATTTTAAATTACTTACTGTTCCCCAGACCGGTCTCGAACTCCTGACCTCAAGTAATCCTTCTATCTTGGCTTCCTAAAGCTAAGGGATTACAGGCATAAGCCACCATACCTGCCCTCTATTTAAATTCAATCTGCTAAATTTTCATACTTAACAAACTTTATAATCTCTATTCCTCTATCAAAAAAAAACATGGAATATGGACACAAGTTAGATGAAAGATCAAATGCTCTCTGGCAAAGAGAAAATTGTACCTATAACTCATTTTTAAGTAGTCTATTTACTTTTAAAAATAAAAGCAATTAATATTGACATGTTTGTATTCTATCTCTATCAAAACTGTCTAAAATTCTGGACATGTTAGAATATTATGATTTTTCCCAAGATTATTCAGGAATTAGAGAGTTATATTTTTAAAAGTAGAAAAGTAGCTTTCAGGAATTAGAGAGTTATATTTTTAAAAGTAGAAAAGTAGCTTTCAGGAAACATTATAACATTCTAAGTTACTCGATTTATGACTTTTTAAGTATTAATTTTTAGTTGAATACAGTTTCTTTTTGAAGAAAGGAAAGGTAATCGTTCTTTAGATTACATCTTTGAGGAAATGTATGAGAGAAATTCATAGTCACTAAACTTAAGGCTTATTATGCGTTAATTTAGGGTATTTTATTAAAGAAGCATTATTTTCTACTACTGAATATAAACTAATAGAAGGTACATGGTCTTTTGCAAATAATTTTTTAGTGTTCTGCTTTTGTTTATGTTGCACATAGACATTGAAAAATAGGTAATCATAATAAGTTGAGCAATATGTCATAGAACATTGAGAGTTTTAAAGTTGGGAAAATATTGAAGGAGCTACATTTTTTTCTGAAATAAAGAAAATGAAATAAAGATTGGAGAAGAAAGAGGTCAGGACATAAGAAAAAGTGTGATTAATCACACTGACCCTTCAATGAACTGGAATTATCAGTTCCTGGTTCACTGTCATGGTTAAGTTTTCCTGAATGCCAACCACCTACTTTGTAGGTGCTCTCCTGCTAACTTCTACTAGAACAC
Source organism: Homo sapiens (assembly GCF_000001405.40). Taxonomy (NCBI): domain Eukaryota; kingdom Metazoa; phylum Chordata; class Mammalia; order Primates; family Hominidae; genus Homo; species Homo sapiens. Next base: position 105,310,654 of record NC_000005.10, read on the forward strand.
AGAATCTCTGGTGTGTCTAGAACAACACTGTCAGTATGGTAGTCACTAGGCACCTGCGGCTATGCAGCATTGTAATATGGCTAGAACAATGAGTGAGTAAATAATTTTAAATTAATTTTATTTAAATTTTATTTAAATGTAATTCTGAGAAAAATATTATTAGAATATTTTAAGTATGTGACAATGTTTTTTCACTATAAATTGTATACAATTTAAATAGAGAGAAGGTATTTCTGATGACAATATAGCGTTCAAACTGAAATGTTACAAACATTTCTAAGTGTTACAAACCATATTAAAAAGATTAAGTTCAGAAAATGTATATTAATTTCATTTTGAAATAACTATAGCATTGTATAACATGCAAACATCCATATACATATATGTGCATATACTGTTTGTGTGCATATGTAAAGAAGCATTTTCTTTAAACTGTAGTACCAGAAACCACACAAATATGCATGAGAAGTAGAGAGTAAATACATTTTCACATATACATTAAATAGAATGCTGTAAATCAATGGTAGAAGGAATAAGTTCTAGCATTCAGTAGCGCAATAGGATTTATTATATATTTCAAAATAGGTAGAAGAGATTTGTAATGTTTCCAACACAAAGAAAGAAAGACATATTTGAGTTGATGGATATCCCAATTGCCCTGATTTGATCATTACACATTGTGTACAGGTATCAAAATCACATGTACCTCCAAAATATGCATAATTATTAAATATCAATTAAATAAATAAATAACTATGCTCTAAGCATCAATAGGAATAAATCACAAAACACGTTTTTTGAAAGAATCTAGTAATAATAAAACCTATACTCTTTCATTTCACCTAAAGTTCAAAATTAAAGAAAGCCAGATCAAATTATTTTAAGAGCCATACATGTGGTGAACTTTTAAAGACACTCAAGGGAGTGAATAATAACACTTACAGTTTGTTCTTACCTCTGGAGTGGGAATAAAGGCAAGTGTCCAGGGAAAGGCACAGGAAAATATCTATGTTGCTGATATTTTATTTCTTATGCTGGGTTTTTAATGCATCTTTAAACTGTATATATGCATTTCATATACATCATTTACTGTAAAAGATATTGCATAATATAAAACAGAATAAACTAATTTTTAAAAGTTATTAAAATTTACTTTATAATCCAGTATTGGTCTATTAATTGCAATGTTTCATAATTTTAAAAATTAGTTTTATTAAGGTATGACTCACATAACATGTTAGCCATGTAAATGTATAATTCAATAATTTTTAATTTATTAACAGAATTATGCAATCATGATAATCTAATTTTAAAATATTTTCATCACCCCAAAAAGAAACTCTATACTCATTAGTAGTCATCTCTTCCCAGTTTCAGCAGCCTTCTCTCTCCAGCTTCAGATTTCCACTAATCTGCTTTCTGTCTCTATAGAGTTGACTTATCTTGATATTTCATGTAAAGAGAATCAAGAAATTTGTGATAATTAGAACTTATTTCTTTTACTTACTTTGATGTTTTCAAGGTTAATCCATTTAGTGGAATGTATCAGTAATTTATGATTGTTTATTATAAAATATATGTTTTATGTATAGATACACCTTATTTAATTTACCCTTTTATCAGTTGATGGACATTTGGATTCAATTCACTTTTTTTGTCTATTTTGAATAATGCTCCTTTGAACAAACTTTGTGTGGACATAGTGTTTTCATTTCCATTAAATATATATCTAGGAGTGAAATATTCATTCCATAGGTTAACTCTTTTAACATTTTCTCATTTTTAAGGAAATGACAAACTACTCCAAAGTGGCTATGCCATTTTATATTTCCATTGGCAATTTATGAGGATTTGGACATCTCCACACACTTACCAATACTCATTATTGTTAGTCTTTTTCATTGAAGTCATCCTTGTGTATCGAAGTACTGTCTCATCATGTTTTTATTTGCATTTCCCTAATCAAAAATGTTACTACACATTTTTAAAATGTACTTATTGGCCAGGCATCTTTTATAAAGAAATGCCTAGTAAAGCTTTGCCTAAGTTTTAACACATTTATCTTTTAATTATTTAATTGTAGTGTTGCTTTCTATATTGTGAATATAAGACCATTACCCAATGTACCATTTATAAATATTTTCTCCCATCTCGTAGATTGTCTTATCACTTTTTTATAGTATCATTTGTAGTACTTTTTTTCTAATTTTGGTAAGGTCAGTTTCCATCATTTGTGATTTTTGTGTCATATCTAATAAAACATTACCTAACCTAAGGTGTCAAATATTCACTGATAAATATTCCTCTAAGTATTTTATCATTATACCTCTTATATTTACGTGTATGATCCACTGGTGTTATTTTTTGTGTAAGATGTAATAAAGAGGTATAATTTCATTCTACATGACATGGATGGCCACCTGTCCTAGTACCATTTGTAAAAATAAATAAATAAATAAATCAGACAAATAAATTCTTCTATTGAATTGTCTTGGCATCTTATGGCCAAAATTCAATTGGCCATAGATGTGGTGGTATACTTCTGGACTCTAAATTCTGCTCAATTAATTTATATGTTTATGCTACCTAATCTCCATTACCATAGCTTTGTAATAAAAGTTGAAGCCTGGATGTTTGAATCCTTCAACTTTCTTCTTTTTCAAGACTGTTTTGGCTTTTCTAGGTCTTTTGCATTGTCATATACATTATAGGTTCAACTTGCTGTTTTATTTTTTGCAAAAATGGCAGCTAGATTTTGATAGAGATTGTGCTGAATACATAAATAAATTTTGGAAGTATTGCCATCTTTATGTTAAGTTTTCCAACTATTGACATGATATGTCTTTCCATTTATCTATGTATTATTCTTTAATTACATTCAATAATGTTTTGTAGTTTCAACGTACAATGTTGGCGCTTTTTTGTTAAATGTATTCCTAAGTATTAAAAAATTATTTTTGATGCTATTTTAAATGGAATTGTTTTCATAATAATTTTTGCACATTGTTCACTATGTGTTTATCAATATATTCATTTTCTGGTAGGACGCAGTGGCTCATGACTGTAATCCCAGCACTGTGGAAGGCTGAGGCAGACTGATTGCCTGAGGTCAGGACTAGTCTGGCCAACATGGTAAAACCCCGTCTCTACTAAAAATACAAAAAAATACTAAAAATAGTAAAAAATACTAAAAATACAAAACAATTAGCCAGGTGTGGTGGTGTGTGCCTGTAATCCCAGCTACTCGGAAGGCTGAGGTAGGAGAATTGCTTGAACCAGGGAGGTGAAGGTTGCAGTGAGCCAAGATCGCGCCACTGCACTCCTGCCTGGGTGACAGAGCAAGACTCCGTCTCTCTCTGTCTCTCTGTCTCTCTGTCTCTCTCTCTCTCTCTCCGTCTCTCTCTCTCTCTCTCTATATATATATATATAGTACTCATTTTCTATATTGATATTTCTATATTAATCTTGTATCCTGCAAACTTGTGGAAATAATATATTAGTTCTAATTATTTTTAATTGATTCCTCAAGATGTTCTATATACAAGATGATAAAATTTGTAAATAAGATAGTTTTTCCAACTTGAATGCATTTTAAGTCTTTTTTTTTTTTTTTTTTCCTAATTGGCCTGGTTAGAACTTTCAGTGCAATACTGAGCAGAAATGTGAAGTACAGAGCAGATATTCTATCCTGAGCCTGACCTTCGGGAGAAAACATTTTGTCTTTCTCCATTAAGTATGATCTTATCTGTGGGTTTTTCATACATGGCCATTGAGGTTTAAGAGATCCCCTTCTATTCCTACTTCATTAAGTGTGTGTGTGTGTGTGTGTGTGTGAGTGTGTGTGTGTGCGCGCACGCGCGCACGCGTGCTTATGTCAAATGCTTTTTTGATTTTTTCCATGGTAACCTTGCATTACTAACAGAAATTCACTTGGTCATGTGCCTAATCTTATATATGTTGCTGGATTTTACTTTGCTAATATTTTGTTGAGGATATTTGCATATATATTCATAAAGATGATTTGTCTGTAGTTTTATTTTGATTTAGACATGAGGGTAATGCTGTCTTCCTAGAACTGAAATAAGAGGTAGAAAGTGTACCCCCTGTTCTATTTTACTTTGCAAGTGCCTATGAAGAAATAATATTAGTTATTCTTTAAATGTTTGATAGAATTCACATTTAAGCCATCAGGAGCTGACATACTTTTCGGTGGAAAGTATTTTAAGTTAATAATTCAATATATTGCTTTTTTATAGGTCTATCCAGATATTCTAATAGTTTGCATCAGTATTGGTATTATGTTTCCTTTTTAGGAATTTGTCTACTTAATCTAAGTTATCTAATTTTTTGGAATATAGTTGTTACTGAAAGTGACATCCTTTTTAATTCTATTTTTAGTAATTTAAATTGTTTTTTTTTGTTAGTATAGCTAAATATTTGTCTATTTTATTATATTTTGAAGGAATAAACTCTTGGTTTTACTGATACTCTTCTACTGGTTTTATGTTATTTCATTTATTTCTACTTTGTTCTTTATTGTTTTCCTTTCTTATGACTTTTAGAGATCAGTTTGCTCTTCTTTTTCCAGCCATCTGCTTAGATTATTAATTTGAGATGGTTCTGAATTATTATTACTTTTTTCTAGTTTAAACTTTTATTTTAGATTCAAGAGATACATTTGTGGGTTTGTTATGTTGGTACATTGCATAATGCTGAGCTTCGGCGTACAATTGATCCCATCACTTAGGTAGTGAGCACAGTACCTGACAGGTAGTTTGTCAGCCCTTACACCCTCCCTCTAACTCCCTTTTCTGAGTCACTAGTGTCTACTGCTGCCATCTTAGTGTCTATGTGTACGCAATGTTTAGCTCTCCCTTATAAGAGAGAACATGTTCCAAGTCTTTGCTATTGTGAATAATGCCTCAATAAACATATGTGTGCATGTGTCTTTATAGCAGCATGATTTATAGTCCTTTGGGTATATACCCAATAATGGGATGGCTGGGTCAAATGGTATTTCTAGTTCTAGATCCCTGAGGAATCGCCACAGTGACTTCCACAATGGTTGAACTAGTTTACAGTCCCACCAACAGTGTAAAAGTGTTCCTATTTCTCCACATCCTCTCCAGCACCTGTTGTTTCCTGACTTTTTAATGATTGCCATTCTAACTGGTGTGAGATGATATCTCATAGTGGTTTTGATTTGCATTTCTCTGATGGCGAGTGATGATGAGCATTTTGTCATGTGTTTTTTGGCTGCATAAATGTCTTCTTTTGAGAAGTGTCTGTTCATGTCCTTCGCCCACTTTTTGATGGGGTTGTTTGTTTTTTTCTTGTAAATTCGTCTGAGTTCATTGTAGATTCTGGATATTAGCCCTTTGTCACATGAGTAGGTTGCGAAAATTTTCTCCCATCTGGTAGGTTGCCTGTTCACTCTGATGGTAGTTTCTTTTGCTGTGCAGAAGCTCTTTAGTTTAATTAGATCCCATTTGTCAATTTTGGCTTTTGTTGCCATTGCTTTTGGTGTTTTGGACATGAAGTCCTTGCCCATGCCTATGTCCTGAATGGTAATGCCTAGGTTTTCTTCTAGGGTTTTTATGGTTTTAGGTCTAACGTTTAAATCTTTAATGCATCTTGAATTGATTTTTGTATAAGGTGTAAGGAAGGGATCCAGTTTCAGCTTTCTACATATGGCTAGCCAGTTTTCCCAGCACCAACCCAAATTTCCAACAATAATAGACTGGATTAAGAAAATGTGGCACATATACACCAGGGAATACTATGCAGCCATAAAAAAGGATGAGTTCCACTTTGGGAGGCCGAGGCGGGCGGATCACGAGGTCAGGAGATCGAGACCAACCCGGCTAAAACGGTGAAACCCCGTCTCTACTAAAAATACAAAAAATTAGCCGGGCGTAGTGGCGGGCGCCTGTAGTCCCAGCTACTTGGGAGGCTGAGGCAGGAGAATGGCGTGAACCCGGGAGGCGGAGCTTGCAGTGAGCCGAGATCCCGCCACTGCACTCCAGCCTGGGCGACAGAGCGAGACTCCGTCTCAAAAAAAAAAAAAAAAGGATGAGTTCATGTCCTTTGTAGGGACATGGATGAAATTGGAAATCATCATTCTCAGTAAACTATCGCAAGAACAAAAAACCAAACACCGCATATTCTCACTCATAGGTGGGAATTGAACAATGAGATCACATGGACACAGGAAGGGGAATATCACACTCTGGGGACGGTTGTGGGGTGGGGGGAGGGGGGAGGGATAGCATTGGGAGATATACCTAATGCTAGATGACGAGTTAGTGGGTGCAGTGCGCCAGCATGGCACATGTATACATATGTAACTAACCTGCACAATGTGCACATGTACCCTAAAACTTAAAGTATAATAAAAAAAAAAAAAGAGAGAACATGTGGTATTTGGTTTTCTGTTCCTATGTTAATTCTCAGAGGATAATCGCCCACAGCTGTATTTATATCACTGCAAAGGATATGATTTTACTTTTCTTCTATGGGTGTGTAGTATTCCACGGTGTACATGTACCTTTTTTCTTTACCCAATCTACCAGTGATGGGCACTTAGGTTGATTCCATGTCCTTGCTATTGTGAATAGTGCTGTGATGAACATACAAGTGCATGTGTCCTTTTTGTAGAATAATTTATTTTTGGGGGGTATATATACCCAGTAATGGGATTGCTGACTTGAGTGGTAGTTCTTTTTTAAGTTCTTTGAGACATTTCTAAATTACTTTCCAGTGTCTGAAATACTTTATATCCCCATCTACAGTGTATAAGCATTCTCTTTTCTCCACATCCTTGCCAGCATCTGTTGACTATTTAATAATAACCATTCTTACTGGTACAAGATTTCTTACTGTGGTTTTGATTTGCATTTCTCTGATGGTTAGTCATGTGAGCATTTTTTCTTATATTTCTTGGGCACTTGGATGTCTTCTTTTAAGCAGTGTCTGTACATGATCTTTGCTCATTTTTTAATGGTTTTCTTTTTTTTGCTTGTTGATTTGTCTGTTAGATCTAGTTAGTTTATAGTATTGTTCAAGAGTCCTATTTCTTTTTAATTTTCTGCCTAGTTGTTTCATTCATTCATTCTACCTGTGAGATAGTAAATGGACCAGTATTGTTTTTTAATTGTGTGTTACTCTCTTCAATTCTGCAATTTTTGCTTCTTATCTTGAGGCTCACTGTTAGGCAAATATGTTTTTAACTGAGGCACTGATACTTTTATTATTATAAAATATCCGTCTTATTCTAGTAACATTCTTTTTACTTAAAGCTTATTTTGTCTAATATTGGTATAGCTACTCAAGCTTTTACTTAGTTACAATTTGTATGATGTATTTTATCTTTCTTGTAAGCAATATAGGTTGTATTTGAATATAAAGTGTGTCTCTTATAGGTAGCTAATTGTTGGATTGTGCTTCTTTTTTCTCTTTTGTCAATCTCTGACTTACTATTGAAGTGTTTAATCCATTTACTGAAAAAGTAGGACTAGCATTGCCATTTTCTTTTGTTTTCTATGTTTTATGTATCTCTTCCTCTATTTGTACATTACTAATTTTTTCTGTTGTTAGATATAAATGCTGTAACTAAAATAAAGCAAAATAAAGAGAATAGAGATTGATGAGTAGTGTTGCCATTTTACAAATATCTTCATGGATACCATTTTTTGATGGTGTTTGAGCAGAGAACATGAGAAAAAAATCAAAGAAACCATGTAGATAAGTGGGGGAAATAATGCTAAGTATAACTTTAAGCAGTAAATAAAGCCCCTATTGGCAGCATTCTTGGCTTGCTTTATAAACATCAAGAAAACAGGCATAAATTATACCTTTGATTAAAAAGATAAATAGGAGAAATAAGAGACTATAAGGGGATGATATTAGAATGATGGTTAAAGGACTGAATTTATAAGAACTGGCTGATAATAATAAGGGCTTTGGATTTCACTAGAGTGAGATGACATTATTTCAGAGGGTTTTCAGGAGCTAAGACATGGAATCTCACATTTTAAAGAGTTCTCTTAGATTGCTATGTAGAAGGTATATCATAGGAAGAAAAGGGACAATGAAATGAGAGAAATTAGAAATGTACTAAAGTATTTAAGGTGATCTTTGTTACAGGAAGTGTTCAATGTACACGTTGTAAAATGGAAGACTTATTTCAAAGAAAAGTCATTCTCAAGTCAGTGAATGTCCTGTGATAATTGGCTGTGGTCTTTGAGAGAAAAGAAGATTCAAGGATGACTTTTAGATATTTGGCCTGAGCTACTGGCAGAGTGGAGGTACTACTTATTGAAATAGGGAAAATGATGGAAGAAATATATTTGGAAAAGGAGATATTATAATTATGTTTTACCCCACGTGTTAAGTTTAAAAAGCTTAATAAATGCTTAATGCTTAATAGATAATGGAGTAAAGATGTCAAGAAGACAAACATGTAAATGTGGAGAGAGCGGCAATAAAATGCCAACAGAAAGAAACTTCTATTCATGTTAAGAGAAGTGCACATGGGAGATCCCCATTTTTAAGGGATTTCTGGACAACCTTGTGTCAATGCTCTTACCAAAATACTACCAAAAGCACACTGTAGTCTACAAAGTTGAGTATATTACTCTTTGCACATAGACAGGTTGCTTACTGTAGAAAACTATGAAGTATCTAAGTAAGAGAGTATTAGAAAGAACTTATGACCCAACTTGGGTTCTGGTTTCCTTTCTTAAGGAAACAGGGATTCATTCTCCATTGGTTGTTGTGAGAAAATGGAGCAATTCTATGAGTGGGTATCTCAAGAAATCTTACCTGTGGAAAGGACAGACTAGATTGAGGACAAAACTTAACTGATAAATGAGTAGACGTTACTGATTTTAGCAGAACACAGTGATCTCACTTTTGTCTTACTTCATCATGTTCTTAGAATGACCTTGTCTGATGTTGGTTTTCTGGGAGATATAATGTATATCAATCAGGAGTATAACAAGACTTATCTATCAGTGTCAGTTTAACTTGTGATAATACCGAGGCGTTAGGTCAGAGTGTCAGACAATATTGTAATACGACTGAGGCCTATCTACCAGTGTTAGGTTAGTCTCCGGATCTCAGGGCTGCTTTATTTCTTAATCACCAGGAATAATGTGCCCCTTGAGAATAAAATAGCAATAAGCTTTAAATGTCTGTTGCAGCCAAAATACTAGAATCAAATAAGGCCTTTTCTGCTCCCACCTTCCCTTCTCCTTCCTCAGTTTCTCCAAGTCATCTTTCCAAAAGATGTCAGAGCAATTGAGGTAGAACAAAAAGAAAGATAATGGACATAGGCCCTTCTTTCCACTGAGATTCTCATACTTGCATCAGGTTTGATTTGAAAAGGGCAGTTTCATGATAATAGAATTTATCAAATTGTATAGAAATTGTCAATATTAATTACAAAGGAGTTTGAAAGATATAAAGTTATATGATTTCTGTTTTCAAAAAATGAGTTCAAAATGAAGACCTAAAATATGAAATCAAGAATCTTATTGGGCCTTGTAATATTTGGGCCAGTATTCATGCAAGTAGCTTTGCTCCACTTGGAAAATAGAGTTCTGCTTGATTCTATTTGCACACGATCTCAACTACTTATGAAAAATAGGAAAAATCTCCTTCAAAGACTAATTCACAGAGAAACTATCAAAACATTTATATCCCAAAACCACAAATGTCTTTTTCAGTCTTCTCTTTAAAAACATATTTGATTCTTAATTTCGATTTTAAAAAACATAAAATACTTTTGCTTGTCAATCTAAAGGCATTTTATTTGAATATTAGGCCTCCTTATTTTTATTATTAGGTTAGAACAAAGTAACAGTTCTCAATAGACACAGTTTTCTCTGGTGAGTTAGCAGTTGCTTTTCCTTTCCTCTATGAGGTTTATGTATTCCACCTATGCCATTTGTAAATGGAACTCTAAAGCAGATATTAAGAATAATAGGACCCTTATCATTAGGAAGTTGAATTTAAATGAAAGAGACAAACAATTAAAATATGTGGTAAAGATGTTAACAGAGGTAAGTGTAAAAGGAGTTTGGAGGAGATAATGACAGTTACTACATAAAAGCAAAGAACTGAAAGTTAAAACAAAATCAGGAATTTACGAAAACTGTTCTTCAGTGAAGGCGTTTTCAAAAACTTTTCTGCAAGCATAACCAGGGAAACATAATATTAGAAATACATTCAGCAAAAATTAAAAATTCCTACAATAACCTGCTTGCACTTTAATCAGATCAAACACAGAAATGAAGTGGCAAAATATGCCAGCACACCTGGTCATTACCCCCTGTGGCTTAGACACTTTCCAAAAGGTTGGCATTGATGTGTCAAAGTAAGTAGCAGGTGGTCTCAAAATCTCAGTTCCCTCTGGTGATGGATGTCAGTTGTTTCCTAATTTCTCCAAAGAAGGTGCCCTAAGCAAATTAGCAAGCAAAACCTACAAACCTGTTTTGACCACATTTATGCAAAAGAAAGGCAAGAGAGCATTTTCACTTATCATAGAAAGACCTATCAACCCATTAAAAACTGCTTCAGCTCCTCACTGGCAGGTCAAGGCACAATATCTGAGAACTCTAAAACTTTTATTTTGTGTTAGAACAAACTGGGCCTTGGATTTTCTTCCATTCAAAACCTGATTAAACTTCTAATGTTGTTCATTTGTGTATATCTGAGGCAGATTTATTTTGTTTATTTTATTTTTATTTAACTGTTATTTAGACCTTGCATGTGTCAATAACTGTTCCAGGTGCCTTACAAATATTAACTTACTTAATCCACCTAACAACCTCATGGCTACTATTTCCATTTTACAGATCAGAAAACTGGAATAAAGAGGTTAACTAGGTAGCCAAGGTCACACAGTTACTAAGTGATAGAGCTAGGATTTGAAAGCAGGCTTGCTGACTCTAGTGGAACTTCAGCATATGGTTGTAGTGTTATTTTACCCAGAAGGATTTTCTCAATTTCATTGATCTCTTAGCAGTTGGGCAACTTGTCATTACATATGTTTATCACAAGATCAGCTAAATGTAGACTTCTGATGGTTATACAAACTGACTGTTTTCCTTTGACTCGAACCTAATAATCGTACATCTGGATTTAATGTTAGGTAAGGGCATCCTGATGAACTGGTTCAGAACCTTTCAACCATGCCAGGTTTTAACTTGAAAATTTAAACTAGAATAAATGACAGTCAAGTTGGTATGGAACTTGATATTCTAGTAATGACATGTTCAGTTTCCAAATATGAAGTATAGGATAGCTTTAATAACAAAATGTTCTTGTCTTTGTTAATTTTACATACATTAAATAATCATGTTTCCGAAACTTTCCTATAAATATTATTAAAGTTTCCCAATAGAATTTCAAAATAATTCCTCCTCATATTTGGAATTCTTATATTCTAGTATTATGACACAGTAGTGGTTATTTCCATTGCTGCTACTACATGTACTTTTAGCTATTGACACTTCTGCCGTTTAATTTTGTTTTACTGTATTTCTTTATTTCAAGTGGTCTTCATCAAGCCAATTCTGATAATGCTACTCTATATTATCTGAAGTGTTGATGGCAGCTTAATATTAGAGGATGCTTATAAAATCCCTATAGCCAATGTCACTGTCAACTACTTGAAATTGATGTATTTCTTCATCTCTTTTATATAAATTCAGTGACCTTCAGTAATGGAAAGTGTGTCTATTTTCCCCATAGTTAAAGGACAGGAACTAAAGAACAAATATTATCAGTCAAAAAACCCTGATCTGCAATTTCCTAAACTTGAAAAAACCATGAAATATTTTATTTTACTTTTAAAGAAAATTATCTATCACCTAAGGTACTTTAATTATTTGTTATCCTAAAAATAGGTAAAATCAATGTATGTATTTCTTAGTTTTGTTTAATACCTCCTGACATTCACTATCAAGGAACTATATATATAAATCAAATACTTTCTTTTTTAAAATTACCTCTTTGGAGGCTACAATCAATGCTGATTATTATCTCAAAATGAAGTAAAAATATATTTTATGCATTAAGCCAGTAAAAAATATAACTACAAATAATGTACCTTAGTATATTATATTATATATATATTAGTATATTATATTAGTTTTAGCATCAAAAAACTACTTTTCATGAGAAATTTTTTAAGAATACAACTGATCTTAAAAGATAAAATGTATAAACTTTATGGTTATCAACATATAACAACTTAAATTATTGCTCTTCCTTTTGTTAATGTTTCATTATACACTATGATTATAAAGAAGCATTCAAGAAAATTTTTTAGCCAGCAGTTTCCTATGCACTCACTAATATAAAGACCAGAAAGTTGTTTGGTAGTTATTTTATTGTATATTGGGAATTTGAGTAGTTATTATCTGTATGAGAGATGAAACTCAGGTAAATAGTAAAAGGTAATACTCTTCCCATTGAAATAAATTTCTATCATAGAAATTTCTATTTCTGTAATAGAAATTCAACTCACATAATCTTGTCTTTCCACAATAGCCAAAATTCTCAGGGAAATACTAAATTTTAGAAAACAGATGAGAGAACATTAGTACTATGCCCTATATATATTTAATGGTCAGTATATATTTATGGGATTGGACTGATTTCAAAACAGGAGTCAATTAAGATGTAATAATATCAACTACTCTTTAGAAGTTCCTTTCTTAAAACTACCAAAACTATGGCAAGGCAAATTAAGCATCATAGAGTTATGGGGATGAAAAAACAAGGGTAAGTAAATTAATATTTCTTGGTTTAATTATATAACCACAGTCTGGTAACTTTAGTGGGGATTATTCCACAATAATTAATACCATTAACATATATTTTTTAGTTACTTTGGAACCCAAGCTAGTGTTACTGTGTGGGTATTTGTATACTTAGAACCGGACCATATGAAGATAAGTCACAAATTAATTTTACAGATACTTATGAGTATTTCTTCTCCACCATAGAAAGGCAACAATGTAATTTTCTGAGTAAAGAATAGAATTCATAAAATTAAGTTCTCTAAGAATTCTTCCATTATTATGAACATAACTATAAAAGCTCAGTATTTATGCTGAACTGAAACTTAAATTTCAATTTTCAGATTCCAAATATCATTAAATAATACTGAATTTGAAAGTTAATTCTCACTTTCCCTTTCTTGTCTCTCTCACAGACACACACACAAATATATAAATACATATAAATTATTCCTAACCATATTCATAAATCCTCACACATTCACAAGATATAATTTTCAGATATTTGAAGCACAGAATTGCAGTCAATTGGTATTTTGTAATATGTAGGCAATATTTAAAATATTAATCATTAGTTGACAAATTATAAAACAATATTTGGAGTGTTTTCAGCACTTGTTATTTACCCTACACTGAGTTTGCTCATTTAAAGATAATACAGACTATCTGATTTTAGTTTAATGTCCCATAATAAGATAAGTGTACTATAAACAGAGCCTTTGTTTTTAATTTACAATTACTAATTATGAATTTTAAAGATTAGAAGAAATGAATTAGATTAATGGCTGACTCTAAATTTAGAATATAAACGTAATATTTTATTAATTTTTAGGTTTTGACTTTATTGAATCGATCTTTCTGAATGAGCTTTAAATATTTAATAAGTAGGTAACACTTTTAAACTCTAGTAGTAAAAATAAAGTCATCATGGAGGTGACTATTAACTGATGAAATAAACACAAATGACTAAAAATATTTGTTCCTTGTAAATTGTGACATATCTTTATTACATAATTGTTCTAAGTACTTACACCAGTCTGTTATTCCATGTGATCAATAAATATTGCCAAACATTGTACATATGACTAAGATTTATTTATGGTTATTTACCAAATATATAAAGGTTTTCAGAAGTTATGGGAGCAACAATGAAATGTTAGATTTAAATTAATATGATAATAATATTTCAGTAAAAAACAGTAAATGAGAAGTTTTAATACTGTAAAAAGGAACAAGATAATTAGAATCATTCAAGAAGAATTGTTCCCTGCACTTTTAAAAGCTTTTATAACTTAGGTTGGCCAACAATACGTTAGTAGAAGTGGAGAGTGTTCTTTTCAAGCCTAATGTCTAGAGCCAGTGTGAAAATCTCCCATTCTGTCTTTCCCTTACTTTGATAGTTGTGGAAGCATGGTGTCAAGGAAGATTTTCCTTCAGTCTTGGTCTTTATTGACTATGATGAGCATCGTACCTTGCTTTGCCGTAATAGTTAAGCAGCATAAGTGAGAAATAAAATGATGTTGTCTTATGCTACTGAGACATTGGGGTTGTTTATTGCTTCAGCATAGTCTAGTTTTTCCTGACTAATATTGCTCAATGAGGTGCATTCCCATAACCTACACTTAAAATATGTGGCTTTGGCTTAGGAATGGGTACAAACTATAGAGAAACAGATATTTGGAGCTTTGAAAGAATGTTAGCTACATTACAGAATGACAGATTTTGGTGAAATATTATCAGTGATTATTCTGAAGGCAGGTCATACGCCTAAAGATCATGTAGCCCTAGATACAAAGGTTGAAAGACCTGTCTGTGTTTGATAAAGAATTATAAAAATAAAAATAAAAGGAAAAATCAGTTGATCTCAGCAAAAGCTGAAGATTAAATATGGCCCACAAATTCAAGAACATGCAGTATAGGATGAAGCAGCTGTTTGTCACCATAAACTCGTAAAAAATAAAGTGAGAAGCCTTTAATAGACAAGTGCCTGATAAAAATGTTAAATCCAAGAGTATGATGTTTATGGCTATTTTTTAAATACCTGAATGGATTAAGATACCCAGTGGTAGAGTTCATCTAAGAGTGTAAAATCCACTAAGACCTTTAAGTTAAACAAAACATTCCACGGAAAAGACTGAATATGTGGCTACTCTATTAAGATCTGTGAGGGAACATACAATTATGTTGAGGCAGAAATGTATGATGAGATAGAGGGTCAGAGAAACAAAGGAATATAGTAAATCTAGTATAAATATCCAAAAAATAACTTCATTTATCTATTAATACATGGTATGAATTAAATTCAAATTGATAAGATTATTGACTTACAGAGTGCTGATTTTATACACTTCCTTTGTGTTGATAATAAATGAATTCATAATGGACACATTATCACAGATATTTGGGTAACTGGGAGAAATACAGATAGTTCTACACATGATCACAGACAAAATAAAGAGATTTATATAGAAATAAGATTTATATAGAAATAAATGAGATTTATATAGAAATGTAAAGAATATTCAAGTGCAGAAATTAAATAAGAAATATTCTTAAAGAAGACTTTTAATGTGTTCCAAATAACTTAATGTTTAATCACTTAACATTGTTCTGATAAATGGAGGTACTACTCATAATATTCTTTGACCAGGAAACTTCTAACTATCTTCAGGATGAACTTTTCTTTACCATAAGCATGTTGCCTATTGTAACATAAATATTTTTTTCTACAGTGTAACTCCCTTGGTAGGAGAACAAGATGAATATGAGCAATGTAGAGTCAAATAATTCTGATGAGAAAAGCAGCTACAGATAAAACGTCAACCTGATTTTCTACTCCTTAATGTATCTACCAATCCAGCACAAAATCTAATTCAGGATTTGATTATAATATTTATACTCTACACTCTGATATTGAGAACTTGAAATATCATCTTTCAATCTCTACCTAAATTTAACTGTAATCCAATAGCTGTCCATTCCTTCAAAGTAATAGAGAAATTTTTGCAAAGGTCTCCAGGGTTGAGATTCTATGTCAGGAGTCCTGATTGTATTGACTATATAAAACAGTAATGCAAAGTCCATTGCATTGTGAAATGAATCTTTTAAAAATACACTAATAATTCTGATTTTATATACTATATGTATATGTGTATATGTATTGTTTTATATGACATATGTATGTATGTGCATGCATATGCATGTATATGTGCATATACATATAATCATATGCATATACATTCTGTTCTGAAGCAACTGGAGTATTTTTCCTGCATTGCAGTCTATTAGTTTAGCATTGTCTACATGATTACTTCACTTGAGTGTTAGATGATAATACAATTATATTAATAGGTCAAAAATGCCATAAATTCTGCCAAGGTCTCTAAATAAAAAAGGAATCACCTCAAAAAGAAATAAGAGAGATTTCTTTTGCTCATTTCCTTGCATTTCAAGCAATTAAGAGCAATGGAAAACTACTAAGGTCTTCAAAACCTTTCAAGAACACAAAGTGATTTTCAAGACAATGTAATTTTTAAATATTTTAAAGTGAAGCAAAAAACTTGTAAGGAGAGAAAAAGATGAAGGGAATGTTATCAAAGCCAGTAGTAAGAAACAATCTGTTAGGGGTACAGACTCTTTTAAATTACACTTAAAATATTTGGGCACAAAATTAGATAAGGCTTTCCTGTTACTTACTCTTCTGTCTTTTTAACTCTCATCTCTTGCTATCTAGGACAATTAAGCTGGCTGAAAGAACTTCTGCTTCACATTTGAGACACTTTAAATTGGGAGGACCATGACAGATCTACAGAAGTTACAAGTATAGGAATGGAAATAGCGAACACTAGAGTTTGAAATTTCATATCATCTAATGTTTATTAAATGAGTGCACCCAAAATAAATCCATTAGTGATTATAAGCTCTAAAACTGCAATTTAGATCTAGTTGTATTTTTGCCTGTAACTTAGCATTTTATATTTAGAAACAAATGAGGATTAAAATATCTATTTATTTGGAATCATAACAAATGTGACATGTATGTCATCTTTCTTTCAAAAGCAAGGCAGATATCACTTATTGATCATGTCACTTAGAGGTTGACTGCAGCCTTAGAATTTACTTCCACTCAATACTTTTTAAAAATGGCCACAAGCAGGCCAGGCGCGGTGGCTCGCGCCTGTAATCCCAGCACTTTAGAAGGCTGAGGCAGGCAGATCACAATGTCAGGAGATCGAGACCATCCGAACACAGTGAAACCCCGTCTCTACTAAAAATACAAAAAATTAGCCGGGCGTGGTGGCGGGCGCCTGTAGTCCCAGCTACTCAGGAGGCTGAGCCAGGAGAATGGCATGAACCCGGGAGGTGGACCTTGCAGTGAGCCGAGATCGCGCCACTGCACTCCAGCCTGGGCAACAGAGCGACAGCCTGGCGACAGTCTCATAAAAAAAAAAAAAGAAATAAACTACAAATGGCCACAAGTTGAATGAATAAGAAAGAAAATGAAACCTAATATTATCCATTCCTTGTTTTTACATTTAAGTAAAGGATATATAGCAGTACTGCATGCTCATTGTCACACTACCAATTAGCCAGAAAGCTGAATCCAGAATGAAACTAAGTTTGATGTTATCTAAATGTTTAGGGTGAGCCACAAATTCTTTGTTGTACATAGAAACCTCTGTGATTAGATATTTGGCACTTTTATTGGGACAATTGAAACATTAAAACAAAGGATAAAAGAAAATATTTTGATATATCTAAATATTGATACCAGCATTAAGTTCAGTTTCTCTCTTCTCCCTCCCTCAATCTCCTTCTCTCATTCTGAAAACTTGTGTGTGTGTGTGTGTGTGTGTGTGTGTGTATGTGTGTGAGAGAGACTGAGACAGAGAGAGAGAGAGAGAGAGAGATTGAGACAGAGAGAGACAATGTAATTCAAGTAATTCTTTATGTCATGTTATATAAAACTTTTCCAACATTAAACAGAATTTTAAGTTACTGTGCTATATCTTACTGAAGTGAGATTTTATAAAATATTTTGAAGATATATAAAGAAGGAAATTAACAACTAGCAGCATCCTAAAGACATGCTGCATACCTTTGCAATTATCTAACAATGTATTGGCTTTTATCAGGAAAGTTACTCAAAATAACTAAATAAATACACAGATCAATGAGAGACTTTGTTTTATACTGAGACCAACCATCTTTAGCATTTACATTGTGTATTACTTCATTTGGTAAGTTTGTCCGGGATGGACCATAACAGAAGCTAGGAGAAAGACCTCATTCTAGACCTGGCTATATTATTTGAGGTGGTTTATGGTTTTTGGTGTATCTGAAAATTTGTTTTCCCTCTGTAAAGTGAAAACATTGGCTTTACTGATACTTAAAGATATTTTCAAACCTACATTTCGTAAATTGTGAATTTACAGTGTGCCTAAAATCTAACTGCATTTATTACAATATTCATTATAGACAGTAATATTTAAGTGAAGTAAATAATTTGGAATATGTACATTTCATCTATTATGTTCCTAATATATAATCTTTAAATCATTTATCTTTTTATATCTGAATCCTTTATCCTATTAAATTATGAAATATTTTGATATATCTATCAAAGTGAGAGCTTAAAATACATAGAAAAGATCCATTTTAGTGAAATAAGTTTCATTAAATATCAGCAGGGAATCAAGTGTTAAATGTGGCTAAAGCATTTCTCCATCCCTGACATGACACAATTTGGATTATGCATTGTGAGAGAAAGTGTCTATCAGACATGTTCACCACAGTGGAACAGGAAAGTCTGCCTGAAGACAGTGGAGTGAAAAATAAAGGGCACAGGAGTGCGATAGACCAAACAAAATGACAAAGTCTTTGGTGGATTATTAAATAGTCATTGAAAAAAATAAAAAGTGAGAAGTAAATTTTAATTATTTACTTTAAAAGTAACCAGTAAGAAATAATTTCATGATACTAGCATTTTAATATCATAAAGAGTTTTTAGTAAAGTTGTATATGCTAGCAAACATTAGATGTATCTCCAACATACATTCTAAAATATTGGAAAAATATCCTCTGGTAACCTCTTAGTGCAAATTGCGTCACCAAATAAACTGGCAAAATATGGCAATTATCTGAATTCATTATTTTTCACACAATAGTTTTAATTTTCTCCTGCAAATCAATACCTTTCTTCATTCACTTGGTTGATGCCTGCATGTGAACGTATATTTATGAATGCTTCAAGACTGAAAAACTAGGATCCTTCTGAATTTCTTTAATGTGCTTGCTTTTTCCTCTAATCTGAACGTAGACACTATTTGAAATTAATGGTAGATAAAAATTAATAGAGAGTTTTAATATTAAGGAAAATTTTCAGGATCTACAATGAAATTAAAAGAACACACAAACACAAACAATGAACAAAAAGCTTTACAAAAGGCAGTCTTGCCTTAACAAGAAAGGATCCTTTCCCCCCACTGAAATTATACTTTTGGGCTTAGAAGTGACTTCTGAGAAGGCTTAACCATGGGGCAGGAGGGTCATATTTTCTATTATCATGAGTTTTGTAATAACCAAATGAATTAGAAAATCTAGGTTTATGGATTCAAGAGAAGTAATAGTATCATTGAAAATATTGATTCTCTTCTCACTGAATAACTTTGGATATTTGCTGTTATAGGAGAGATGACTTTTGATTCATTATTTATCACCTGGATAAATTCAGTATTCCCCTGCACAAATTCTATCTTATGAGTAGTAACTCCAGATACTCTGGTCAAAAATACATATTTGGAATCATATTAACCACATTTCAGATCATGCAAACCACCTTCATATGTTAAGCATAATTATTTCTAAGATTTGGAGACTCAAGACAAATTAATTATTGTTTGGCTTCTCAACATGACTGTATTGTGCAATAAAAATATAGATGATAGAATAATCACAGCAGTATTGCAACTAAAAAATAGATATCAGGCATAAAATCAGAAAGTAAACATAATATTTTAAGAATATTTTATAAAGATAAACAACAGTTGCACAAGAAAAAAAGTAGCCCATCTGATAGGACAAACCTAATATTTTGTAACCTACCGGAATTTTTATACACCTCAACCTAATATCTCATGCAAAAGAAAGTACAACATACCACTTTATTTTAAAAGTACTCCTAGCGATATTGAAAACTTAAGAGTATAGAAAAAACAATCTAAATCACTGCTAAACAAAACATTTGTTATACCAAAATGT
The DNA here is from genome assembly GCF_000001405.40 of Homo sapiens. Lineage (NCBI taxonomy): Eukaryota > Metazoa > Chordata > Mammalia > Primates > Hominidae > Homo > Homo sapiens. Next base: position 105,330,723 of record NC_000005.10, read on the forward strand.
ATCATAAATCAATAATCAATAATCATAATAACTGAGTATTGTTATAAATAGCTCTTGAGTAGAATTTCTATTATACTCTTAAAATTAGGGAATACATACTGTTTAAACTGAGAAGGTGTCAGTTCTCTTAAAATTAATGCACAAATATTTGTACTACAAGGTTTAATGACTTTGATCTCTTTATCTTTATAAGATTTTATCTATCAAATTTGTCTGAGACACCACTGACTATTAAGTTGAGAAGTAATAAAAAATAACCAAAACCTCCAACATATTACACTAGTCAAGATTGGTCCTGAACATACAGTTTCTTACCCCTAACTTGGAATGTTTTAAAATTGCAATTATATTAATTCATTTTCTTCTGGAATGTTTAACAGATATATTTGTTATCAATAATATGTAATTAATATCATGATACAGAAAAAAGATATTAGACATTTTAACTATAATTATGTTGCAGTAAGTTGGTATTAAATAGTCTCAATAAAAAAGCTGTAATAATGTAAGTCATATGCTGTTTACTGTGTGTGCTCGTGTTAATGTCTTTTGTTTCCATAGAAGTGATTTGGTAATTATAATTTTGTAATATTTTGCACTATGTAATGAATGCAGAAATGGATTAAAGGAAATAAACCTTATTTCTCTTTTTGGTCCCCTACCACATAACATTACACATAGCATTGTATAGCACCCTGCTGAGTTTTCAAATATTCATATGAAGGAAAAAGAAAGAAGCAGAAGCAGAAGAAGCAGAGGCAGAGGTAGAAGCAGAAGCAGAGGTAGAAGCAGGAGGAGAGGAAGAAGAAGAAGAAGGAGAAAGAGAAGAAGAAGGAGAAGAAGAAGAAGGAGGAGGAGGAGGAGAAGGAGAAGGAGGAGGAGGAGAAGGAGAAGGAGGAGGAGGAGGAGGAGAGGGAGGAGGAGGAGGGAGGAAAGAGGAGGGAGGGGGAGGAGGAAGGAGGGAGGGGGAGGGGGAGCGCGAGGAGGAGGAAGTATTTTAGGCTATGAGTTACTGAATGCTAGTTTCTACTGAAATTAATTATCCCTTACTGGTTTACAAAAATGTTAAATCTATACTGAATGAGTATAAAGATTTAGTAGTAATTGTGAAAAAATATATATTTATATAATTTTTTCTTTAAATTTGAATTTCGAGATCAATTTTCTCCTAGGTTACTGATCATTTTATGATTTATCTAATAATAAAAATTCCACTATTTGTTTACATGTATAATTTGCAAGTGAATCAAGTTCAAGTTAGATAAGTTGATAAAGAATTTATTGGAACTTTCTTTTTCTTCACTTGTAAAGGCTTTGTCATTATGAAGTCTGACTTGGACTCTTCAAAACTTAGTGACTCACCCCAAATCAGTTTTGTTAGTGTTGTATATTTTAATGTAGGCCACCTAATAATTCATCTACATGCTTTCTTTCTCCCTTTCCCTCATCACAAAAGAAAGCACTTTTCATATCGAAGCACATTTTGTAGATAGTCCATTTTTGCCAGAGCATATAGGAGTGTTATCAGTACATAGCATAGACCTTCAATAAATTCTTATTTAATTTCTTTGATGTTACATGGTTTGGGGCCCAAAATTTAGTCATGTGGGAAACATAAATATTATAAATTTTAAAAACAGCAGTGAGACAAATAAGCTTAAATGACTCAAGGGCTAAATACAATCACATGAGAAATAAGAAACTCCAACTGCAATAACTATATACATAATTTAAAACTAAAGCATGGCCCATATCTGCTCTTTGCTAATCGTGTTGATAATGTTTGTTTATATCACAAATGTACATTACATAGCCTTACTGAAAACCTGCTTTTTCTGTTTTTGTTCTCAAATAAAATGAAAACCTAGCCTGTGGTGGACTATTGTATGCAATGAATTTGCCAGGAAAAATGTTAATGGTCTTTAAAATAAAGCAGCCTATAGTTCAGTATGCAAAGCTGCTCCTATTCAATCTAGAAATAAGAGAAACATATAGTGAAAAATCATCAAGGAACTGGAAATCTGAGCATCAATGTAAGCTTTTTAGTTACTCCATTTGAATCTATTTCCCCAACCTCATTGCGGTACTGTCCTCTTGTGTGTCAGGATGATTACACATGAGCACAAAATGGCAAATGCTAAATTCAAGTGGATAATACTGCTAGGTCCAGGGCAATCAGGCAATCAGGGAGATTAACTAAGGCATCTCCTCTTATTCTAATGTCTGCTAAAATCTTCCTCTTTACATATTTCACATATCAATTTTGGACTATTCTTTGAAAAGATTTTGGGTATTCTCTACATTTCTAATACTTTTATTTTTTGTGAGTACATAGTAGGCATATATATATATATATATATATATATATATATATGTTACACGAGATATTTTGATACAGGCATGTAATGTGTAATAAACACATCAGGGTAAATGGGGTATCCATCACCTTAAGCATCTGTCTTTTGTGTTACAAACAATTAAATTATACTCCTAGTTATTTTTAAATGTACAATTACTTTTTTTTTTACTATTGTCACCCTTTGATACTAGCAAATACTGGGTCTTATTCATTCTTTCTAATTATTTTTTGTACCCATTAACCATCCACCCCACACCCCACTACTCTTCCCAGCCTCTGGTAACCATCCTTCTGCTCTCTATCTTGATGAATTCAATTATTTTCATTTTTAGCTCCCTCAAATAAATGAGAACATGTGAAGTTTGTTTTTCTGTGCCTGGCTTGTTTCACTTAACATGATGACCTCCAATTCCATCCATGTTGTTGCAAATGACTGAATCTCATTATTTTTTATGACTGAGTAGTACTCCACTGTGTATATGTACCACATTTTCTTTACCTATTCATGTGTTGAAGGACACTTAGGTTGCTTCCAAACTTGGCCACTGTGAACAGTGCCATAACAAACATGAGAGTGCAGATATCTCCCCAATATTCTGGTTTTCTTTCTTTTAGATATACACCCAGCAGTGGGATGGCTGTATCATATGATACCTCTATTTTTAGATTTTAGAGAATTCTTCTTCAACTCTTCTCCAACTCCAAACTGTTCTTCTAGTGATTGCACTAATTTACATTTGCACCACCAGAGTATGAAGATACCCTTTTTCCACATCCTCACCAATATTTGCTATTTCCCAACTTTTGGGTCAAAGCCATTTTAACTGGGGTGAGATTATATCTCATTGTAGTTTTGATTTGCATTTCACTGATTATCAGTGAGGCTGGGCACCTTTTCATATAACTGTTTGCCATTTGTGTGTCTTCCTTTGAGAAATGTCAGTTCAAATCTTTTGTCCATTTTTAATTGGATTATCAGACTATTTCCTATAGAGTTGTTTGAGCTCCTTATATGTTCTGGTTATTAATTCCTTGTCAGATGAGTAGTTTGTAAATATTTTCTCCCATTCTGTGGGTTGTCTCTTCACTTTGCTGACAGTTTCCTTTGTTGTACAGAAAAGTTTTTAACTTGATATGATCCCATTTGTCCACTTTTGCTTTGGTTATCTGTGCTGGTGGGGTATTACTCCAGAAATCTTTGCACACACAAATGTTGTGGAGAGTTTCTCTAATGTTTTTTGTTAGTAGTTTTATAGTTTGGAGTCTTAGATATAAGTTTTAATCCATTTTGATTTGATTTTCGTATATGGAAAGAAATAGGGATCCATTTTATTAAACAGTCCCTCCATGGGTTGACATCAGCTGAGTTTAGCCTGGGTTTGCTTTCTGCTGTGACTGGATAGCACTGAGTTCAATGTAATGTCTCACAATTGCTGCACTCTCCTTCCCCATGCACACAGATGCTCTTTCTCCATCATGCAGCCACTGCCATGGGATTGGGGAAGGGTGATGTTGTCGACTCAAAAATATCTTTCCTACCCTCTCCAGTGCTTCTTTTAGAGACATGAAATTAAAACCTGGTACTGTGAGTGCTTAGCTAATTTTTGATTCCTATGAAGGTGCACTTTTGTGCAGATAGTTGGTTAAATTAGTGTCCGTGTTGGGGGAATGACTGGTGGAGCCTTCTATTCAACCTCTTGCTCCACTTCTCTCCCCATTAGTTTGTATTTGTTTTAAGTGGTTACCACCAGAGCTCTAAATATTCTGTTTATACCTGTGAGTGATGTTGACAATATTCAACAACTTGTACTTCATAGGTACTCAACAATTAGAATGCCTGTGCTGCCACTGTGTTCTGGATGAACATTATTCTAATGTTTATAAATATTATATATAATATATACATTATATTACATATATTTTATATATGTCTGTATATGTATGTGTGTATGTATATGTATATGTATATAAACGTGAAAAATACTAAATAAACAGATGTTGTCAAGCTGGTGAAATAGGGGATTTCTACCATCAATCCTCTTGCAAATGCATCAATTTTGACAGTTACCCATGGATGAAAGTACCCTTGTGAGTGTCCAGGAATCCAGCAGAAAAATTTCAGCACACTATTGGAGCAAAAAATCTGAGAATCAATGTTAAAGAACAGTTTCATTGTACGTGTCACCCTTCCCTCAAGGCATTACAACTTAGTGCTAAGACAGATTCCATACATTTACAATTTCTCTCATAAAGGAAAGTGAGAAATTAGTGGGTAAGCACCCAGCTTCCCCAGTTATGTGGGATGCTCCCCAAGAAGTCCACTTCATTCTTGCCACACCCATAATACTTAGGTAATTAGCACAGTTAGCTGGTTTGGAGATGCTGGGAATAGGGAAGAGGGTCCATGTACCCTGTTAACAACCCCATGGCCTACAAGAACCCTGTTCATAGACTGCTTGAGCCACCTCACCTACGTACCTCCCATAACTGGCCATTGGGCACTCCATACACTCAGTGTGCCTCACCAGCACCCAACCAGGCTTGCTCTCCCAGTATGCTTACACAAATAGAAAGTGTAAGCATCTCCTCCTATGGAGAACTGATATAATTCTATGGGAATAAAAAAAGTCAGAAACTGGAGCATTTCAGGGCACCGCCCTATTGAAAACAAATGGGAGGCTCTCAGCATAGGCTTTGGCTGATGGAGAAAAGACATAATATCTTAAGTATTCTCCCAGGAAATGAAAAAAGATATGAAGGAAAAAAAAAAAACAGAAAACAAAAGAAAAGGTCTCAGAGAGTCTCAAAATCCTTTGCCTAACTGGTGAAGGCACTTTCCTCTTGAAGTTAGAAAAGATAGGAGAAGATGATGACTGCTTCTTCAAATATGAAGATAGAAACACAAGACTTCAAGGAGCACACACGAAAAAACAAAACAAGGAAACATGGCACCACCAAAGGAACACAAAAATACTTCAGTAAACAAGGGAATCTTTATACATTGTTGGTGGGATGTAAATTGGTATAGCTATTACAAAAAAAAAAAAACAGTATGGATGATCCTCAAAAATGTTAAAAATAGAACTACCATATGATTCAGCAATCTCACTCCTGGGTATATATATCCAGAACCATTTTGTTAGAAAGAATATCTTTTCTCCATTCGATGTCTTGGCACTCTTTTCAAAAATTATTTGAACAGATATGTATATGAGGGTTGATTTGTGTGCTGTACATTCTATTCTGTTGGTGTATGTCTGTCTCTATACTAGTAATATCCTAATTTGATTACTTTTGCTTTTTAGTATATTTTGAAATAAGGAAGTATGAAACATCTAGTTTAGTTTTTTTTTTTTTTTTCAAAATTGTTTTAACTATTAAAGGTACCTGGAGATTCCGTCTGAATTTTAGGATGGGTTTTTTTCTATTTCTGCAAAATAATTCACTGGGATTTAGATAGGGATTGGGTTGACCTGTAGATTGCCTTGAGCAGAGTGGATATTTTAACAATATCATGTCTTCCAATCCATGAATGTGGGATAGGTTACTATTTGTTTTCAATTTTTTTAGCAATGTTTTAGAGTTTACATGGTACAAATTCTTTACTTCCATGGTTAATTTCTAATTATTTTATTATATTTATACTATTACATGTGGAATTGTTTTAATAATTTTCTTTTCAGATTATTTTATTATTTGTATATAGAAATGCAACTAATTTTTGCACATTGATTTTGTATTCTAATATTTTGCTGAGTTTATTTATTAGTTCTAGCAGGGGTTTTTTGTGGAATCCTTAGGGTTTTCTACATATACAATTATGTCGTCTTCAAGCAGACAAAATCTTACTTCTTCCTTTCCAATTTGAATTCTTTTTATTTATTTTTCTTGCCTTATTGCTCTAGCTAGGACATTCAGTACAGGCATAACTCAGTGATACAGTGGGCCTGGTTACAGACAACCACAATTAAGTAAATATCTTAATAAAGCAAGTCAAAAGTTTTTTTCGATCCCTAGTGCATATAAAAGTTATGTTTGCACTATACTGTACTCCTTTAGGTATGTAATATCATTATGTCTTAAAACACATATATATATATATATATATATATATATATATATATATATACACACACACATATACACATATATATAAACACATATACATATATATGTCTTAAGAAATACTTTATTGCTAAAAATTGCTAACAATCATCGAACCTTAAATGAGTTGTAATTTCCTTGCCTGTGAAGAGTCTTACTGCTGACTGATGAGAATAGTGGTACCTGAAGGTTGGGGAGGGTGTGAAACACTCTTTTAAAAAGACAAAAATGAAGTTTGCAATATTAAATTGATACTTTCTTTAAAGAAATATTTCTTTTTAACATGCTGTTTGATAGCATTTTACCCACACTAGAACTTCTTTCAAAATTGGAGACAATATTCTCAAACTCTCCTGCAGCTTTATCTACTAATTTTATGTAATATTCTAAATCATTTTGTTGACATTTCAACAATGTTCACAGCATCTTCACCAGGAGTAGATTCTATCTCAAAAAAACACTTTCTTTGTTCATCTATAAGAAGCAACTCTTCATTTGTTAAAGTTAACATGATATTGCAGCTTCTTCTAATTCTGGTTCTCTTTTTATTCTGCCTCCACTTCTAATTCTTGTTCTCTTGTTATTCCCAACACATCTTCAGTTACTTCCTCCTATGCGGTCTTGAATCCTTCAAAGTCATCCATAAGGTTTGGAATTAACTTCTTCCAAACTCTTGCTAGTGGTGATATTTTGAGCTCCTCTTGTGAGGCATGAATGTTTTTAATGGCATCTAGAATGGCGAATTGTTTCCAGAAGGTTTTTTATTTTATTATTTATTTTTTTATTTTTTGAGATGGACTCGCATTCTGTCACTCAGGCTGGAGTGCAGTGGTGTGATCTCGGCTCACTGTAACCTCCATCTCCCGGGTTGAAGCGATTGTCCTGCCTCAGCCACCCCAGTAGCTAGGATTATGAGCGTGCACTATCATGCCCAGTTAGTTTTGGTATTTTTAGTAGAGTTGGGTCTTCACCATGTTGCCATGGCTGGTCCTGAACTCCTGGCCTCAAGTGATTCAACCACCTTGGCCTCCAAAAGTGCTGGGATTACAGGCATGAGCCACTACCCCTGGCCACAGAAAGTTTTAAATAAAATTTGCCCAGATACATCACAGGAAACACTATCTATGGGAGCTATCACCTTAGAAAATGCGTATCTCAATAGTACAACTTAAAAGTGGAAATTACCCTCTGATCCATGGGCTACAGAATACGTTTGTGATAGGAGGCATAAAAAGAACATTAATCTTCTTATAAATCTTCCAGAGCTCTTGGGTGACCAGGTGCATTGTCAATGAGCAGTAATCTTTTTTCTGAGCAGTGAGTTTCAACAGTGGGCTTAAAATATTCAATAAACCATGGTGTAAACAGATGTGCTGTCATTCAGGTTTTGTTATTGTATCTATAGAACACAGGCAAAGTCAATATGGTGTAATTCTTAAGGGCCCTAAGATTTGGGAATAGTACAAGAGCATTGGCTTCACTTAATGTCACCAGCTACATTAGCCTTGAACATGAGAACCACACTGTCTTTTGAAGTTTTGAATCCAGGCATTGACTTCTCTGTGGCTATGAAGGCCTTAGATGGTATCTTCTTCTAATAGAAGACCGTTTCATCTGCATCGAAAATCTGTTTAGTGTAGCCACCTTCGTCAGTGATTTTAGCAAGATTTTCTGGATAGCTTGCTGTCACTTCTACATCAGCACTTGCTGCTTTGCCTTGCACTTTTATATTATGAAGATGGCTACTTTCCTTAAACTTAATGAATCAAGCTCTGATAGCTTTACACTTTTCTCCTGCAGGTCACTCACCTCCTATGAGCCTTCATTGAATTGAAGATAGTTAGGACCTTGCTCTAGATTAGGATTTGGCTTAAATAAATTTTGTGGCAAATTTCTATCTAGACCCCTAGATCTTTTTCCCTATTAACAATAAGGCTCTTTTGCTGCCTTTATATTTGTGTGTTCAGTGGGGTGGCACATTTAATTTTCTTTAAAAACTTTTCCCTTGCATGTCCAATTTGGCAACTGTTTGGCAGATGAAGTTAAGGTTTTTGCTCTGTCTTAGTTTTTGACATGTCTTTCTCACAAACCTTAATCATTTTTAGCTTTTGATTTAAAAGTGAGAGAGATACTACTCTTTCTTTCACTTGAACACTTAGAGGTCATTGTAGAGTTATTAATTGGCCTAATTTCAATATTGCTGTGTCTAAGGTTATAGAAAAACCTGAAAAAAGGGGGAGATATGGGTGAAAAGCCAGTCTGTGGAGCAGTCAGAACACACACATTTATTGACTAAGTTTGTCATCTTATATGGGTACAGTTTGTGGCACCTCAAAACAATAGTAACATCAAAGATCACAGATCACAAACTACATTAACAAATGTAATAACAATGAAAAAGTACAAAATAGTGTGAGAATTAGCAAAATGTGGCAGAGAGACACAAAGCAAATGCTGTTGGAAAAATTGCACTGATAGACTTCCTCAAGGCATGATTGCCACAAATCTTTACTTTAAAAAAATTGCAATATAGTAAAGCATAATAAATAATACAATGAGGTACACCCGTACTATATTAAATAGAAGTGGTAAAAGTGACATATTTGTCTTGTTCATGATCTTAGAGGAAAAGTTTTCAGTGTTTTATCATTAAATATGATATTCACACTGGATTTTTCATATATGATTTTACTATGTGGAGGTAGTTTCCTTTTATTCAAAGTTTATTGAGTATTTTTATCATGAGAGGGTGTTGAATTTTGTCAAATGCTTTGTCTTCATGAGTTCAGATGATTTTTGTAAAAATTCTGTAACGTGGTATATTATACTGATCAATTTTCATATGTTGAACAATCCTTGCAATCAGATATAAATCCCATTTGCTCATGATGTAGAATCATTTTAACATCCTGCTGAATTCAGTTTGCTAGAATTTTGATGAGAATTTTTGCATTAGTGTTCAAAAGCTATATTGACATATAGTGTTTGTTTTTTCTAGTGATGTTTCTGGCTGAATTTTGTAGAACGGTAATGCTGGCCTCATGGAATTATTTCAGAAGGATTACCTCCTATTCAATTTTTTGCATAAGTTTGAAAATAATTGGTATTAGTTTTTTAAATGTTTGGTAGAATTCATCAGTGAAGTTGTCGGGTCCAGAGCTTTTCTTTTTAGAGACACTTTTCTTCATTAAATTCAATCATTTTACTGTTTATCTTGGTTATCCAATTTATTTTTGGACAATTATTTACAGTACTCTCTTAAAATATTTTTTATTTCTAGCTAAAGACTAGACTAATTAAACTAGAATAGTCTAGTCTAGCTATAATTTTCTCAATTCTATTAAACTTTTGAGGAACAAATTCAGTTTTAGTGATTCTATTCTTTCTCTAACTCTTCACTAATCTTTATTGTTCTTTTCCTTCTGTTAGCTTTGGGTTAGATTGTTCTTTTTTTTTTTTTTCTAGCCCCTTAAGTTGTCCAATTAGGTTGTTGATTTCAGATTTTTCTAGTTTATTAAAGTAAGCTTTTATAGCTATCAATTTCCCACTTAGTATGCACCCTGTAAATTTTGGTATGTTGTATTTTTGTTTTCATTCCTCTTTATGTATTTTCTAAATTTCTTTATTTTTCTTTGATATACTGATAGTTTAGGAGTGTATTTTTTCATTTCTATAAATTTGTGTATTTTCCAGTTTTACTTCTGCTATTGATTTCTAACTTTATTCTGTTGTGGTCAGAAAAGATACTTTGTGCGATATCTCTCATTCTAAATTTATTGAGACTTAATTTGTGACCAAATATATGTTCTATCCTAGAAAATGACCCATGTGCAGTTAAAAAGAATGTGTATGTTGTTCTTTTGGAGTAGGGTGTTCTATATATACTCGTTAGACATAGTTGGTTCAATGTGTTAAGTCCTCTATTTCTTCATTTATCTTCTGTCTGGATATTTTATCCACTCTTGAGTGGAGACTTGGAGTCTCCAACTATCATTGTAAAACTCTCTTTTCCCTTTAATTCCATGACTTTTTTTGACCATATATCTTGATGACCTGTCCTTAAGTATGTAAACTTTTATAAATGTTTTATCTTCTTCCTATATTGAACCCTGTGTAATGTCCTTCTTTTTCTCTTATAAAATTTTTTTATATACTTTGTTTGGTTTTAATATAGCCATTTCTGATTTCTTTTGGTTACTATTTGCATGAAATAATCTTTTTCTATCTTTTCACTTTCAATCTGCTTGTTTCTTTGGATTTAAAGTAGTTTCTTTCTTTCTTTTTTTTTTTTTTAAAGTGAGTTTCTTGGAGACAGTGTATCTCTCTTCTTATCCATGGTGCCAATCTCTGTCTTTTAATTGGAGGGTTAAATTTATTTTCATGGAAGTAATTACAGATAAGGAGGGACTTCTGTTATTTCACTACTTGTTTTTATAGGCTTTACTCCTTTTTTGTTTCTCATTTCCTGCATTATTTTCTTATTTTGTGTTTAGTTGATTTTTTGAATTGAAGTGTTTAAATGTTTCCTCCTTTTTCTTTGTGCATATACTACAGCTATATTTTTATGGTTACTATGGGAGTTACATTTGACATTCTAAAATTATCACACTCTAATTTGAATTTATATAGCTTAACTTCAATAACACAAAACTCTGCCTCTTTACAGCTTCATTGCCAACACATTCAGTTGTTTGGTATTCTTATGAAATACATATAGCATGTACAAGGTTTTCTGATATCTCATCCTCCTTTCTCAACTACCATCAGCAATATTGATAGAAGAATTATGCTTTACTGCATCAGTCTTTCCTCAGGGAGTCTTAGACCCACTTAACTTAGTGCGGTCTTCTTTCAGGGCTCATTCTACAGCTTCAAATGGGAGGTAAATACCTCATGTATAAATGTAATATGGGGAAGAAGGGGAAGTATGCAAACCTGAACCACAGTTTTGCCAAGAATATTTTAATCCACCATCTAAATTTTAGGTATTTTCCTCCCTTCTGCTTATGAAACCTGAGGATTTCCAGGGTTTCTGCATTGCTTTCTACTACAAGACTTTTTTTTTTTTTGCTTATAAAGTGAGATGTGATCCCTTCTCTTCTAATACTCTAAATATCAAAGCTCAGTTTACATTCAAGGTGATGAATAAAAAGAACAACTTTCCTCTCAAAAGTATAAAATCAAATGTCAGTTACTTTAGGGAAAAGGGAAGCCCATGCAGAATAATAACCCAGTTCAAATCCAGTAAGTAAGCCAGAAAATTTCAAGTCTTAGACTTGACTTCAATTGGTCCCTAATTGGCAGAGGCACCAGATACCACACAAGAGACAAATGCAAATCCTCTTTTAATAGAAATAATCTTATTCTATTCTTCAAAGTAGCCCTATAAATATAGTATTTTGCAAAAGTTATATTTAGCACACAGCCAAAGGCAATAAGCACTGGAGGAAACTACACTCCATAACCAAGAACCAGTCAAGACAAATAGCTAAGGCACACTCAAAGGGACATTAGTAGTTATAATTATCAGACACAGATTGATATTAGGTACGTAAAATATATTTAAAGAAGTAAAAAACAGACTTGATTATATCTATAAATAATATAAAGCTCTAAAAAGTGACAGAGCAGATTTACAAATGAACCAAGTAGTTATTCTAGAAACAGAATATGTATAACATTAAAATAAATAAGATATAAACAAAATTAATAAGTTTAAGAGTAGAAGTGATAGAGAAGAAGAGGGTTAGTGATCTGAGCGATATCAGAAAAAATTCTTGAAAATACACTGGGAGAGAGAAAAAGATTGAAACTACATAAGGTACCTAAAAGTTGGCATAAAAATGAATTCTATGATGAAGAAATATTAAAGTTAATAAGAGGATTTTTTTGTTTCTTGTTTTTTGAGATGGAGTCTCGCTCTGTCACCCAGGCTTGAGTGCAGTGGCAAGATCTCGGTTCACTGCAACCTCTGCCTCCCAGGTTCAGACAATTCTCCTGCCTCAGCCTCCCAAGTAGTTGAGATTATAGGTGCACAACACCACACCTGGCTCTTTTTTTTTTTTTTTTTTTTTTTTTTTTGGAGTTTTGATATGGGGTTTTACTATGTTGGCCAGGCTGGTCCCGAACTCCTGACCTCAAGTGACCTGCCCACCTTGGTGTCCCAAAGTGCTGGGTTTTGTTGTTGTTGTTGTTGTTATATTTTGTTGTTTGTTTGTTTTTACAGATCTAGATGAGGAAATTTCAGATTTGAACTCTGATAAAGCTGCATTAGGAATTTACAGGAAGTGTATGTTTTTTTTAAAAAAATTGTGAAATAGAATCCACTACACATGAATGTGAGTGGTGATAAAGAAGGACAGATTGAGCATCGCTTTAAGATTTCCAGCTTAAAAGATTGGATGGGCTCCAAAGGAGGGAAAGTGTTCATTTTTTCTTTATACTGTTGAGTGCCTGAATGGAGATTTTGAACATTAAAAAAATATGAGTCTGGAATGAAATGCAGATATGAGTGTTTCTTGTATAGATTTTTGTTGAAGTTATGAGAGCAATTAAAATGATTAAGAAGAAAAGGATAACATCACACAGAATTAACAGTTAATGGTTGTGAAAATGACTGAGAAGGAAAATCAGAGAGTTAAGGGGAGAACCAAGAACATGCTGTCTCAAAATTCAAAGCAGGGAAAAATTTAAAAAGGAACAAATGATTAAGTATAAAATATTTCATTTCTGAGTAGGTAAGAAAAAATACATTGAAGCTGGTCTGTATTTTAAAGGAATTATAGAAGAGTTATAAAGTTCTATTGAAGACATTGAGTATAGGCAATGTCTGTAAAGAAAGAGAAAGAGGCACAAGGCAAAATGAATAGAGTTTGAATGCACACATACACACAAACAAAAGAAGATTAAAGGGAAAATATAAAAACAGGGTGCTCCTGAATATTCCAGTAACATTTACTTTTCCTTACATATCATAGGCATGATGAAAACATCTCTTACAGTTTTTTCCAAATAAAAATAACAAAACTAGCATTTTTCTATGTAAAATATTAAAAAATTATTTTATTAACTTGCTTTCAGTTAATTTCTTTGATTCTAAGATGTTCATTTTTCTACATTTGATTATATCTGAAATGAGAATTTACCATACCACTGATGTGGTAGAAAACCAACAAGTCATAGTTTGATTCACAGGTTTGCTCTTTCTCTTTCTTGGTGTCGTATAAAATAATGATGTGACTTACAACAGATGTAAACCTTAGATTTGATGAAATATAGTATAGCAAAGATAACTGACCACTGATCTTTACAGTCAGCTATGCTTTGCTAAGATCAAATATGCCACATTAATAATGATGCAAACATATTGCTCATATTTATTGATATAGATTCAGAGTTTCTGATTAAGAAAATATTTCTATTTTTGTTGATTTCAAATTAGAAAATTGTCAGTGCATAGCCTATAAATGATTAATTAACTAACATTACAAAGCATTTTACTTTAAAAATACATTGTAGTTTAAAATTCAAAAAAGCCTTTAATTTTATTTAATTATTATGCAATAGTAAAGAGAAATATAAAAATTGTAAATTTATTAATGATGCCATATGCCATGAAAATGTTTTCTATATAGATACAAATTCGAATATATGCCTCATTTTGTCCCCGTTGTTCTGAAAATACATAGGCAGAAATCAATACTATTATAAAATGTGGTTTCTTGATCTCCCATTTAATTAGTGTGAGTTAAACCTCAATAATCACTGGTAATTCTGTTTTTACATTTCTTTGTTACATATCAGAAGTTTACAGCTTATTATGAAATCTTAAGCTAACATTTTTGGTAAAAACATTGGATTTGATGTTATATGTGTTATTATCAGATGTGCTTTTTACTAATATCAGTTGGCTGAAACAAAAGCCCAAAATCTATGATTTGGTCAGGATTTGTTTGATTACATAAACTACTTTGATGACTCTAAGTAGAATTCACATGTGAAGGGACATTGCACTCTCAATAAGAACCAGAAAATGATTTTATAGTTGAGCACATGTAGTATCACTAGCACCAAATAACTACTGCAAACCTGAAAATGAACATCCTTCAGTATCACTAAAACAAAGGGTTTAAAATTTGGGGAATCTAAAACATAATTTCATGAAGTGCCTGATGTTTTATTATTTAAAATAGAGACTTAATCAAATATATTTATGCCTTTTAGTACTTACCCAAATGACCCAAATGACTCTTTATATTACAGGTTTATACATGCTAAATTTAACATTTCAAATAAAAAGATTTTAAGTAAATTCCAGAAAGCGTAATTCAGCTATATTAGCCCATTTTCATGCTGCTGATAAAGACATAGAGACTGGGCAATTTACAAAAGAAAGAGGTTTACCAGACTCACAGTTCCACGTGTCTGGGAAGGCCTCACAGTCATGGCAGAAGGTGAAAGGCACATCTCACATGATAGAAGACAAGAGAAGAGAGAGAGCTTGTGCAGGGAAACTCCCATTTTTAAAATCATCACATCTCATGAGACCTATTCACTATCACAAGAACAGCATGGGAAAGACCCATCCCCATGATTCAATTACCTCCCACTCACTGAGTTCCTCCCAGGGCACATGGGAATTGTGGGAGTTAAAATTCAAGATGAGATTTGGGAAGGGACAGAGCCAAACCATATCATCAGCTGATACCAAAGGTCTGAAAAAACTTAAAATATATACTAAAGTTGACTACTTTAAATTTAGAAAACGAATGGTGATTTTAGTTATTTTGAGGCTTAATATAGTTAACACATGTATTTCTTCAATATAATTTCAAAAACTATTTTTAACAAACTAACATATAACGGAATCAACATATTTCACTAGTATATTTATCTTTACATAAAAAAAGAGAAATATTTTTATAGATCTACTTTGAAGTGAAAAGTAAAACATGTTGATGTCAGTGAGTTATCTATTTCGCATATAACAAGCAAAACCAGCATTTAAGATAAAATGATACAATTAACAGTTCATTGGTTATAAACATGCTTAAAAGAAAAATTCCTCTATCATGGCAAACTTTGTGTTGAAAAAGAAAAGTGTCATTAGCCACCACAGAGTACCTAAGATAAAATCAAATATTGATTTTATTTAAGAGACTACTCTTTAAGAGTTTTCTAACCACAGCTTAGTTAATCCTTATAAAAACAAAAGAAGAAAAATAAGTCCTACCAAGATATTTTTAATATCTTTCTAAAAATTCAGTTACACTTATATGACACACCTTAAAGAGACTACAGAAACCCCAACTTCAGAAAGAATGGAAAAACATTGTAATTATGTAGTATAATTATGAGTTTGTTCCTTCTGGTATGATAAAATGTTCTGAGCTATGCTATATAGGCTGTGCACTTAGGAACATCAATACTTATATTGTGTAAAATGAACAGCCACTGAGCTCCAATGGGCTTCATTTTGTGTTTTAAGATTCCTGAGAATGACTTCGAGATCATTAGCTCTATAAGCACTAATGCATGCTGTTGCTCCTAAAGGAGCATAATGAAGTAAAAACATGAGAGTAGCTAATCTTAACATTGTGTTAATTCTAAAAAGAAGAGATGTGTATACGTATTTTTTTGCCATCAAATGGAGGAATAAATTTTTTAAAAATGTGAAATGTTATCTCTTTTTTATATTTAAAAACATCATTTAAAAAGAATAAGAATGCTTAACAAGTAGAATTTTCCTGGCTAAGTTAAAGGCAATTCTCCCTGAGGCTTTTTCACCTGAAGATCTATATTTGGACCACAAGGTAAGTCATCAATTCAAGATCAGGTGACCATCATCTCTTGTGGCTGGACAATAGTTTGTTAATCCTTTCTATACATCAATTTATACATACTTTTGGCCCCTAAAAAATAGTCTGGGGCCGGGCATTGTGGCTCACATCTGTAATCCCAGCACTTTGGGAGGCCGAGGTGGGCGGATCACTTGAGGTCAGAAAAGTTCAAGACCAGCCTGGCCAACGTGGTGAAAGCCCATTTATATTATAAACACAAAAATTAGCCAGGCATGGCGGCACACACCTGTGATTCCAGCTACTCGGGAGGCTGAGGTATGAGAATTGCTTGACCTGGCAGGCTGAGATGGCAGTGAGCCGAGATCGTGCCACTGCAATCCAGCATGGGTGACAAAGCAAGACCCTGCCTCAAAAACAAAATCAAAAACCAAACAAACAGACAAACAAAAAACAAATAATAATGTTTGGGAAAACTCACACTTGCTAGTAGACCACATATTATTTTGATAAATAAAGTGCCCTCACTCCTTCCTTAGCAAGACATCAATCTTAGTGTGTGGCCTTGAAAGTCTGGTTATTTAAATATTCATATCATACCTAAAGCAAGGAAAATATAATTATCTACTACATAACATATATAATAATTCCATTCTGTAAGGCTTTCCAAACAGTAGGTATTTCAATTAAAAAAAAGTTTCTTGATCATGAACTCCAGATGATGAGCTGACCATGTTTCTATGGATTATAACACATAGCCTTGGAATTGCTGCCTATAATGAAAATAACCCATGAAAGCTATAAACGTTACAGCCCTGATTTAAGTGATGTTGTGTTTTATCGAATAACATGCCTATATTAAAATTGTGAATTATTTTGTGTTAACTTAGTTTTATGTAATTGATTCAAATTCCAGCAAATATGATTCCTATTAATGAAATAAATGAGTATACAATTTCCAAATATTTCTGACAATGAAGAACAGTACAAAATTACGATACTACTGATACAAAAGCAAAACTTGTCTTCAAATTTAAATGTCTTTTTCGCACCAAGACTTTAATGAGAGTTTTTATTTTTAAGTTTAAATTTCTAATCTTGTGGGCAAATATACTGCAGGTACATTTGTAGTATTATAAAAGAAATACAGTAGTGGATAATATCACAATCAAATGTTTCTAAGTTGTATTAAAATATTCAATCTATTTAAGTTAAAAATATATGAATGTTTCATTTTTGTACCTTCCATCCAGATTAGTACCAGTTTATAGAATCTAGTCCCCCTCCTCTTCCTCACCAAAGCAAATAATCCCTCTTACAATGACAAATGGTTAAAATAATAGAATGTGTGATTTAGTACTAAAAACTAGAGGAAATTATTATGAATATATAACAAATCTGACCATATTTCCCCTAGATAAATTAAATGTTTTATCATACCAGAAGGAACAAACTCATAATTATACTACATAATTACAATGTTTTTCCATTCTTTCTGAAGTTGGGGTTTCTGTAGTCTCTTTAAGGTGTGTCATATAAGTGTAACTGAATTTTTAGAAAGATATTAAAAATATCTTGGTAGGACTTATTTTTCTTCTTTTGTTTTTATAAGGATTAACTAAGCTGTGGTTAGAAAACTCTTAAAGAGTAGTCTCTTAAATAAAATCAATATTTGATTTTATCTTAGGTACTCTGTGGTGGCTAATGACACTTTTCTTTTTCAACACAAAGTTTGCCATGATAGAGGAATTTTTCTTTTAAGCATGTTTATAACCAATGAACTGTTAACTAATAAAACTGCTTTTATTAGTTAAATATTAGATATATTTCCATTAAGACAGAACTAAATCACACATTTTGTCTTTGAAAGAAATTATTGGAATAAAGTAAGAGAGATATTATTGGAATCTTCCTTCTAGATGCTCTAATTGGAAAAGATGATAATTAGGAATCAGTCTAGGTCATGAGACATAGTCTACTATAATATTTTGGTCGCACAATTCAAAACTAGCTCAAGTGAAAAGTTTCAGAACCAATGTGCCCCACCAAACCGAAAGCAATCAGGGCCCCAAATCATTCCATTCCCCGTGTGGTTTCATACTGATGCAGTAGGCAATTTCTTCCATCATAGGGAATCACATCAGCGAGGCAGTTGAAAACACCAAAAGGGAAACCTAGAGCAAAGGCTGAGCTATATAAAAATATTAGATATGGAGAGCTTGCTCCTAGAATCACCTTGTTCCTGAAGGTCAAAGGGTAATATATTTGAAAAGAAGATTTTTGTTGCTGTTATTCTTTTCTTTTTTTCTTTCCTTTTTTTTTTTTTTTTTCCCCTAGGAGTACTCTACTACACTAGGGCCTGTGTTCTCAGATCCACCTTCTACCCAACTGTTGACTCACTGAACTGGTTACACAGAACTATATTATTTAGATCTTCATTTTTAGCATACTAATAAACAGTGAAGAGACAAAAGAAAAATTAAACTAAAACAAGTATTAATACGTATCAAACTAACTTCTTCACATTCAAAGATGTATAAACTGATCAGAAAATCAACAAAGAGTTCTTAAAAATATGAGAGAAGTGATGGAAAAGTCAAGAAAATACTGAAAATAAAGAAAATATTATGACAACTCTCAGATATTAAAATAGACTATAAAACTATGATGATCAAAATAGTGTGGTCATAGCCAAAGGCTAAATATCAATAGGACAGAAAACTCAGAAATAGAAGTTTAAAATGTATATGAATATGTGCATATCCTTTCATGTAGGTAGTTTTTCATATCAGTTGTGAAAAGATGGTTACTGCAAAGATGCTGAATCTATGCATTAGCTATTTAGTGACAAAACTGTTTAGCTAATTAGCTATATATAAAAATTAATTATTCATAAAGATGTTAATAAAAATTGATACCATAGAATAGTAATACATGTTGATTGGAAATTCCTTATAAGCAGTATCATCATTTCCAATAATCATAAAACTAAAGAGAAATATTATCTATAAAGGGAAATACAGATAGAACCACCATCAAATAAAAGCAAATCTGGACTTAAGAGGCAATCTTATTTTAAAAGACTTGCAATAAGAAGAATTTTCCAATCCTAAGATTTATAAACATGTGGTGCTCTTTCCCTTACCCTAGGGATGGGGCTTCCTGAGAGCCAAACTGCAGAGATTGTTATTGCTCTTCTGGATTTAGCCACCCAGAGAGGCTACTGGGCTCTAGGCTGGTACTGAGGAGTGTCTGCAAAAAGTCCTGGGATATGATTCATGTTCAGATCTTTCAGACCTAGATTCCA
Organism: Homo sapiens; assembly: GCF_000001405.40. Lineage (NCBI taxonomy): Eukaryota > Metazoa > Chordata > Mammalia > Primates > Hominidae > Homo > Homo sapiens. The sequence continues at coordinate 105,350,290 of NC_000005.10, forward strand.
GCACCTGCTCCATTGATGGTAGCAGGGGAGTAAAGTGGACTCTGTGAGGGTCCTTGGTTGTAGTTTTGTTTAGTGTGCTGGTTTTGTGTTGGTTGGCTTCCAGCCAGGAGGTGGGGCTTTCATAACTGCATCAGCTGTGGTAGTATAGGGAGGATACAAGCTTACCCTAGGGTCACCTGGATAAGTATTCAGGTTTCTCAGGCAATGGGCAAGGCCATAGAATGCCCAAGAGATTATGCCCTTTGTCTTTGGCTATGACGGCAGGTAGAGAAATGCCATCAGGTTGGAGGCAGGATTAGGCATGTCTGAGCTCAGATGCTCCTTGGGCATGGCTTGCTGCAGCTGCTGTGGGGATGGGGTGTGGTTCTCAGGCTGGAAGATGGAGTCACGTTCCCAGGGGGATTATGGCTGCCTGTCCTGTGTCATACAGGTCGCCAGGGAAGTGGGGGAAAGTTGGCAGTGATGTGCCTCACCCTTCTCCCATGCAGCTTGCAAGGCCAATCTCACTCCCACCATGCCCCCACAACAGCAGCAAGTTTATGTCCAAGCAGCTGGTGAGCAGGGCTGGGAACTTGCCCCAGGCTACAATCCTCCCAGCTGAGAAAGCAAGCAGGGCATTAGGCTTTGTACCTCCCCACCAGCCACAGTTTCTGTGCTCTTATCTGCACTTCCCATTCGCACCCTCCCCTGGATTCTGTCCAGGAAATTTTGCATTTGGTCAAAACTATTACAAAGTTCAGCTGGAAGTTTCCTTCTCCCTATGGTCATTCCCCAATTCCACTGGCAGCCCTCCCCAAATACCCCTGCAAGACGAAGTCAGGAATGGCTTCCCTGGAGACCTAGAGTGTCCACAGGGCTCTTCCTACTGCTTCCTCTACCCCTATACTTTGTTCAGCTCTCTAAATTCATCTCAGCTCCAGGTAAGGGCAAATCCTTCTCCCATTACCTGGACCTTCATGTTCCCCAGTGAGGATGTGTGTTCAGGGGTGGACATTTCCCTTCTAACACTTTGGGCACTCGCAATTTTTTGGCTGTCTCATGGAGCCTGTACTGGCAAGCCACTTCCTTCAAAGGGTCTATGGATTCTCTCAGTTTTCCTGGTATGTTCCTGCAGTAGTTCGTGGATCAAAAGTTCACGATATGAGTCTCCACATGCTCCTCTATCTGTCCTAGTGGGAGACACAAGTTAGTCCTGCCTCCCGTTGAAATGGGAAAAGTTCCCTTATCCCCCTTGCAGGATGCATGATGGGGTTGTGGCTGGCTTCTTCGGTGGCCCACTGCTCAAACTTCTAGGGGGAGCAGTCAGATGGGCAGGTTTTAGGGCTCCGACCCCAAAGCAGGGTCTAGGGGTGAATGTTTACAGCTGAAGTCCTAGTGGGCATGTGTAGCAGTGTGTTCTTTCAGTTTAGCAGTCTGTAAGCAGCTTGTGTTGTCAGCTTAGTTAGACCCCCTGCCTTATTGTAAGGACAGAGGGCTTTCTGTATCCGGGCTTCTAGCCTTGGTGTACCACAAGAATCGGATCACACACGGGCTTGAGAATGAATGTAAGGTTGTACTGAGTGGAAGTAGCTCTCAGCAGATGGGGGAGCCAGAAGACAGATGGAGTGGATAAGTGGTTTTCCCCTTGAGTTGGGCTGCTCAGCAGCTGAGCTCCCCTCCGACTGCCCAGCCAAACTCCATGTCGTTCCGCTGGTCAATGGCCTGCCGGCATGCCAGTGTCTACCAGAGTGCTCTTATGCTGGTGCATTCCTTTATACATCCCCCTACTTGTGTGTGTGTCAAGGTTTTTATAGGAACAGGAGCAGAGTGGGGGCCGGGGGGATGGTCGGGGCATGGCAGGCCAGGGTGGTCTTGGGAAACGTAACATTTGGGCAGGAAAACAGAAATGCCTGTCCTCACCTACGTCAGTGGGAACAGACCCAGGGGTGGAGCCCTAGCCAAGGACCCGCCCTTCTCTACCCAGCACTTCCGTGTCCCCCTCCCATATCACTATTTGCCACTTATTCTACTTTTTCAAAAGGACATTTCTTTTAGAGCAAAGAGTAAACAACCTAAAAAGTACTGATGGTTGAAAAATGGGCTGAGCATATGGCATGACGAGCAAACTGTTTAGGCAGGTCTTTCTCTGAGGCCTGCTAATTCTTGAAGGGGCTATAAAGGGGTGATTTTTCCATGTCTCAGTGCCTTTTTAAGCTCAAAGATGGGTCAAGGTTCAGGCGCTTACAGGAAGGGGATAAGCTTGACTAAAGTTTGGCCAAGTCATATCAGCAAGTATTTTGTTCAAATTGGTCACTCCACGAAAAAAAGTGAAAGTTCTACAAAATCATAAATAGCAAAGAGCCAGCTGGGCAAACATTTGCATCTATTCTTGAAGGAACTTTTATTAACCATTAGTACAAATAATCCATCAGAAAGTATGTAAACACATTTTAAAAGAATCCTACTCTAAAATCTCACTCATAGGTGGGAATTGAACAATGAGAACACATGGACACAGGAAGGGGAACATCACACTCTGGGGCCTGTTGTGGGGTGGGGGGAGGGGGGAGGGATAGCATTGGGAGATATACCTAATGCTAGATGACGAGTTAGTGGGTGCAGCGCACCAGCATGGCACATGTATACATATGTAACTAACCTGCACATTGTGCACATGTATCCTAAAACTTAAAGTATAACAATAAAAAAAATAAAAAATAAAAAAATAAAAAAATCTATGATTTCAGTGATATTACAAATGAATCTCTATTTTCTATTTAAAACTGTTTTGTACATGTCAATTTCCTTTAAAAAAAAAAAGCCTTTAAATAGCACTCCAATATTCTGAATAGAAAGTTCACAACATTGGTATCCAGAATGCTATATAATCGAATTCAATTTTACTTTCATTGAACACTGTTACAAAAGGCACATTCTATAGGAAGCAACTGTAACTTATAATACTCTATATTTAGGAATGCCATTCACCTCTAAGAGGGGAAGTCTTTAATCTTTTGAGTTCATATGCCTTTTTTCAGAATCTCATGAAATTTATAGTTATCTTTTCAGCAAAAATGTACATGAACACAAGACTCAATTTCAGTTTTTACACATATCTCCTAAACCTATCAATGCTTTCCTAGGCTGTATGTTAAACTGCTATGTATTAAAAGCACCACTGTATCATCCTTAAACATATTCTCCAATGGAACTGAATTTTTCCAGAGTCTGGTTCAGGAAAGTAAAGAGAGAGTTCAGAACTGCCATGTGAATCATCACTTTCTCACTGAAAGCCATTTTTAATATTCATACAAACTCTCTAGCTAAGCTCCAGCTGATCTGAAAGAACTCTCAATTATAGTCAAATAGGACAAACTATTTTTTTTTTCTTAAAAAGGATACAGTTTAATTTATCTATATTTACTGACAACCATTTCCACAGCCTGGGAGTTACTTTCTTTCATTCTCTGCTGTTCTCAAATTGGCACTTTCTTTAAAGCTCAGGACCAATTGTATCTTACCTGTGAAGCATTTTTAGTTTTCTACTTTCTTCCCATTTAAAAATTCTTGGATGAATACTCAATGATTTTGGACGAAATACAAATGTTACAATATTTTACATGGCATGGAAAATTTTTCAGCTTCTACCATTCTGGCTACCTGAAGTTTCCTAGCTTAGGGTTTTCTATGCTGTTTGCTTTTATATATCTGTACTTTCGGTAATACTTTAGTTTTTACCTACAAGATAGTATTCCAGTCTCACTTAGAAATCTTTCCTAACCAATCCCAGGATCGGATTTAGGTGTCTCTATTATGCACTCTACCAATAACAGCAAATCTCCACTATAGCATGTTTTTCTGTGTTGAAATCACTTACCCTCTTCTGTGTGTCTTTCTTTAGCTGTTGAGCTACTTAAGAGATTATATTATATATGTATTTTTATTCAATAGAGCACTGTAATTTTTAGACTTACATTATTTGCAAACTTAACAACTATATATTTGCCTTCCCTATCTAGGTCATTTATAATGACTATGTCCAGAAAAATACAAAAAAATTAAAACACCAACTCTAAAACTTTTCCTTAAACTGGCACTGAGCCATTCATCAGCAGCGTTTAAATAAGTCTTTTAAATCATTATTAACAGGATCAATTTTACCAGCATCTAGTTCATATAGAGCTTTTTAATCTCAACAATAACAAAGACACAAACAAAAACTCGTCAAATTTCTCAAAAATGTTACACCTAACATTTTTAATATTTCTAAATCCACTAATTTAGAAACTCTCTAAAATTGAAACAATGTTGAACTAACATGATTTCTTTTTTAATGAAATCAATAATGTGCCTAGTCATTTAGCTAAATGTCAAAAGTATATTTTTAACCCTATTTTTTGGAAGAAATGCCTAACAGCACTCTTTCAAATTCACTTAAAAATTCCTATTACTATTTACAAATCTTCATTCACGTTTGTTTTTAAAGAGACATTACTTTGGGTGCCTCTGATTGCTTCTATGACAATGAATTGATTGATCTTGTTTGTCTTCAAATTTTAAGGGTTTTAAAATTATAACAACACTTTTTCTTAACTCTAATTTTATTTATTTCTCTTCACAAATGTAAGGAGTTCTTTTTTAGACATTTATATAAAACAGTAACAATTATTATCAACCGATTGTTTCCCATACCAATATAATTATTAACTACTCTGGGGAAAAAAATTAAAACCTCCAGACTATCAAAATTTTAATGAGAGGTTTTCAATCTGACATGCATATTAGACTCACCTAGAATATCTTAAAAAGAATATGATGACTAGGCCCCACAAACAGGGGATCTGATATAATTTTCTTGAGATGGGTCAGACCATGGGTATTTTTTTAAACCTCCCCTCTGATTTTAAATTTCAGGCAGGGTTTTAAGCCAGTGCTCTGAAGAAAGCAATCTGTTTTTCTTTCTTTCCAGGCTGTTACAAAGATACATTGCCATAATTTGCTCCTGGATCATGATCCTGTGACTCTTTGGGGTTCTCATCTTTTAATGTAATAAATATAATTTTTAAAAAATAAACATTTTAATTTACTGTAGTAAACTATAATTTTAGCAAAGGAAAATACATGAATAAATTTATTTTTAGAGTGAGACGATTTAATAGGTAAAACTAATCTTACATACAACATCAGTATTCTGTGAGTCTTCCAAATGGCCTTGCCAACTTCTTTACATACATTTATTCTCTAGTTACTTAGCGTGTGTCTCCATCTTCTACATCTTCTAGATTAAGTATTATCAACTGATTTACCCTACATAGAAGCAACCAAAAGAGTACTCATTCCCTTTAAAAATAAAAAACAATAATAATAATAATGATAATCACAATAAAAGTGAGGAATTACTTGGAAATAATTTAAAAACTAACAAAAAATTATTGAATAATTCTCTCCCAAAAAATGAGAAGAAATAGAAAATGATTTCTTGGGGTTCTTGCAAAAATTAGAAGAAATACATGTAATCAACTATCATGAAAGTGCCTAAAATTGCCCCTTATACATATTATTATTCTTTACTGATTAAAAATGGCCCTGCATTTAGAGATTTAGAGTAATTTTGTAGTTTTAGTATCAGAAGAAAGTGTAAGTGAATTTTAAATAATGTCCTTAAATAATGCAACATTTCATGTAAACACTATTATATAATATAGATTCTGAGATACCAAGATTTTTAGGCCTGACCTTACCGTATTCTCCATATAGTACTAACATCTAAATGAGAAAAGTTTTCATAAAAACTTCTATTTATAAAATCACAATGTGAGTTTTTCCATTTTTTTGTCTGAGTAGCTTAAAAAGACAGGAAACATTGTTATACATCACTTATGTTAATATTTTTCCATAACTATTATCCAACATGCAACTAAAGATTAATCAAAATAATAATACGTACATGAATAAATAGGTCAGTATTTAAAACTATGTCATTAGGTTAACTTTCCCTTTACAAAGATTAACTTTTGGCACTGAGTTCCCCCAAACAAAAAAGAATTATAGAAATAATCTATTAACTCTCAGGTGGCAATCTATATATAAGCATTTTCAATTTATTTAGCTTTCAAGGACTCTTAACATAAATGTGTCTATGTTACTTTCAATATGCCTACAAAGAGGTTTAAAAAGTACCAATCTTTTTTCTCTGCAAAGAGCATTATTTTCTTTTAGCTGTGCACACCCAGTATTAGACAGGACTAAAACAAAGGAGCATCTTGACTCCTTGGGCTGTCATAGAATTCAGCACAAGCTCTGTGGAAATTTTACACCTGTTAGTGTCTTGCCATCTCTTCTATGATCAGTTAAGGTCTCATTACCATCATCTCTTGTATGTGGCTCCCACTTTAACATCAATGCCATTCAGCGTATCATTCACAGAATAAGCAATTCACATTTTAATTACCTTTCACCCAGCTGCTTAATTTTTTCCCTTTCTTTCATTTATTCATTTAGTTGCATTTTACTGAAGTGTAACACATACAAAAATTGCATAAATTATGACTTCTCCCACCTTTTTACAATTAATTTCCAGGAGTACTATCTATGCATAACAAGTATCTAAATATTATAAACATGTTATTTTCCATTGGTAGCAATCCATTTTACTTTTTCCTAATACTTTGAAATAGGGTCTTGCTATGTCACCCAGGCTGATCTCAAACTCCTGGATTACAGGCACAGGCCACCATGCTTGGCTTTCCGTTTTCTTTCTTAATAGTGTCTTCATGAAGGAAAGTTCTACTTTTAATTTATTCTTGCATATTAATCTTTATATTTAATGCTCTTTCATGACTGCTTAACAAATTATATTTATATCCCAAATTGATTAATATTTTTCCTACATAATAATGCTTCAGAAAGCATTATTACTTTTATTTTTACCATTATTTCAAAATTCATTTAGAATTAATCTTGTATGTTATATGATATAGAGGTCACGTTTCATATTTTTCGTGTAGATTAAGCACCTTTTCTTGAAAAAACCATCTTACCTCTACTGCACTGAAATATCACCTTGGCTTTAATTCAATTTAATTCAAGTGAATGTATATGTGGGTATGAATCTGTTTCTAGACCCTCTCTTCTGCTTCATTGGCATATTGGTTGTTATGCCAGTACCATACCACCTGTCTCAATTACAGATGGATTATAATTAACATTTTTTTAAATGGTTAAATAAAATGATCAAATCTAGAAACCTTTATTCCAAGATTTTTTGTGGAGTCTTTTAATATTACATTATATTATGTAGATAACATATGACTGTATTTTCTATTTCTCCTTTAGTAAATTTTGATACGGTTGGTGTTTTTCAGCAAGAAAATAAAAATGGTACTCAATAATAATTGGATTTGCCTCAAATCTATAGATCGTATTATAACAATTGACATATTCATAATATAGAATGTTAAGAAAAAAGGTATAATATTTTATATAGTTACATCTTAAAAATTATTTCAATATTATCTTGTAGTTTGGAAGAGATGTCTTACATGTCATTTGATAGCTTTCTTTCTAGGTGTCAAAAAATTTTGATGATATTTTAGAAGGCATTATTTCTTAAACATAGTACAGTAATTTGTTGCTGGGATAAAAAGAACACGATTATATTCTTTATGCTGACCTTGTAAACAAGTGATTTTGCTAATATCCTTATTAATTTGAAGGAGGATAATATATTTTTAAAAATACATATTATAATATCTAAATGTTTTGTCTTCAATAACAACAAAAAATTATAAGGTATTCAAAGAAGTAGGAGACTAGGACTCATTAAAAGAAACAGTATAAATGGAGAGAAATCATCCCTGAGGAGGATTAGACATTAGAATTACTGACATAGACTTTACATAAATTTTCTTAAATGTGCTTAAAAAGCTAAAGGAAACCATGGATAAAGAACCAAGGAAAGCAGGACAATTGCACAAAATATACAAAATAAGAATATTGATATAGATAAAAAAATTATTTAAAGGAAACAAACAGAAATTCTGGAGCTGAAAAGTAAAATAACTGAAATTAAAATATTATTTGGGGTTCAACAGAAGATTTGAGCAGGGAAGACGAAGAATCTGAATTTGAATATACAGCAATTGTAATTATCAAGTCTGAGCATAAAGCAAAAAATGAAAAAAAGTGAACAGAAAAAAAGAGCCTATAGAATTTGTGGGACATAATTAACTAAGACAATATGCACATTTGAGAGTGCTAGAAAGCAAGGGGAGAAAAAAAGAATATTTTCAAGAATAATGACTGAAAATGTTTCAAATTTGATAGAAGACATTAATCTACACATTCAAAAAGCTCAAAAACTTTAAGTAGAATAAGCTCAAAGAGATCTACACTAAGACACATTATAACAAAACTTTTGAAAGACAAAGACAAAGAGAATCTTAATAGCAGCAAGAAAGAAATGACTCATTACCTACTAGGCATCCTCAATAAAAGTAAGAGATTATTTCTAATAAGAATCCATGGAGACCTGAAGTGAGTGAGATGGCATATTTAATGCACTGAATGAGGCCATTCACAGTGCTTCATACCTGTAACCTCAGCTACTCAAGAGGCTGAGGTTATAGAATCACTTGAGGCCAGGAGTTCAAGAATATTCCGTGTAACACAGCAAGACCTCATCTCTAAAAAAAAAATTTTTTAAGTGGTCAATGAAAAGAAAACTGTCAACCAAGAATTCTCTATTCAGCAAAACTATACTTTAAAATGAAGGATAAATTAAAATAGTCTCAGATAAACATAATCTGAGATTTGTTACTATTAAAATTGCCCTTCAAAAAATGCTGAAGGTAGTCTTTTGGGTTGAAATGAAAGGACACTAGACAGAAACTCAAGTCTATATAAAAAAATAAAAATTATAGGTATAGATAATTGCATGAGAAAATATAAAAGCAAGTATAATTGTACTTTTTGGTTTTTTAACACCACTTCATGTTTTGACAATACTTAAAAGAAAAAATGTAAAAATAATTTTAAAAATATGTTATTGGACACATAAAGAATAAAGAGGTAATTTTGATAGCGACAATATAAAAGATTTGGTGAAATCAAAAAAGCAGAGTTTTGTATGGTATTGAATCTCTAAGCTGGCTTCACTAATTCTGGTAATTTGTTGTCTCTCCACCCATCATTAATTCTGTTTTTATATTAGTCTCTCTAAAAATCAAATTTACCTTGTTAATTTGTCTCTGTTCATTTGTTTCCTGATTCACTAATATCTTACCTGTTCTTATCTTCATGTTTCCATTTCATCTACCATTGTAGATTTAGTATGCACTTCTTTTTCTAATTTCTTAAATGGCATAATCAGAATATCATGTCTCCTTTTTTATATATGTATTTGAGAGTACAACTGTGATTATATCAAGTTGAATCTTATTAATTTTTATGATACTTATTAACATCTCTTCCATTCAAAATATTTCCTAATTTACATTGTATTTCGCCCATATAATGGATTTATCTTTTAGTAATTATCAAGTCTGAGATTTCAATGTTTTTAGAGATTCCAATGTTTCTACCCATATTCTACTGTAGTCAGACAACATCATGTTTTATTATTTGAAATGTATTAGAGAAATTAACTTGACAGTTTTGGAAGACGTCCCATTTGCATGTGGTAAAACAGGGAAATTTTTCAATATTGAGATAATTTTTACATTTATAAATAAGTTTACATTGGTAAATTTTATTATATGCATCTTCTATATCTTTCATAATTTGCATTTATTTGCTTATCTTATTAAGGATGATCTTGTTATTGTCTTTTTTATTCTCCTCTTCAATCATTTCTTCCTTCTCCTTTTACTTATCCTCCTCTTCCTCTTCCTCATCCTCTCCTTCTATCTCTAATCCTCATAAATCTCAATGTCATGCACAAATTTGAATAGTAGAATTTCTATATATAAAGAGAGACAGTGGGAAGGCTTATGCAAATCTGTCCCTAAAGTTCAGAATTTCAGAGAACCTGAGAAGCTGAAGAAAGAGGCTGACAAATTCAGTTTCTTAAAAAGAAACATTTGGTAGGGACTAACAAACAGAAACCATGTCTATATCTCAGGTGACTGTGAGACAAGATAGGGGATCCCTGTGCCATTAGTCCCTAGACCCTGGGCTTATATATCATAGGTAAGGTGTCTGCAGGAAAAGCAAGAATACTATATGAATCTACCTAAAGACAGGATTTATGGTCAAGGTTGTTTTGGCCTAAAGATTTGTAGTAAGAATATGCCCTTATACAAGGAACAATACTATTTGCATGGATATTTTTGTTCATTTAAATTTGATAAAATTACTAATGCAGTGGGCTTAATAATCTATAATAAAACTATTAATTTTTCTAATATAAACTTATTAGTTTGTTCTCTCATTTTAGTTCTTCTTGTGGATTGATCACATATAAAGGCGTACATTTGACAGGAAGAAAAGTTTCACAATATTAATCTAAGATCCCACATCAAAAGCCTAGAAAGCAAAGAGCAAAATAAGCATAAGACAAAGGGAAGACCAGAAATAAGAATTATAGAAGAAAAAAATATAATTAAAAGCAAAACAATGATCAAGAAAATTAATGAAACAAAAATGTGGTTGTTTAAATAAGGACAATAAAATTGATAAAGTTCTAGCACGATGAAGTAAAAAGAGATCAGAGACAAATTATCAATATCAGGACTGAGAAAGGAAAATTACTATACAAGCCACAGACATCAGCAGGACAATTAAAAAAAACACAATTAGAAATTCTACACACCTAAATTTGAGAATTTAGATGAAATGAATCAATCCATTAGACAACAAAACTACCACTACATATCTAATACAAAAGAGATAATTTTATTAGCTCTATAACTCTAAGAGATTTAAATTTATATTTTAAAAATTCCCCAAAAGAAACCCCAGCTTACATAATTTTAATTAAAAATTCTACCAAACATTTAGGGAAGAATTAACATCAATCATATCTCAAGAAATAGAAGAAGAGGAAACATTTTCTATTCATTTTAAGAAGCTATGAATTTCCTGATATCAAACCAAAGATAGCATAAAATGGAAGAATACTGAACAATACCCATAATAATTACAAAGACAAAAATTATCAATAAAAATTATATAGAATTCAGAAACATACATAAAGATTAAAACACACAAAGAATTGTTTGATATAGTTTGGATATTTTTTCCTACCTAAGTCTCATGTTGAAATGTAATCTGCAGTGTCGGAGGTGGGGCCTGGAGCTGTTTGCATCATGGGAGTGGGTCCCTCATGAATGGCTTGGCCATCCCCTTGGTGATAAATGAGCTCTCACTCTGAGTTCACATAAGATCTGGTTATTAAAAAGTGTATGTCACCTCCTGCACTATCTTGCTTGCTCCCATTCTCGCCATGTAACATGTCTGCTCTCCCTTCACCTTCCACCATGATTGAAAGTTTCCTGAGACCTGCCTAGAAGTCAAGTAGTTTCCAGTACCATGCTTCCTGTAAAGCCTGCAGAACCATGCACCAATTAAACCTCTTTTGTTTTTATAAATTTGGAGACCATATATCTGACAAGGGGTTAATATCCAAAACATATAAGGAACTCATATAAGGGTTAATATCCAAAACATATAAAGAACAATTGAATAGCAAATTAACAAATTACCCCAATATATAATGGACAAAGCAGCTGAATAGGTATTTCTCCAAAGAAGATATACAAATGGCCAAAAAATATATAAAAATGTGTTCAACATCTCTAGTCATCAAGGAAATGCAAATCAAGACCCCAATAATGTACCCCCCAAAACAAATCCCACTGCTATTGCTGCTATAATTTGCTGTGAGACCGAGGTGTGAGCTAGTCACACACCCCACCGCTTCCTACCTATGCTGTTCTCACTAGTGTGGTCTCATCCTCCCCAGTGGCAGGCCCACAGTGCAACCACCACCGCCCCCACCTGAACATTTTGCCATAACCTAGGGACCATGCTGCCCCTGCCTATCACAGCTAGTGCCTGAACACATTACCAGGGGCCTGAAGAGAAGCCACTGGCCTGGTTCTGTCTCTCCAGTACCAAGCACACCATCAAGAGGCTTGAGGGTTGTCCATTCCAATTTGCAGCTGTGGGCACCTGAACACCACTCCTATGGTCTGAGATCAGGCTGACCCAACCTGCCAATTCCACCACAGCTGGCATCCACCCACATGTGCAACCTGTGGGCCAAGAAACTAGCCCATCCAACCCACCACAACCACCATTAACACCATTTCAGACCACTGGATTCCAGGGGGTTGCTCCACCACTGCTACTGCCATCATAAACATCATACCCACTACCCAGGACCTAAGAACGTGCTCATATTTCCACCTCTCTGCTGCCACTGCTAGCATCCAAGAAATCCACCTGGAGGCCCAAAAATTGGCCTAGACCCACTAACACTGGAGCCACCAGACTCTGCTCTCAGGCTCAAGGACAGGCACACTCCACCTATCATTGCCACCACTGAGGCCCAAAGACTGGTCCCATTGGCATCTCAGCCCCTGGCAAAACTGCACCACAGCCTCCATAATAACATACCCTAAGAGAATGAGGAAATCAAGATATCACTGTCACAACTTACAGCCAAGGAAAACATACAGAGACTACACTGTTACATGCACCTGTAATCAAAACTAAAATGCTCTATCCAACCAACACAACAGATACATATTTATGAAAAAGTTGTTCCACATGAAAGCAAATTCATAAAATTGGAAGAAGTATCTGTGACACCAGATGCACCAATATAAATTTAAGGACACAAGAACACTCAAAAAACAAGAAAATGTGACACTTTCAAAGGAACACAATAAATCTCCATTATTAGAGCCCAAGCTAAAGGAAATTCATTACATCCCAGACACATAATTCAAAATATTGATTCTAAATAAGCTCAGGATTCTGAAAAACAATACAAAGAATTCAGAAAAACAACTTAGGATATGAACAAAAAATAGATATTTTATATAAAAAAAATTCTGGAACTGAAGAATTCACTGAATTAAATACAAAATACATTTGAAAACTTCAACAGTACACTAAATCAAGCAGAAGAAAGAATATTAGAACTTGAAGACAGGTCATGTGAAAGACAAAATAAAGAAAAAAAGGAACAAAAAAGAACAAGTCAAATCTTCGTGATATTTGTGAAAATATAAATCAAACAAACATTTGAATTCTGGGTGTCTCAGCGGGTGAAGAAATAACAATCGCATTGGAAAACCTATTTAACAAAACAGTAAGATGAAAACTTCTCAAGTCCAGCAAGAGATGTAGACATCCAGATAGAGAAGGCAAAGAGAGCCCCAAACAGATATAACAGAAAAAGATTCTTCCCATGGTACATTATAGTGAAATTGCCTAAAGTCAAGGAAGAAAATAGGATTATAAAATAAAAAATAAAAACAAAAACAGAAAGGCATCTAGTCACCTATAAAGAAATTCCCATCAGAGTAACAGCAGATTTATCAACAGAAAACTTACAGGCCAGGAGAGGATTAGATGACATATTTAAAGTGCTGAAAGAAAACAATTGCCATTTGAGGATTATGTTTAACTATATATATATATAATATCCATCAGGACATAAAATATTCTCCAAGAAAGGCCATATGTTAGACTACAAAACAGGCCTTAATAGATTTTTAAAAATCAAAATGATATCAAATATCTCAGAACACAGCAGAATTAAACTAGAAATAAATACCAGAAATAAACTAGAAATTATACAAATGCATGGAAATGTAACAACATGTTCTTAAACAACCACTGGATGAATGAAGAAATTAAGAAGAAAATCAAAACATTTATTGAAACAAATTAAAATTAAAACACAAAATACCTAAATCTATGGATTACAGCAAAAACCATGCTTAGATGGAAATTTGAAACAATTAACACCTACATCAAATAAGTAGAAGGATTTCATGTAAACAACCTAGGAATGCACCTCAAGGATCTAGAAAAGCAAAAACAAATCTAACCTGAAATTTACAGAAGGAAAGAAATAATAAAAAGTGCAGAGCAGAACTAAACAAAAATAGAGGCTAAAAAAGCAATACAAAGTATCAACAAAACAAAAAGTTCTTCAAAAAAATGAACAAAACTGATAAACCACTAGGTAGACTAACTCAGAAGAGAGAAGATCCAAATGGTCGAAATTAGAAATGAAAATGGAGACATTACAACTGATACCAAAGAAATACAAAAGATTATCAGAGACTATTATAAGCAACTATATGCTGACATCTTGGAAAACCTAGAGGAAATGGATAAAATTGTCTAAATAGACAACCTACTAAGACTGAATCAGGAAGAAACAGAAACCTTAAATAAACCAATAATGCTTAGTGAGGCTGAGTCAGTAATAAAATGTCTCCAAACAAAGAAAGCCCAGAACCACATGGATTTGCAGCTGAATTCTATTGAACATATAAAAAAGAACTTGTAGCATTCCTCCTAATACCATTTTTTAAAAATTGGAGAGAAGGGAACTCTCTCTAATTCACTGTAAAAGGTCACCATTACTCTGATATCAAAACCAGGCAAGGACACAACAACAACAAAAACTAAAACTGAACAGTATGCCTGATGAATACAGATGCAAAAATCATCAACAAAATACTGGGAAACAAAATTAAACAGCACGTATAAAAGATAACACACCCTGGCCAAGTGATATTTTTACCCAGGAATGTAAGGATGGTTCAATATATACAAATCAATAAATGTGATACAGCACATCAACAAAATGAAAGACAAGAAACATATGATCATCTCAATTGATGCAGAGGAATGTATTTCCCAAAATTTAGTGTCATTTCACGATTAAAAATCTGAATAACCTAGGCACAGAAGGAACAAAAGTCAAAATAATAAAGGTGATAATTGACAAACCCAAAGCTAATATCATATTAAGTGAGAAAAAGTTGACAATCTTTACTCTAAGGTATAAAATGAGTCTAGTATGATCACTTTCACCACTCCTATTCAATAGAGTAATTAAAGTCCTAGCCAGAGCAATCAGGCAATAAAAAGAAATAAAAGAGGAAATCAAATTGTTCCTTTTTATGGCTAACCTAATCTTTTATATAGCAAAACCAAAATATTCCACCAGAAATCTCTTAGAACTGATAAACAAATTCAATAAAGTTGCCGGATACAAAATTAACATACAAAAATCAGTAGAATTTCTATACACCAATAAAGTAAACAAGGCAATCTCATTTACAATAGTTACCAAAAAAAAATACATAGGAATAAATATAACTAAGGGGGTGAAAGATCTCTGCCAGTTAAACTGCGAAACACTGATGAAAGAAATTGAAGAAGATACAAATGGAAAGAGATTCTATGCTCATGGATCAAAAGAATAAATATTATAATGGTCATACTGCCCCAAACAATATATAGATTCAATGCAATCTCTATCAAAATACCAACATTATTTTTCACAGAATTAGAAAATACAATTCTTAAATTTGTAGAGAACAAAAAAGGATCCCAGGTAGCAAAAGCAATCCTGAGCTAAAAGAACAAAGCTTGAGAATGACACTACCTGACTTCAAATTATATTACAAGACTAGAGTAAGCAAAACAGCATGTCACTGATATAAAAACAGACACATGGACCAATGGGAAGAATAGAGTCCAGAAATAAATTCATATATTTACAGCCAACTAGTTTTCAATAAATGCACAAAAAACATACAGAAGAATGGGCACCTTTGTCAATAAATGGTTCTGGGAAAATGGTAGATTCATAGGCAGAAGAATGAGAGTATTCTTATCATTTACCATATATAAAAATCAGCAAAAGATTGAATCAATACTTAAACATAAGACCCAAAACTATAAAATTACTAGAAAAAAATATAGGGAAAACCACTTCAAGGCATGAGTATAAGCAAAGATTTCATGGCTGGGACATCAAAAGCATAGAAAACAATAAAAATATTAGACAATGGAACTATGTTAAATTAAATAACTCTGAACAGCAAATGAAAACAATCATTAGAGTAAAAAGATAACCTATTGAATGCGAAAATATATTTTCTAACTGTATGACAACAGACTAATATCCAGAATATACAAGGAACTCAAACAATTCAATAATAAAAAACTAATAATCCAATTGAAAAGTGGGCAAAAGACATGAATACATGAATAGGCATTTCTCAAAAGAAGACACACAAATGGCTCATAGATATATAAAAATTCTCAATTTTCCTAATCATCAGAGAAATATAACCAAAACAACAGGATATATCAACTTACCTTGGTGATATGGCTTGGCTGTGTCCCCACCAAATCTCGACTTGAGTTGTATCTCCCAAAATTCCCATGTGTTGTGGGAAACACCCAGGGGGAGTGAATCATGGAGATTGTCTTTCCTGTGCTACTCTCATGAGAGTGAATAAGTCTCACGAGACCTGATGGGTTTATCAGGGGTTTCTGCTTTTGTTTCTTCCTCATTTTCTCTTTTTTTTTTTTTTTTTTTTTTTTTTTTTTTTGAGACGGAGTCTCGCTCTGTCGCCCAGGCTGGAGTGCAGTGGCGGGATCTCGGCTCACTGCAAGCTCCGCCTCCCGGGTTCACGCCATTCTCCTGCCTCAGCCTCCCAAGTAGCTGGGACTATAGGCGCCCGCCACTACGCCCGGCTAATTTTTTTGTATTTTTAGTAGAGACGGGGTTTCACCGTTTTAGCCGGGATGGTCTCAATCTCCTGACCTCGTGATCCGCCCGCCTCGGCCTCCCAAAGTGCTGGGATTACAGGCGTGAGCCACCACGCCCGGCCTCCTCATTTTCTCTTGCTGTTGCCATATATATCTGTATATCATAGGGATACCTGCACTCTCATGATTGTCACAGCACTATTCACAATAGCAAAGATAAGGAATCAACTTAAGTGTCCATTGATGGATGAATACATAAGAAAAAAAAATACATATATATATACATACATACATATGGAATACTATTTGGCCATAAAAAATAATGAAATCATGTTATTTGCAGCAAAATGAATGGAACTGAAGGTCATCATGTTAGGTGAAATAAGTCAGGCACAGAAGAACAGATACGTATTGCATGTTCCCACTCATATGGGGGAGCTAAAAGAAAAGTTAATCTTATGAAGACAGAAAATAGAATAATAGATTCCAGAGAGTGGAAAGGGTGTGTGGGTGGGAGGGGGATACAGAAAGGCTGGTTAATGAGTACAAAATTCAGTTAGATTGATTAAATAAGCCTGCATTTGGGATAGCAGAGTAGGGTGACTATAATTAGCCACAGTGTATTGTATATTTAAAAGTTGCTAGAAGATAGGATTTGAAATGTTGCCAATACATGGAAATGAAAGATATTCAAGGTTATGGGTACTCCAAATACCCTGACAATCATTACACATTCTGTGAATGTAACAAATACTCACATGCACCTCATAAATATGTAAAATGTTTGTTTTCAGTTAAAAAAAAAAAAAACCTGATGAAATATCTCCTCACACCTACTAGCATGGCTATTATCAGAAAAAGAATAAGTGTTGGTGAGTATATGGAGAAAAAGGAACCCCTGCACATTGGTGGTGGGAATGTAAATTGGTGCAGCATCTATAAAAATTATATGGAGGTTTCCCAAAAAATCACAAATAGAATTATAATTTGATTCAATAATCCCACAATGGATGTACATCCAAAGAAATGAAAACGTGGATATCAAACAGAGGTCTGCACTGTGCTGTTCATTGCAGATTTATTTACAATACTAAGCTACAGAAACAACATAAGTGTCCATTGATGCACTAACAGATAAACAAATTGTGGTACATACACACACTGGAATATTACTCAGCCTTAACAAAAAAGCAAATTTTGCCATTTGTGACAACGTGGATAGACCTGAAAGACATTATGCTAAGTGAAAAAAGTCAAACACAGAAGGACAAATACTACATGATATCATTTATATATAGAATCTAAAATAGTCAAACACATAGAAACAGAAAATAGAATGTAATTGACAGGAGCTGGAAAGAAAGGGAAATGGGGAGACGTTGGTCTACTGGTACAGTTTCAGTTATATGAAATAAATAAGACCTGGAGATTTACTATACAACTTAGAACCTATGGTTAATATCATATTACTGTATGCTTAAAATATTGCTAAAAGGTAGATCTTATTTTAACTGCTCTTAATGCAAGAGGAAAAGAGAAACACAAAGGTGGTAGGAAGAATGTTTCGGAAGTTATGGATAAGTTTATGGCATTGATAGTGATGATGACTTAATGGTTTTACGGATGTATACTTATCTCCAAATACATCAAATTGTATATATTAAACATGTAAAGCTTTTATATGTAATCATATATCAACAAATCAGTTAAAATTAAATAAATTACATAACTACACAATTTTTAAAAAATCAATTATTTACCATGACCAAATGAATGCAAGACTAATGTAATGTTTTAATACCAATCAGTGTAATCCAACATATTAACAGTCTGAAGAAGAAAAATCAAAAGATTTTATCAATCATTGAGAAAATCATTTAACAAATATCAGCACTGATGATAAACATAAAAAACTCTCAGGAAAACAAAAATAGCTGGGATTTGCTCAACAAGGTAAAGAATATCTACCAAATTTATTTTGTTCATTTTACTCCATGGTGAAATACTGAATGTTTCTTTTCTAATATTAGGGACAAGTCAAAGATGTTCACTGTCAGCACTGTTCAACATAATGCTAGAAATTTTAGCCAGCAGAATAAAACGAGAAAATAAGAGGAATATAGATTGGAAAGGATGAAATAAACCTGTTTCTCTTTGCTGTTAACATGGTTATCTACATAGAAATCTGAAGAAGTCTAAATGAATTTTTATTATATATATATGCATATATATGTGTACATATACACATAGATAGATAATTAGCACTCAGTAAGGTTGCAGGACACAAAACTTGTATCTTATACTGTAGCAATAACTACATAAACACAGAAATTAAGTATACAATACAATTTACTGTCACTCAAGGAAAGGAAATACTTTGGTATATATATAACAAAACATGTCCAGGAAGTGCATGTTGATAAAACACAGTACCGATAACAGCATCCAAATATCTAAATAAATGAAGAGGTGCACTCTGCTAATGGATGGGGAAAAGTGATATATTAAAGGCTCCAATTCTCCCAAAATTGAAATAAAGGTTTAATGCAATTCATATTAAAATCACAAGTACCTTGTAGACATAGACAAGATTACTGTAAAATTGTAAGGAAAGACAAAAGGAATTAGAATAGCTCATACATGTCTATCCAAATTCAAGACCTATTATAAGGATACAGAAATCATTACTGGTTGAGATATTGACATATAAATCAATGGAACAAAAGAAGGAACCTAGAAATACACCCCCAAAATATATCCAACCAAGTTTTGACTAAAGTAATTCAATAAAGGAAAGACAGCCTTTTCAAGAGATGGTACTAGAAAAATTAGAGCTGCAAAGGGTAAATATAAAAAAAAAAAAAAAAAAAAAAACCTTGCCTAGGTCTCATGCTTTCTAAAAATTACTTAAAATCAATAATGTACTTAATGCAAAACATAAAACTATAAAACTTTCAGGAAAAAAGTAGGAAGATATATTTGAAATCTAGAAGCAAATAAATGTTTTTAAACTTGATACCAAGGCATGATACATAAAAGAAAAAAATTATAAATTGGACTTCAAAAATTTAACTTTTGTTTCATAAAAGCCCCTGTTAAGAAGACGAAAAAGGCGGGCCAGTGGCGCAATGGATAACGCGTCTGACTACGGATCAGAAGACGACGAAAAAGATTAAGCTACAAAGTGAAATAAAATATTTTCAAATCACATATTTAACAAACACCATGTAGAATACATAACAAATTCCCAAAACTCAATATAAAACAGCCAAAGGGTCCAATTAGAAAATGAGCAAAATAAATGAGACTTTTTTCAAACATAATATACAGAAGACAAGTACATGAAAATATGTTCAACATCATAGCTATTTGGAAAATGAAAATTAATATCACAATCACATATTAATACACATGTAGCTAAATAGTGAAAATTAAAATTAACTAATTAACTAAAAATATAGCGATAGCACCATATTCTGGCAAAGATGTGGAAAAAACTGGATCACTCTATATCACTGGTTGGAAGGTAAATAGTAGAAGCACCTTGGAAAAAGAGACTGACCATTTGTTAAAACAGTAGTTAAACCTTTAACTACAAGATAACCAATAATTGCACTATTGGATATCTAACCCAAATAATGAGGAATTATTTCCTGTATCCAATCATTGTCTGTACTCAATTACTGACATATTTAATTATTGAAGAATTATATTATTTACCTAGGAATTATAAACGCATATTAAAATATTTTAGTGGTCTTATTAATAATATGCAAAAGCTAGAAACAACACAGATGCCCTCCAATGGATGAATGCTTAAACAAAGTTTGGTATATTTAAACCATAAATTTTTTTTTTTATTATTATACTTTAAGTTTTAGGGTACATGTGCACAACATGCAGGTTTGTTACATATTTATACATGTGCCATGTTGGTGTGCTGCACCCATTAACTCGTCATTTAACATTAGGTATATCTCCTAATGCTATCCCTCCCCGCTCCCCACACTCCACAGCAGGCCCCTGTGTGTGACATTCCCCTTCCTGTGTCCATGTGTTCTCGTTGTTCAATTCCCACCTATGAGTGAGAACATGCGGTGTTTGGTTTTTTGTCCTTAGCAAAGACTTGGAACCAACCCAAATGTCCAATAATGATAGACTGGATTAAGAAAATGTGGCACATATACACCATGGAATACTATGCAGCCATAAAAAATGATGAGTTCACGTCCTTTGTAGGGACATGGATGAAGCTGGAAACCACCATAAAATATTTTTAAGCAATAAAAAATAACGGACTACTGAGACATGCAACAGTCTGGATGAATCTTCAGAGAATTATGCTGACTGAAGGGAAAAAATGTCAATCCCAAAAGGTTACAATGTATGTGAATCCATTGATACAGCATCCTTGAAATGACAGAATTATAGAGATGGAGACTAGACTAGTGGTTTCCTGGGTGTGGCTAGTAAAGAGTAACATGAAGGAACCTTTATGTAATGCAAATATTTTGTATTTTGAATGCCTTAGTGTCAATATCTTGATTATAATATTACATTATAGTTTTGCTGTTACCTGTTTTAAGAAACTGAGTAAAGAACGTGTGCTGTCTCTACACTGTCTTACAACTGCATGTGAATATACAATTATCTCAAAATTTTAAGGGTGTTTAATTAAAAGAAAATCAATTATTTTTCACTCATTGATTTAGACACTAATTGGATACTGGGTTCAAACAATATATTGGACTGAGAAGTGTTAAATCTAGTGTTTCTTGTTTACAGTATTGCTAGTTCCTATTATCAGTAATTGAATTTTCAGTTGCCTCTGTCTGCTTCCCCATCTAGACTATAGAAGTCTTGTTCTATTCTGTGTTTATCATTTTTAATTTCTGTTTCCTTTAGGCCATCACATAAATTGTATTTTAGAGCTCTGCTAACTTTTTTATTTGTATTTATAAAAAATTAGTATCTATCTGTCTACATCTATTTATGTATTTATCACCATCTGTTATCTAAATAGATTTATTCAAAGAAGAGTAGGTGCTTTAATGTGTTGACTTACTAGGTCATTTTGATGAAAAGAACCGGAATAAAATAAAAATATTTACAAAATCCACTGGCCCAGCAACTTTGTCTAAAAGGGATTATAGATAGGCTACTAATCTTCAGGAAAAATAAAAGCATTTAGTACCTAGAGTTTAACAGCTTACAATTTAGTTGCTTGAAATACATTGTGGCTATTTGAAATACTGAAATTTTTTACATGCTGTTTTCAATGTTTGTTCAGTGTGTTGAGAAATGGATGAAGAAATGTCCTCCCAGAAGGATTATAACAGACCAAGAAGGGAACTAGATGAGCATAAATTCAGGAAAGCACAGACCAGTTGCACTTGAAACGTTGTGGAGGCTCAGCATATGTCAACCAAACAGCTGAGAAAACTCTCAGTGATGGATACAATATGGATCATCTCTGCTAGCACAGAAGAAAAACCCCACTCTTTCGGTTCTGATCAAATTCAGTATTGTCAAAGTGAAGGCAAAGTATACCAATAGAGTGATATTGAACTTGTTACCCATTGGTGGTATTCATTCAGTAGTTGAAATGTATTTACTCAAAAATACTGATAAGGCAGCTACTTGATATTAGGTATTATTCCAGATGAGATACCATAACAAACAATTAGACTAATTATTTTTTTTTTTTTTTTTTACCAGCATTGAGTTCTGTTAAAGAGGCCAAAAATAATCAGGTAAAGAAAGATGGCAAAGAAATAGTGGGAAAGTTATAGGAATGTTTAAAGACTTAAAAGACAATAATGTGATATAGAATGCCTTATGCTGGAGAGGAAGAAGGTGGTATATATCTTAGATTGTTCTTTTTTGTCCAGATTTATTGAAGTATAAGTGACAAAATGGTATGTATTCAAGTCATTTATATATATATATATATTTTAGCTATAGAGTGTATATGTATTACATATAATATACATATACATTGTAATTGTATTATATGTGTATATGTATTACATATATACATATATTATACATGCGTTATATATATTTATATATGTATTACATGTAACATACATATACATATATGTAATTGTATTATATGTATATATAGTGAAATAATTGCCACAATCAAGCTAATTAACATATCCATAACCCAACATCCCTACTTTTTTTTGGTTTGGTGAAAAAACTTAAGATGTACTCTCTTATTACATTTCAAGTATAAAATACAGTCATGTGTACATGACATTTCAGTCAATGGCAGACGGCATATATGACAGTGGTCCCATAAAATTGTATCGGAACTGAAAAATTGCCATCACCTAGTGACTTCCTAGGGTATTACCCTTTCTATGTCTAGATGTACAAACACTCAACATTGTGTTACAATTGCCTACAATATTCAGTACAGTAACATACTGTACAGGTTTGTACCACAGGAGCAATAGACTGTACTACATAGCCTCGAGGTGTAGTACGCTATTCCATCCAGGTTTGTGTAAGCCCACTCTACGATTCACACAGTGATGAAATCACCTCACGACATATATCTCAAAATATATCCCATCATTAAGTGACACATGACTATACATGTGTACATGTATGGAGTCATTAACTGTAGCCACCATGTTGTACATTAATTCTTCAGAACGTATTCACCTTATAACTGCAAGTTTGTACCTTCTGACCAACAGCTCTTCATTTCCTCCAACCTCTAAACACTGGCAACCACCATTCTACTCTGTTTCTATGTAATTTTTTTTAGATTCCTTATATAAGTGATATTGCAGTATTTGTCTTCTTCTTTCTCACTTATTTCATGTAGCATGTTTTCCAGGTCCATCCCTGTTATTACGAATGCCAGAATTTCCTTTGATTTTAAGGTTGAATTACATTGTATATAAATATATACCAGAATTTTTTAATCCATCTGTGAACACAGGTTGTTTCCATATTTTTGTTAATTGTGAACAAAGTTGCAATGAACACTAGAATGAATATATATCTTTGAAGTAGTGATTTCTATTTCCTTTGGGTATTGCTGAAGAGGGATTGCTGATTATACAGTGATTCTATTTTTAATATTTTCAGGAACCTTCATACTGTTTTTCATATTGGCTGTACCAATTTACATTACCATCAACAGTGCATTAGGCTTCTATTTTCTTTGCACCTTCTCCAATCCTTGTCTTTTGGTAACAGTCATCCTAACAGATGTGACGTAATAATCTCATTGTGGTTTTGATTTGCATTTCCCTAATGATTAGTGATGTTGGACACCATTTCATGTATCTGTTGGCCATTTCTTTATTCTTCTTTGGAAAAATGTCTATTTGGTTGCTTTCCCCATTTTTTGATCAAGATACTTGTTTATTTGCTACTGAATTGTACGGGTTCCTTATATACCTTGTATAGTAACCCCTTATTAAATGCTTGGTTTTAACAGCAATGAACACAATCAACAAAATGAAAGGGCAAGCATAGATTGGTAAAAAGTATTTGCAAACTATATCTTCTTTTTGTACTAGTTCCTCAGATATAATTTTAGATGCGAGAATACCTAATTTTACCTGAGAAAGGTGGAAAGTTGCACTATGTTGAACTGTCAACTCACAATGTATAAATGCACATTAGGCTGCTATCTTTATTTCTGCTAACCTTGTGTCCTAAATGCCAGAAACAACTTGGCAAAAGGTGTGAAGAATTTGAGGGCTACATCATGTCTGAAAATGAATTTTTTTACTGTATATTCTAAAAGATTTTAACTCCTACCAACATTTCTTGTTGAAATGCAGGGCTGAATAATGGACATAGCTCCATTTTTTGGTGATTTTTAGGAAGCAAGAATATTAGTTATTTCATCAATGAGCTAAGTAATGACATGGATATCTTCCATAGGGCCAATGTGTCAAGCACATTTTTATAAGTTAATAGCTTACTGCAGTAGGTATTTTCTACCCTATTTTGAAAATATAGCTCATATCTTGGAATCAGTTGACATTATGAATATGTCAGATGGGTAAAAATGGAGAATTGGGCTTTCTGAAATAACATTGAATCTGTAGATGCTTTGGGCCATATGACCATTTTAATAATATTGATTCTTCTGACCTATGAACATGGGATGGTGTTCCATTTGTTTGTAAGATAACTTCTTTCATCAGTGTTTTGTAATTTCCTTGTAGATATTTTTCACCTTCTTGGTTAGATGTTATTTCTAGGTATTTTAATTTTTTGTGGCTATTGTACATAAGATTACATTCTTGATTTGCCTCTCAATTTTAAAGTTATTGGTATATAGAAATACTACTTATTTTTGTGCATCGATTTTGTATCCTGAGATTTTACTGAAGTCGTTTATCAGGCCTAGGAACCTTTTGGCAGTCTTTAGGCAAAGAAGGCTAATTTGACTTATTTTCCTATACGGATGTCTTTTATTTTTTTCTCCTGCCTGATTGTTCTGGCTAGGACTTCCAGTACTATTTTGAATAGGAGTGGTGAGAGTGGGCGTCCTTATCTTGTTCCACTTCTTAAATGGAATGCTTCCAGCTTGTGCCCATTCAGTGTAATTGTAGGTTTGTCTTGGATGACTGCTATTATTTTGGGGTATGTTCTTTTGAAATCTAGTTTGCTGAGAGTTTTTATAAAGAAGGGATATTGGATTTTTTTCAAAATCTTTTTCTGTGACTATGAGATGATAATATGGATTTTTAAAAAATTCTGTTTATGCTGTGAATTACATTTATTGTTGTGCATATGTTAAACCAGCCCTGTATGACAGGAATAAAACCTACTTTATTATAATTAATTAACTTTTTGATTTACTGCTGGATTTGATTTGCTAGTGTTTTGTTCAGGATTTTTACATCTATGTTCATCAGGGATTTGGGTCTCTTGTTTTCTTTTTTCATTGTGTCATTGTCAGATTTTGGTATTAGAGTGATGCTGGCTTCACAGAATGAGTTAGAGAAGAGTCCCTCCTTCTCCATTTTTTTTTTTTTTTTTTTTTTTTGAAATGGTTTTAGTAGGACTGGTATCTACTCTTTGTACATCTGGTAGAATTTGCCTGAGAACCCACCTGGTCCAGGGCTCTTTTGGGTTAGGATTACTGATTCAATTTTAGAACTCATTATTGGTTAGTTTATAGTTTCAATTTCTTCCTCATTCAGTCTTGAGAGCCTGTAATTTTCCAGGAATTTATCTATTTCCTCTAGACTTTCTAGTTTTTATGCACAGCTGTGTTCATAGTAGTCTCTGAGGACATTTCATATTCTGTAGGATAGGTTGTAATGTCATCTTTGCTGTTTCTGATTGTGCTTATTTGGGATTTCTCTTTTTTTTTCTTTGTTAAGCTAGCTGTTGGTCTATTGATCTTGTTAATCCTTTTGAAGAACCAGCTTTTGGTTTCATTGATCCTTTGTATGGATGGTGGGGTCTCAATTCCATTCAGTTTTGCTCTAATTTTAGTTATGACTTTTCTTCTGCTAGCTTTGAGGTTTGTTTGTTCTTTGCTTTTCTAATTCCTCCAGACATGATGTTACATAATTAATTTAAGATTTTTCTAACTTCTTGATGTAGGCTTTTAGTGCTCTAAACTTTCCTCCTAACACTGCTTTTGCTGCATTGTAGAGACTAGTATGTTGTGTCTCTGTTTTCATTTTTTTAAAGAGTTTTTAAATTTCTGACTTAATTTCATTGTTTACCCAGAAGTGATTCAGGAGAAAGTTGTTTAATTGTCATGTATTTGTGTGATTTTTGAGAGAACTTCTTGGTATTGATTTGTATTCCACTGTGGTCTAAAAGTATGCTTGGTATGATTTTTATTTTTCTGACTTTATTGAGAATTGCTTTACGGCCGAGCATGTGATTGATCTTAGACTATGTTCCATGTGCAGATGAAAAGAATATATATTCAGTGGTTAATGGGGTGCAGTGTTCTATGTCTATTAGATTCAATTGATCAAATGTCAAATTTATGTCCAAAATTTGTTAGTTTTCTGGCTCAATTATATGTCTAGCCTTGTCAGTGGGGCATTACATTCCCCCACTACTATTGTGTGAATGTCTAAGTCTTTTTGTAGATATAGAAGTATTTGTTTTATGAATCTGGATGCTCCAATGTTGGGTGCCTTATATTTAAGATAGTTAAGTCATCTTGTTGGATTGAAGCCTTTATTATTATGTAGTTAAAACCTTATTATTATGTAGTGCCCATCTTTGTTCTTTTCTATTTTTGTTGGTTTAAAGTCTATTTTCTATTTGCATGATAGATCTTCCTCCAATCCTTTACCTTGAGTGCAGGAGTGTTGTTACATGAAAGATGGGTCTCTTGAAGACAGCAGACATATAAGTCTTATTTTCTTATCCAACTCAATACTTTGTGCCTTTTAAGTTGGGCATTTACATTCAAGGTTAATACTAATGTGTGAGGTTTTGATCCTAGTGTGAAATTGTTACCTGATTGTTTTGTAGTTTCTATTATGCCATGTCTTTAATGGGTCTGTGGCCAATGTACTTAGGTATGGTTTTGTAGTAGCAGATATCATTCTTTCATCTCCATGCCTAGAAATCCCTTAAAAATCTCTTGTAAGGCTGGTCTAGTGATAATGAGTTCTCTTAGCAATCACTTATCTGAAAAAGATTTTATTTCTCCTTTGCTTATGAAGTTTAGTTGGGCAGGGAATGAAATTCTTCGCTGGAGTTTCTTCTATTTGACAATGCTGAAAATTGGCCCCTAGTCTCTTCTGGCTTGTAGGGCTTCTGCTGAGAAGTCTGCTGCTAACCTGAAGGGGTTATATTTGTACATGATCGACCTTCTTCTCTAGCTGCCTTTAAGATTTTTTTCTTTAGCATTGACCTTAGATGTCTGGTGACTATATGCCATGGTGATGCTTGTTTTGTATAGCATCACTTAGGTATTCTCTGTATGTCTTGTATCTGGATGTCTAATTCTAGCAAGATTAGGGAAATTTTCTTGAATTATTCCCTCAAATATGTTTTCCATGTTGACTGCATTTTATCCTTATCCCCCAGAAATGCCATTAATTTAGAGGTTTCGTAGCTTTACGCAATCTCATATTCCTCAAAGACTTAGTTGATTTAAAACAAAGCTCTTCTTCCTTTATTTTTATCTGACTCAGTTAGCTTGAAAGACCAATCTTCAAGCTCTGAAATTCTTTTTTCTGTTTGGTCTAGTCTATGGATACAAGTTTCTGTTGCATTTGAAATTCATTACGTGAGTTTTTCAGTTGCAGTAGCTCTGATTAGGTTCTTTTTAAGATGTTTACTTCTTCCTTTTTTCCTGCATTGTTTTAGGTGTTTCTTTGTGTTGATTTTCAATCTCATCTTGGATCTCATTGAGTTTTCCTGGAATACATAATTTGAAGTCTTTATCTTTCATCTCTCTGCTCTATTTTGGCCAGGGACAACTGCTGGAGAGCTAAGGCAAGCCTTTGGTGGTGTCACATTTTATTTTTCATGGTGGCAGAAATCTTATGCTCGTTTCTTCTCATCTGGAGATGGTTGTGTTTGATAGGGTCTTTTAACTTTGCTTCTATAGTGTCACACACTTCTGTCAGCAGGTTTTGTATTTGGCTGTAGGTTTGACCCAAGGGCCAGTGGATGGCATTGGCAGGTAGGAGACAGCTGCCACACAAGCAAGTGTATGGACCTGATCTTTGTTTACTATAAAGTGCCCTCTGTTGTTTCAGTTGTAGGGCTGAACAGTGGAGTGCCCAGTGCCCTGAACTTCCTATTCCCTGTGGGTGCTGGAACACATCTGTGCAGATGGAGCCGGTGACTTTCCCATGGATATCCCAATGGTGGGCACAGTCACCAGCCCTAACCAGGGTGTCTGGAGGGAGCTCATGGTGAAGTGCACTGAGGTCTCTGCCGGGGTTGTGAGAGGGTTGCATTGGCTCCCCATCCTAGATAGACATGAATGCAATCTGTTTCCCTATCACATTCCTGTTCTACCACTTGTGACTCCTAGTTCACATGCATAGTGTTGTCTATCTCTAGACTGTAATGTGGTTGGAAGCCACAGGGAATGCCTGTTTTGCTAGTCTTTGTGGGAGTGGTTTCAGGGCATAACCTCATCATACAACTTGATACAGAAAGCTTTAAGGCTTGACTGCTCTCCAATGTGGCAGCACTGCTCTTCTAAAGAGAGGGCTCTACCTTTGGGCCTGTGTGAGTGGATGTTAGTTGTGGTAGTGTTGGCTGCTTTGGTCAGCCTGACCTCTAGCCATGGGGGAGGTGATTAGGTTCCAGCAGAATTAGAATGTGGGGTTGGTTGCTCCTCCAGTTCCAAGGCCCCTAGATGGCCTTCTGGACAGTGTGTATGAAGGGACTGGACTAGAGTCACCCTAGCCCAGAGTCAGATGCTGGCTGTGATGAGGAGAGCAGGCTGGTCTGCAAGTTGCTGGCCAAACTCTCAGGCAGGGGCAGGCAAAATGCTTAGGTGGTGGGAGCCTGAGGGAACACCTTACATGGTCTCTTAGATGATACACTTGAAGAACTGGTATTTATTCACCACTTTATTTCCTCTCCATTAGAATGGCATACAGTAGCTTCTTCTAATCAGTCATCTTGAACATAACCCTCAGTGATTAAGTTTGAAAGTATGCATTTGGGGGGTACACAGTCAGAACATAACAGTCTTCAGGACTACTTTATATTTGAATTGCTTTCAGAAGAGTTGGTTAAAAGTCCCCCTTACAAAAGTGAGATGACAGAACCAGTGGCCCATCAGTGATACTTACTGTTCACAACACTATGTAGTAGAGCCTATGGGACAATGTGGCTCTTTCCTCTAAAGAGGAAGACAGTTAACTTGAAAATATATCAATATTGTACCACTTAAAGAAAAGCATGTGGTAAAATTAGTCACTGGATTAGCCCTCTGAAAATCACTGTCCGATCATAAAGGCTATTTGATGTGGCTATAACTCTTTAATACATATTTGCCCCAACTCTACTGGGAAAAATGGAAGCCCAGATTTCATAAAGTGTGGGTTTTAGTAGCTTACAGCGAGTAAAATAAGCTGGCCATGATTTCCAGTTGATGCTCCAGACATTGTAGAGCTGAAAAAAAAAACATCTCTGTGTACTATATACAAACTCCTGACTTAAAAATGCCATGAGTGTAGTAATAAAACATTTTATAATGCCAAGTTTTTGAATAAGTTGTTACTTAGCAATAGCATATGGAACACAAATATTGCAAGAATGAGGGAAAAAGCAAGGGATAAATTGATAGCTGCATTGAGAAAACCAGGCGCAAACAGGAGGCAGGATTTAATTAACTGCCTGTCTCACATGTCTTCACACTGGCTGACAGATTAAAATGACTGTGATATTATGCATTGTTAGAAATTAGTGTTACAAACAGCCACTAGAGCCCTTGAATATTTTTAGCATTTCTCTTCTTTCAATGTAGTCTTATCCAAGCAATTAGACACACATATCCTAGAATAAAACTTAGAGAAAAGTATGCATTTCTGACTCCTCTTATGGGTATTGAGACAAGACGGTTGACTTCAATTGGACTTTTTCATCAGTAATATGGTTTGTCTGTGTCCTTACCCAAATCTCATCTTGAATTATAATCCCCATAATCCCCACGTGTCAAGGGTGGGACCAGGTGGAGGTAACTGGATCATGGGAGTGGTTTCCCCTATGCTGTTCTTTTGCTAGTGAGTGAGTCTCATGAAATCTGATGGTTTCATAAGCATCAGGCATCTCTCCTGCTGGCAGTCACTCCATCCTGCCACCCTGTGAAGAAAGTGCCTGCTCCTCCCATTTGCCTTCTGCCATGATTTTAAGTTTCCTGAGGCCTTCTCAGCAATGCAGAACCATGAGTCAATTAAACCTCTTTCCTTTATTTATTACCAAGTCTCAGGTATTTCTTCATAGCAGTGTAGGAATGGACTAATACAATCAGTATTCCCAACCAAGAAAGGAGAACCAGTAAGGAGTTCCTTTTTAATGCTTTAGTAACAGTTGACCAGGTAATTCAGACCAATTCTTCCACTAAAGACAATTAGAAAAGTTAGGGCGCTGCCACTTAAAGCAGTCAGAAAACTAACAATACTGTGAAGAATGGCCAGGCCAGGATCAGGGAGAAGAGATAAATCTGGGATATTGATCCCATCTTCTGTGGCCATTTGTGGTTTGTAGACTTTTGCAAACTCCGTAAGAACAAAGTAAGCATGAGCAGCACACATAAAAACTACATAATAAACATAATTTTATGTGTAGAAATTTTTGAGATTTATAAAGGACCATATACAAAATTGTGTTAGCCCATTCTCACGCTGCTATGAAGAAATACCTGAGACTGGGTAATTTATAAAGGAAAGAGGAATTGACTCACAGTTCCACATGGCTGGGAAGTCCTCAGGAAACTTACAATCATGGTGGAAGGCACCTCTTCACAGGGTGGCAGAAGAGAGAATGAATGACAGCAGGGGAAAGGTCAGACACTTAGATAACCATCGGATCTCCTGAGAATTCACTCACTATCAGGAGAGCAGCATGGGGGAAACCACCCAAATGATTCCATTACCTCCCACTGGGTCTCTCCAAAATACATGAGGATTATGGGGATTACAATTCAAGATGGGATATGGTTGGGGACATAGCCAAACCATATCAAAAGTCATGAGGCAATTTCTGGCAAATTTCAAAAACTGATATACAGATTATATGAATTAAGCTGGTATTTAGTTATATCAAAATGTTAACTAGAAAAATTGCATATGTTTGTGCTACAGCCTGAATTGCTCCCCACCCCACATATTCACATGTTAAAGCCATAACACCCAATTTGACTGTATTTGAAGATACAACTTTTAAGGAGGTTATTAAGGTTACATGAAGTTAGAAAGCTAGGGCCCTAATTCTATAACATCGGCGTTCTTATAAGAAGACACGCCAGGAGTGTGTGCACATAAAGAAAAGGTCATGAGGGACATGGTGAGAAGGCAACTGTTTTCAAGTTAAGGAGAGAGGCCTCACCAGACATGAACAATTGCTACATCTTCATCTTGGACCTCCAGGCTCCAGAGCTGTGATAAAACAAAAGTCTGGTGTTCAAGCCACCAAGTCTGTGATACATTTTTATGGCATCCCAAGAAGACTAAATCCAGTTTAGAAAATAAGGAATGCATTTTTAAATAACCCATGAGATTTACATTTTCAGTCATGAAAAAACAAAATGATCGAAAATTATCCTCTCACCATAAACAAATAGAAACTGGAGAAATTGTAAGAAACAATTTTCAGTCATAGGCAATAGACAATGAAATACTGTCATCTCTGAGAAACAGGAAACAAATTCTGTGAGTCCTACCATTATGTAGACTTTTGGAAGATGATATAATTCTCAATGTCACATGAGGGAAAAACTAAAATCAATACAGAAATCTCTCTTGAAAGAGAACACAGATAATAGAGTTCAAGGAATATGAGATAGCTAGAATTTGTAGGGCAGATAAGTCAAATTGAGGGAGCTACACAGAAAGGAAGATTTTTAGAAATCTGCATAGGAATCCCAATAAGTTTTGGCTGAATACCAATCTGTGCACGCATAGGGGGAAATCAACCAAGGGTAGAAAGCAGAAAGGGTAGCGAAGGAAACAATTACTTAATAGTCATAAGAATAAAAATTCCCAGAACTCACTTAGGGCTAATGATAGTTTCAGCTTTTATCAGTCAGAATGGAGAGATATTAATGAATAATGATGACATGTAACAGAAAACTCAAAGCTTTCTACCTTTAAAGTAGAACTCAATTAGCCCTAAGATAAAGGCAACTATAAGCCTCCACAAAAAGAGCTTAGAAACAAACCTTGACATGATCAAACTGGTTATCAAGCAAACTGACTTCAAGAAGTTGAACACTGCTTAATGATATAAAACAGATAGTACTCAATGTTTAAAATGCATTAATAATCACCACGTGTATAAAGAAAGAGTGAACAAAATATAGGAGGAAAATGTCAATAAAACAAAAACAAATGGGAGAGGTAATAAATTCGGAAAAAAATAAAAGCAATTGTAGATATGTTCCTATGTGAAAAGATGAAAAAATATATAAATATGATGAAAAGAAAAACACTAAGCTAAATACAAGATGGAAATTAAACTTCTAACAATGCAAAACAAAGAGCAAAAAAGGCTGGATGGAATTACAGCAGATGAGACCTGAAAGAAGAAATGATTAGTGAACTTTGGTATAATAGCAATAAAAATCCAAAATAAAATATAGGGAAAAAAGAAACCTAAAAAGTAAATGAATACAGCATCAGCAGCCTGAGAGAAAATATCAAGAAATTAAGCAGTATAATATGTATTTGATTAGAGTCTCCAATGGGTAAGACAAGTGAGAGTGATGGGGGTCATATACAAAAACACTACTTGAAGAAATAGTACCAGAAATGTTATAAAAACTATAAAAGCACATATTCTAGAAATAAAATTTTAAGCAGAATCAAATGTTAAATAAAATAATAAGAAAAGACATACTAAAGCAAACAATAAATGAATTGCTGAGAAGCACTGAAAAAGAAAAAAATCTTAATTGTAGGCAGAAAAAAAGAAACTGCACACAGAATATAAATCGTAATTATAAGAAATTTGTTATCAAAAGCTATGCAATCTAGAAGATAATTAAAAGTCAGCCTTAAAATACTAAAAAAAAAAGAAAAACTATCAACCCAGAGTTTTGGCAAAGTGAAAATATCTCATAAATTGAATGTGAAATAAAGTCTTTTCCATTCATGCAAAAGATGAGAAAATCACTGGCAACAGAGATGAACTGTTGGTCTTTTATGCAAAAAGGAAATGATACTCAATTAGGGTTTTTCAGAGAAAGAAAGACAATAAAATACAGACACAGACACACACATACACATACACACACACACACAAACACACATACACACACGGGGGCGGGGGTTAGGAAAGAGATTTTAAATAATTGGCTCATATGATTGCGGAGGTTGGTAAGTCTGAAGTCCTGAAATTTGGTAGGCTCAAAATCTAGAGTTAAGAGTTACAGGCCGGGCGCGGTGGCTCACACCTGTAATCCCAGCACTTTGGGCGGCCGAGATGGGCGGATCACGAGGTCAGGAGATCCAGACCATCCTGGCTAACACGGCGAATCCCCGTCTCTACTAAAAATACAAAAAATTAGCTGGGCATAGTGGCGGGCGTCTGTTGTCCCAGCTACTTGGGAGGCTGAGGCAGGAGAATGGCAGGAACCCGGGAGGCGGAGCTTGCAGTGAGCTGAGATCGCGCCACCGCACTTCAGCCTGGGCGGCAGAGCGAGACTCCGTCTCAAAAAAAAAAAAAAAAAAAGTTACAGCCTTGAGTCCATAATTAAATCTAAAACCCACAGGGCAGGACAGCAGGCTGTAAACTCAGGCAAGGTTCCCATAATGCAGTCTTGAAGCAGAATTTCTGTTTCTTTGTAAAACCTCAGTCTTTGTTCCTAAGGCCTTCAATGGATTAAGTGAGGCCCACACGATTATGGAGGTAATCAATTTTACTTAAAGTCTACTGATTTTAAAAGTTAATCAGATATAAAAAATACTTTCACAGCAGCATATAGTGTTTAAACAAACAGCCAAGCACAATAGCCCTAGCCACACTGACATGTAAAATTAATCATTATATAGCTCATTTAAAAGTCTCTACCTACAAAAATAAATGAACAGTACTGGTAAAAATAAATGTGTGAGTAAACACAGAACATTTCAAATTTATAAGATCTCATTTAAACATCACTGAGTATAAAACTAAGGCTACAATTCAGACTGTAATGATAAACTGTGGTGTAACGTGTAAGTAAAAACATAATTGCAAAAAATATGAAGAAATTAATTTATAAATTACATATTTGTAAGATACTAAAGTGTATATTAAGTGATACAACATTACTTTAAGGTAGAATTTTGTTGGTTAAAAATGCATGATGAAAACCCTAGGGCAACCACGCATGCATGCACACGGATACACATGAAAAAGTATATTTCATAATCCGTTAGGGATGATAAGAATAAATTATAAAATAATTGATATGAGAAAAAAGGAAACCAAAACCAAACGGGACAAACAGAAAACAAATAGCTCATGATATGGTTAACCATAATCACCTTAACAATTGCATGAAAACTAAATGGCTTGATTATTTCCTTTAAAGTTAAGAGCACTTAAACCTGAATGCAAAGTGTTACCTAATACTTGCTGCATATAATAAAGTCACATTAACTATAAATGCATAGATATTTGAAAAGTAACAGAACAAATAAAGCATATACCATGCCACCATTAATCAAAAGAAAGTGAGTAGCTATGTTAATATTGCATAATTTAGACTTCAGAATAAATATTACAGTGATAAAGAGCAAATTTTATATGATAAACTGGTAAAATAATTAAGAATCTGTAACAAGCTCAAATATGTATGCAAAGAACACCACATTTTATAGGTAACATCTATTATGACTCATTAGATCAATAGAAATATCTATAAATATATTTATGATTTCAAAAAAACTCTCTAAAATATGTGAACCAAAATATTTGTAAATATATACAAATCTTGCTTGACATTATCAATTAAGACTCTATCAGACCTTTGTAGAATGCTTTCCTCAATAACATCATCATGTGTATCATCACAAGTGCAAAAGAAACATTCACTGATATAATTTTCTGGATCTTCTTTTTTGTTAGTTTTTTTTTTTTTTAAAGGATTAATAAATTCAAAACAATTCAATTTATGCAAAGTAAATTTTCTGATCACGGCTAAATTCCCAAATACTAGAATATTCAATAGTACATCACTAAATAAATACCCATTGATCAAAGGATAAATCACAAGGAAAATAAGAAAAAAAAAATTGAAATGAATGAAGATGAAAGGAGTATATCAAGATTTGTGGCACACAGTTAATGCAGCACTTTGCAGGGATAGGCATAGTAGTAAAAGCTTATATTAAAAGGCGTAAGTCAGAAAAAATTTTTAAAAATATCTAAATGTATACCTCATTAGAGAGAGAGAGAAATTAAGCAGAATTAAAAACATAAAAATCAATGAAATAGAATATGGTTAAAGAATAGCAACAATCAAATAAAAGTTGGCCCTTTAAAAATATAATTAAGATTGATAAGCTATTAAAATAAAAGATTAAGATAAAATAATTTATTATAAATTATCAACATTAATAATAAAGGACTAAAGTCCACGTCTTAATATTTAAATGCTATTTTTCCTACTGTTGAATATTAGGAACAGAGCAAAGTTTTTAGCTCTAATAATTTATATTCAATATCTTTTTAAAGAATTCAAGAAAGAAAAACTTAAAAAAGAGAAGAAAGAAGAAAGAGAGGAAGGAAAAAAGAGAGATCAAAAGGAAATAAATTTGAGAATAGTTAAATTCAGTCAGGTTTTTGTTCAGACAACATGATAGGCTATGTATAAAATTGTAATAAATTTTTTAAAAAGGAATCAGTACCTATGAGTTTAGCAAAGTATTTATGATACAATGTTAGTATAAAATTTACATGTATTACCATATACTAGTAATATCCCATTGAAAACTGAAATTTTAAAAACATCATGTACAGTAGCATCAAAAATATAAAATACTTGGGACCAACAATAAAATATGTACAAGATTGCATAGCGAAAAGAGCAAAATATTATTCAGATGAATCTTAGAAGACCTGAATAAATTCATTTATTTCATTTAATTCCCAAGATAAATCCCAGTAGGCTTTCTGTTGAAATTGAAAAACGAGTTTTAAAGTCTATATGGAAATAAAAAGAACTTAAAAGAACCAAAACGGTTTTGTAAAAAGGAACAACAAAGTTTAAGGACTAACCATCCTGATTTCAGGATTTATGCTAATGCTTCAGTAATCAAGACAGTGATTGAGGCATTGGTTTAGGGATAGACATGTAAATTAATGGAACAGAATAACAAGGCCAGAAGTAGACTTACACATATGTATATGTGTACTTATACATTTGACTTTTGACAAAGGCACAAAGATAATTACTGAGGAAAGAATAATTTCTTCAAAAAGTTGTGTTTCAGCAGTCAGAAAGTACTAAAAAAATGAAATAAATTTGAACTATTACCTGATATTGTAGGTAAACGCTAATTCAAAACGAATCTCAGACTTAAATGTAAAAGTAAATTATATTTTCACTCATTCGAGGACAGAAAAAAATACATATAAAAGAAAAAAATAAAAACTGGGACTCTAAGCAAAACCAAAATTTTATTTGAAAATTTACTATCAAGAAAATGAAATGGAAAACCACAAACTTGTGGAAATTATGTACATATCACATATTTGATCAAGGACTTATATCGACTACATATGAATAATTCTTATGGTTCAATAATGAAAAGACAAATTATCCCAGAAAAAATAGGCAAATATTAGAACAAACACTTCACCAAAGAAGATATATGGATGCAAATAAACACATAAAATGTGCAATTTTATTTGATTATTTAAAAATGCAAATTAAAACCACACAGCATCATTACTACACATGCAGTAAAATGAATAATTAAAACACTGACAATACCAGGTCTTGGAGAGAATGTAGAAAACTGGAACTTACATATATTGCTGTGTGAAATAGAAAAGATATAGCTATGTTGAAAAGAGTATTGTATTTTTTTGTAAAATTAAACATATACTTGCCATACAATAAAGTACTGCACTCCTGGGACTTGAACCAAAAAAATTCAAAATCTTGAATATTCATAGCTACTTTATTTGTAATAGCTAAAATGCAGAGAAAGCCCAAATGTCCATGAACTGCTGATTGAATAAACCAGTTGTGGTGTAGCCACACAAAGGAATACTAGTCAACTAATTAAAATAAATTATTAATACATGAAACACTATGGATGAATTTCAAAAGCATTACACTAATTGAAAAAGTAAAAGATTATTTTATATAAAGTTTTGATAAAGGGAATGACTTTTGTGACAGAAACATCAATTACTGACAGAATCTTGGTGTAGGGGGAGGGCTTTCAGTGCAAAGGGGCAGAGTGGAACATACTGGAATGATGGAAATGTTCTATACCTTGATTGTGATTGTTGGTTACACACTGTATTTATTTCTTAAATAATCAATCCCTATAGTTATATAGTTATGATGAAAAAAATTTAAAAAATTGATATCCTTCTCTACATTTTTCTTATGGAGACAAGCGAAACAAATTTTGTTTCTTTGAATAACTTCTGAAAAATTTGTTAAATCAATGTAATCAGAAAAAAAGTTTTAAAAAAATTTTCTATTCCTTCTATTTAATACTCTTCTGGAGGTCCTAACCAGTACAGTAAGGTGAGAAATAAAAACAAAATATAATGATGAGAAATAAATAAATATTCATGACTGATGTGATGTTATATGTAAAACAATATAAAATAACTCACAGATCATGCATTCAAATTAGTAAGAGTATAGTCATGTTTACAAGAAAGGTATAGTAACCCCAAAAGTTTGCAACCTATTGCCTGTGCTCATGGTGCAGAGACTATGCTTCCAGTAAATAAGGAAGATAACCCAGTCAAATATCCTTGTAAAAATATTGACAGACCTCCTGGCAATCAAACAAATAGTGTTTTCTTAGAGCAGAACGACTGTGGCAGTATAAACCTAGCCTGTCCACAGATACTTATAAAATCTATAGGTGACATAGATTTTATAGACAGTCACATAAATCAGGACTCAGCGAGCTTTTTTCTGTAAGGTAGCTACATAGTAAACAGCTCAGGCTTGCAGGTCACATGAAATCTCTTTTACATATTTTTTTTTCTCTCTTCTTTTTGACAATAATTTTAAAAGCCATTCTTAGCTTACCAGCTATACAAAATCATGGTAAGCTGAATTTGACCATTGGTCATAACCTGTCAATCCTTATACAGATTATTAGAAAAAAAATTGAAGATGTGTCATGTCCAAAATGACTCTTCTATGAAAATTATGCATCTGTATATATTACATAGAAACTCCATGTTAACCTGGGCAAGAATACCTGTTACTGCAGCCCAAAATGAAACTTTAAGCTGTGTTGGTGAACCCAGACCTCCTCTACTGTGCATTGTAATCAATTAAATCCTGGCAACAATTAGGAAGGCTTGATACAGGGGAAGCTCTCTGGTTTGTGTGCATCTGATTGACAATTTGAATGTTTGGAATATCATATAGGCAAAATATAATAAATAATTATATTCTTCTCATGAGGAGTAAAATAGCAGAAAACAGAATTAGTTTCACACCTTAAACAAACAAAAACTCAGACAAATTATATTTTTAAAAAATGGCTCTCAGACGTTGGTTGGCAGGAAGCATGAGGGAGGACTCCATCAGCAAAAGGGAACAATGAGTAGAGCCCAATGATTAGGTCAGCACCTTGCCTGGAGAGTGTTTCAGGCTAGAGTAGAGTGCATGAGAACTCAATAGAGCCTGGTTGTCTCCCTGATTCCAGGAGATGAAGTTAGGGAGCCCAGGGTGTCTAGAATTCCTGAAAAAGTTAAGTCTACAAGAAAGACACCTTAAATACATGAACTCAAGATAAATATAAGAGAATACAAAAACTATGCCATGTTAACACTACTCAAGAAAAATCTGAAATCATATAATAAAACAAAACAAAATAAATTTGAGAGAATAAATGTTACCAGAGATAAAGCAGGTCATTTCAAATAATACAGGAGTCCACTAAAACTAAATATGTAAATGCAAATGAACCTATCATAAAACTAAATATGTAAATGCAAATGAACCTATCATGAAGCATTATAAAACAAAAATGATACAAATAAAGTAGAAATAGACACATTTACAATGACAGTTGAAGATTCCAATACCACTTTTTGATAACTGATAGAATAAGGCAGAAAACCCGTAAAAATCTGGAAGATGAGTAACATCATCAACCACTGACCTAATGGTAATTATGGAACACTCTATCCTACACCAAAACAAAGGGTACTAATGTTCCAAGTGCACCTGGAACATTTTCCAAGGTAGACCACATCTAGTCCCAAAAAATAAGTCATAGTGAATTTGCAATTAGTAAAATAACACAGAGCTTGTCCACTGATAACAAAAATAAATTAATAATTAGTAAAAGAAATATATCAAAAGTACCAAAATATTTTAAAATTAAAAAACACTTTTCTGAATCAACTATGGACCAAAGAAGAAATCACAAGAAACATTTTAAAATATTTTGAAAAAAACTGCAATTACGATGTGTTCAAAATTGTGGGTTGCAGCTAGGAAAAAAAGAGCATTTCCCAATTTATGAACTAAGTTTCCCACAGTAATAAGCTAAAAAAATAAAGAAATTTTACACTAGCAGAAGAAAGAAAATAATTTTTAAAATGCAAAAATTAATAAAATAGAAAAAGAATCACAATAGGATTAATAAAACCAAAAGGTCATTGTTTGAAAAGATCAATATATTTGATAAATTTCCTACCTGAATTATCAGGAAAAGAAAAACAGAGAAATAACAAGGTAATATTATCAAGAATGATAAAGGAAGATATTACTAGAGATCCTAAGAGCATTTAAAGTATAATAAGGAAATATTATAAAGAATTCTTTGGTAATATATATCACAATTTAACGAAATGAACACATTTTTTGAAAGCACAGACTACTGAAGTTTGCTGAACAAGAGATAACTTGAACAGTCATAAATCTATAACAAGTTGAATTCATAGTGAAAAAATTTCCATAAAAGATACCCAAGGCCCAGATGGTTTAACGGGGAAATTTTCTGAAACATTTAATGAGAAATGATACCAATTCAAAACAAGCTCTTTTAGAAAATAGAGAAGAAGCAAACACAATGGGTGAGGCTAGAATTACTGTGATACCAAAACTAGACAAAGTTATTACAAGTAAAACAAAACAGAACAAACGAAAAAACTGCAGACCAACATCTTTCATGAATATATGCAAAAATTTCAAGCAAAATGTTTGTAAGTCAAATCTGAAAATACATAAATATATACTATATTGTCACGCAATGGATTTTATCCTGGAAATACGAATTTGATACAACATTTTGATATCAATTAATTTAATTCACCATATTAACAAATTAAAAATAAAGGAAAGAAGCATTTGATCGCCTCTATAGATGTAGACATTTTTTTGGCACAATTCAACTCTAATAATAATAAAAAGAGTTGCGTAAAACAGGAATAAAGATAATTTCTTCAACCTAACAAAAGACATTGATGAAAATTCTACAGCTGATGTCAAAACAATGGTAAAACTGTG
The DNA here is from genome assembly GCF_000001405.40 of Homo sapiens. Classification (NCBI taxonomy): domain Eukaryota; kingdom Metazoa; phylum Chordata; class Mammalia; order Primates; family Hominidae; genus Homo; species Homo sapiens. Next base: position 105,391,379 of record NC_000005.10, read on the forward strand.
ATTATTCTCATCCTAAAATCAATAAGAAGGCAAAGCTGTTGACTCTTATACTGTCTTCTCAACATTTAACCAAAAGCCTTAGTTAGTGCAGTAAGATGAGAAAAATAAGTACAAACTGATACTCTTTATTTTCAGAAAACACATAATTGTCCATGTAGATAATTCTAATGCAACTCTAAAAGCGAACAAAACAAAACAAAAACTATTAAAACCAACAATTGAGTTTAGCAATGTTAGAGGATAAAGTCAATAGAGAAAAATTAGTTCTATTTTAAATATGCAGAAATTGAAAATTTTAAAAATTATAGAATTTTAAATACCATCAGTAGACATTAGGAATTTAAAAGTAAATTTGAGTGACACTATGAATGACCTATCCCCTGAAATCTACAGAACATTTCTAAGAGAATTTAAAGACAAAAATCAATGCAGAGATATACCATGTTCTTTGATTGGAAAAATCAATAGGTGTAATATGTCAATTTTATATAATATTTTGATTGTGATTACATGCATTTGATGTATATACACCCGTGAATCCAACACCATAATCAGAATTAACCTGTCAACACCAAAAGCTTCCTACTTCTTATTGTCACAGGATCTTTCACATGTCACTTCACCAGCTGGAAACCTCTGTGGCTGGCAGTGCCTCTGCTTAAGTTTACTTGCACCCGCTGGGCTCGTTCCGCCCACTTGGCCCACCAGGTTGCCTCAGTTTGTACTACTGGCCCGGATCCCTTGCCCTTCAAAGGCGTACCAGGCATGGAGCAGCAAGGGGTGTATGAGCGAACAAAGCGGTGTATGAGCGAGTGAGTGCGCTGTTTGGCCAGAGCTCACAGCCAGGCATGTTGGCAGCTGTGGAGGGCCAGACACCTCCAGGTGCCAGCACAGGTGCCGGCCCTGTGCGAGACTGTGGCTGGACTAGGCATACCCCAAGTAGATTCTGCTGCGGGTGCCAGCATCTAGACAGAGGGAATGCGGTGGTGTTTAAAAACTCAGTGACACCAGCAACCGTGAAGCCCCCAGGGCTGGAGAGGGCATACTACAGCTCTCATTCCTGCCGCCCATATATCACCGAATGGTGGGGGTAGGGGAGATGTATTTTCAGCTTGTTGAGCCCTGCAGCCTCGCTCCAGCCGAGGGCTCCCAGGCTGGCCTGGTCCCGCCAGTACTTCCTGTCGTGTGGAGCAGCTACCTGACATTGGCGGAGGGTAGGAGGGCTATATATAGTATTACAATTCTGGCTCGGGGATTCCCGAGGTCTGGGCCCCTAGAAGGATTGCTGCTCTTTACTCCTCCAGTTTGGCAAATGCGAGCAGGTCACTACCTACAGCTCAGCGCGCTCGTCAGGAACATGTTATAGCTCCTTTAGCTCCTACCTGCAGCTTGGCGATCCGGCCAGGAAAGCGTTACAGCCCTTTTTGCACCCGCTGTTCTGTGGGTCCCGGGTTTATGTCCAGGAAGAATGAAGTTGCACGGTCAACTGAAGGGTGAGCACGGTGGAGAAGAGTTTTACTGAGTAACAAAACAGCTCTCAGCAGCGAGAAAAAGCTGAAGACGGTAGCTCCTAACGCAGCCTGGTAGTCGACAGCTGTGGCCGAGTCCAGGGGTTTTTATATGCTCAGAATGAAGGACGTGCATGCTGATTGGTCCATGGGTGGGCTCTGAAAGAAGAACCATTTGATTGGCTGAAAGGCATCAGGAAGTTCTCACTTCCGGTTGTGGATTCTACCTGGAACTGGCAGCCCGGTTTTCAGGCTTTTCAGGCTTTGGCTTGAAAGTTGGATTTCACCAGGGACCCACCCTGATCTGCCTAGGAATTTGTCTGCCTCCTGCCACTATCACTATTATAAAACATCCCTTCCTCCAATTACATATGCAGGGAACCACCGATTACTTTGTCAATATTATGTATTTTCTAGAATTGTGATAAAGCTAATTATACAGTATGTGATCATTTTATCTGGCTTTTTTATTCAACATACTTATTTCAACATTCAGCCACATTGATATATGTATCAAAAACATGTTTTTTGTATTTATTGCTGAATAGCAGTCCACTCTATGGGCATATCATGATTTTATCCATTTTGTTGTTAATGAGTTGTTGATTTGCTGCTGATTTTTGGCTCTCACAAAGTTGCTACCAACATTCATGTACAGATTACTGTGTGGACATATGATTTTGTTTCCTAGCATAGACACCAGCTAATGAAATGGAGTGGTTCTATGGAAGAGAAAATTTAAATATTCAAGAAATTCCAAACATTTTTTCCCAAGAGAATTTACCAGTATTCATTCCCACCAGAAATATGGTGGAATTGCTCCCCACGCCCACAACACTTGGTCTGGAGATTCTTTTTATTACCGCCATTCCACAGTGTATGAAATGGTATATCAATGACTTAATTTGTATTTCCCTGTCAAGCAAAGATGTTGAGTATATTTTTACATACTGATTTTCATCTATGTTTTATTTAGTGAAGCATCTGTTCAAATATATTATTCATTTTTATTGGGTTGTTCTAATTATCATTTTTGAATTGTAAGGCTTTTTATATGTTATGAACACAGGTCTTTAGTTAGAAGTATATTTGAAAATATTTTCTCCCATGCTGTGACTTCCCTTTTCATTTTCTGCACATTGATCTGGAGAAAGGGAGTTTATAATTTTGATGAAGAATTTATTTAATGTTTTATAGTTCAAGAAGTTGTAACTCTATTAAGAGAATTATTGACAACTGAAGATTACACTAATTTTGTACCATTTTTCCTTCTAGATTTATAATTTTAGCTCTTAATTGTACATTTTAATTCTTGTACAAGGTATAAGGTAATAGAAAAGTTTTACTATTTTTAGTGATGGCTAGCCAACTGTTTCATTATCATTTCTTGAAAATATTTTTCCCCATGGATTCCGAAGAATAATATATGCACGTTAAAATTTATGTAATTCTTTATAATACTATAAGTCCACAATCAGATGTTTTAATGAAGAGATAGCTGTGCACGGTGGCTCACACCTGTATCCCAGCTACTTGGGAGGCAAAGGCGTGGAAAAAATAGGCATTGTCTCTGAAAATATAAAAATAAATAAGCCAGATGTGGTGCTGTGCACCTGTAGTCCTAGCTACTGGGGAAGCTGGGGCCAGAGGATCGTGTGAGTCCAGGACTTACTGGGTGTAGTGAGCTATGATCATACCACTATGCTCCCATCTTGGTGACAGAGCGAGACTCTATCTGTAAATAAATAAATAAATAAATAAATAAAATACATGCAAAACATATTATTTATCTGCAGGAAAACATAAAAGGGGAAAAGATATGTGCTGGTATCAAATAAGAGAAGACAATTGTTTTACCATTTTGCAGCATACTATGAAACAAAAGAAAACCAATAAACCAACAAAGATATGACATGGAAAATGGCATTAAGAAGGTATTTTGTCCATAATCTGCTCACATATTCTTTGTATGGTTTTTGTCTGTTTCTCATCATGCACCTGAAAATTGACATTTTGCAAAGTATGTAATGTCCTGATAAATGTTTAATTTTAAGTAAGAATAAAACACCCTAGTTATGAGATTGGTAACTTTGTTTCTTAATTTGATGACATAGTGAAATGTCACATATCAGTTTGACAGTGTTCTCTGGAAGCTATAAGCAGAATATTTCTCTTTGATTTATAATGCTAATAGGAAGTTACACTGCTCTTTAATTATAGTAAGGAGAGTCTAAAGTCACATTACTGAATACAACTATAGAAGGAAATAGCATCATGTTTTATGATGAATTGTAAATTAATTTTATATACTTAAAACAGTTTTCTAATTGTGACTAATTTCAATTTTTTAAAATATAAACGTTATATCTTTGACTTACTTTCATTAATTTTTTAAGGAAACCCTAAAGTCTATAAACAAAAATGAGATCATTTCACTCTTTAAGTTAATCTGTGGTTCATGTTAAATTGCCTTGATTCAGAAAATCATAATCTAGTGCATGTACTGTAAGATTAACATAGTGAATAGTATCAGAAAAAAAAGAATAGTGTTAATTCTATGTATAAAATTATCTAAAGAAGCTTAATTATGTACTCTAATGCCTCTGTCTTTTTTTGCTAATACCTTTATCAATTTTCATAATAAACTAATTGTACATTAACTTATCATTAATTATTTTTATAGTGTAAAAAGAGGAATTTTCAAACTTTCATTCTACAGCATTGGATATAAAGATAACAATGGCATTGTCTTGCCATTATTGTGTTCTGGCCAGATGTGTTTAAAACACTGACAGAACTCTAAAAAAGTGAGATGACAGTTGATACACATGTAGCACAGTATTTTCAATTAGTATTTTAATTATGCTTTCTGAAATCTAGTGATACTTTTTTTATTTCCTAAAAATAAATTAGGTAAATCTCATCAGAATTATCTACTCCTATGGATAGCCATTTATATGATAAACTGCTTTGATCTACAACTGCATTATAAAAAACCAATTGTCTCATGCTGTTCTTGGAAGTCAATAATAGGACACAGACTGTGATGCTATTAAAGCAATTCACTAACAGAATATTAGAATGTCTACTGAAATATCACAGATGAGTACCGGATTTTGTATCGTACTTGTAGAATGCTATAACATTGTATAGTTTGCTCCTGTTAGACTGTTTTTCCAGTAAATAATATTACTAACTTAATCATGTTTCTTATCCAACCCAATCCAAGTTTTGTCCCAAATCATAGCCTTGCAGTCATCATAGTAAAATAAAATTTCTTTCTATTCAGGAAATGGCTGGATACAGCTGCATGATTTTCAAACTGTAAATATTTTGTTAACCTTGCATTTATAATATCTAAGTGCTAAGTATTAAATCATAGTAAATTTTGTTAAATTGTATAAAAATATGTCAAGACTCAAAGCAGCAATTTCGTTTTTACTGTTACAAATTTAAGTAGAGCAAAATGAATATTTAAACAAAGGTATTGCTTTACATGCCATGAAAATGTTCTGTCTGAAAACAAAGTATATTTACCATCTCACTTATTAGAAAACTTTTCTTTATTATTCATCCAGTGCTTCTTCTTCCATCATACTCCTTCCTAACCTGAATCTAAAGGAAGCAGGGTTTTCACTGTGGTTTATAATATACCAGTGCCTAAAATTAGTACATCCACTTCTAATGGCAGGTGCACTGGTAAATACTTTTTAGGCATTTCCAGATATTGTTCATTTTAGCTCTCAACTAACTAGCTACAGTTCACCATGCTAGACACATCATCAAGCTCGGCTTTCGTCTTTTTAATTTATGTTTCGTGACTTACTACATTTTTTTCTTCATTCATTGATTTATTCATTCAACTTTCAAAGTGCTAATATGCAAGAAACAATGTGATATTCAAAGATGATTCAAGCTATTTTCCTTCCTTGATATGTTTATAGTGTATTAGGAAAGATAAGATGGAAAGTGGGCCCATTTTCCTAGAACAAAAGTACCACAAGATTAGTATATACAGGATACTAATATATTGAGATGAAGACAGTTTAACACCAATGATGGATAAACAAGAAGTATCAACAGTTATAGTTGTTTAACTACAATAACAATTTTTTTCTGATTTTAAATGTGAAGAAACTAAATGATTAACATTAAATAATGTTTTTAAAAAGCAAGCTGTTATTGAACTTGTATTAAAGAAGTTCTAAACTATTGCTTAGCCACTATACTAAAATAAACTTTATCTTTTTTTGGTGATAACAGAAATATTTCTATGATGCTTAGATTGTGAAATATTATCAGGTCTAAAGATTTTAGTATTGATTAAATTATGGCAAAAAATATTATTATTAATTATAGGTTAGTTATATAAAGTTAAATAGTTGGGGTCTTGGTTTTCATTGGGTGACGCTTTCCTAAAAACAATAAGAATAATTTGAAAAAATATATAAATATGTGGAAATGAAGTCCAATGCAGTAAGGATCACAGTGCATTCCATTGGAAGATGATACAGTTTAGCTTCATGGGCATAGTGGAAAGTTGTTACTTTTGGTATCTACAATCTTCTACAAAATAATAGCCTTTGGTCACTTTGAACACTATCAGCACTTTTCCTCTGATAAAATTAATGAGGAACTGGACAGACAAGCCCCTGAAAATAGACTGGGACAGTTGTCATGATTCTAATAAAAGCTTAATGAAACTTAAAACTATCTCGTGCATCCAGATGGACTAAGGTTATATTACAATACTTGCAGTTTTGTAGTTACCTCAGTTCTTGCTGCTAACTTCTGCAGAAACAATATGTCAGTGTGACATGCCCTGTGGCAATGTATTGTTTCTCTCAAAGTGAAGAGTATTTACTGATGAATCTTATGGACTCCTCAAAAATAAATGTGGATAATTATCCAATGTGATTTTGATCACTCATAAAAACCCTGAGACATTTCCTTTCAAGTGGCAGCTGTAGATGCTTTCTCCTCCTCCCCTCAATAACACGTGTTGTCATTGTGTGCAATGTATAATATTCTTGGTTAGCATTTGAGCAAGTACTAGTGCAGTCTCAGCCTTTCTTACATAGCTTTTGCTAGGTCTTTTCATGCAGAAATAACATCTTAAAAACCCAAGCTAAGTTTCTATTCTATATGCATAATGATAAATCCACACTCCTGCTGGGGGCCATTTTCACAGCTTCCTCTCCAATAATTAAATGACCACCAGCAACCATATTACCCATAGAATTTAAATAATCAAAGCATTTTTCTTAATATCCCTTTTAGCAAAAATGATTTTTATCATTTTATTTCCATTTTCTTAACATTTTAAATACATTTACTACTGATTAAGGCAAAGGTTATTTCTTAGCACTGTTTAATCCTCTTTACATAGTTAATTAGCATCACGTATTTTTATTTTCTTGTGCAAATTTATTGGAGTATAAAGCTCTGGGTGTGTGTTTTAAATGCACATGACACAGTTTTGGTAGTGAAATATGAGCATTAACAAAATAAGTGCCTTTTCTGCATACTGTTTTAAATGTGATTGTTTGAATCAGTTTAACAATCTTAAATGTATTCTTAAATATATACATTTCAAGAATGAAAATTATGTTTTTTTCTTACTGTAATAAGATGCAATGAATATCACATTTCATAATCACATACAAATTATATTTTCTGCATTTATAATGCCAACGAGTTATCTTGCATACATTCAGTGATGTGTGATACATTGATGTGGGATGAATCTAAGAAATATCGTGAGACAGCTATCAAATAAGTAGAAGACTTGGTTTCAGACACTTTAGGAGGGAGAGATATTTAATCAAAAGAACTAAAACTGAAGATGATTAAGGACAGGAAGAAAATGTCTGAAGAATCATGACGAGACTTAATCATTTAGATGAGAAAAATAAATAAGGTCTAGGGAGAGTCAGACACTTGGTGTGGTAATTTACTCAATATCGTGCTCAACTGCAAACACAATAGATTCTTCCAAGGAAACAAAATAAATACAAATGTCCTGCATCATGAAAGAGAAAGTAAAAAAAGACAAAGAGAAAGTTCTAGAGAGACAGAAATATAAGTTGGTAAAAAAAATCCTCACTTCTCAGGAAGGAGGTAGGCTAGTCTTAAAGAATGACTCTAGGGTTTAACATTACTTGCCTTAAATTTGCTAATATTTACATAATTTTCACTGCGTAATTTTTTTAAGTATCTTTTAACCTCTGTAACTATTTGGTCCTATAACATTGGTAAGTTGCATCAGATAACTAGAAACAAAACATAGTAAAGAAGTAAGAGAGATCACAAAGAGGAAACCACTTTTTTTTTTTTATAATAGAGTCAGTGGAATGATTAGGAACAAAACTTGGGCCTCCTGTGAAACTATCATACTTGTTTTATCTCTCAAAATAGAGAATATAACTGGGATATTGTCTGATAATTCTATACTTTTCTCTGTGTAATATACAAAATTAAGTTATAAGAAACAAAGAAAAGATCTTGATTTTTAACTTGGTAAATTCAATGATAAATCAATTATTTCTCATGCACTTTTATCATTAAGTAGCTCTTTTAAAGTTTTCTAGAAAAAATATGCTACATTAATTTCCAATTCTAGAAAATAAATTTAGAGTATCTTTTTCTTTAATAAGACTGTCTAGTAAATAATGATTGAAAGACTTGAATCAAGATCTTGTTTTTCTTGTCTAAATGTTTTATGTTTAAAGATCCTCTGATTTTCCTGTGTAATTTAAAACAGAGATCTTAAGACATGTTTGCTACATATAATTTTTCTTTCCTATTTCAAATACCATTTTTAAATGAAATTTTTTCAGTCCACTTTCCACACAATTTAACATATTTGCAGCCCTTCTGTCAAATGTTAATAATACCAACTCTGATTTAAGCTTTGTTAGAAAATTGCAAAGTATACATCATGAAGTAAAGATAAGCCCATGTTTAAGGACATTTTTACATATGCAAAGAGCAATATTCTAGACATAGCTAGAAGAGGGCAAATCAGCTCATGCTTAATTCATAGTTTTATTTTTAAGACAATTTAAAAATAATCCTAGCAATAAGTTTCCAAATGATTCTGTAATACACATTTATCAGAGATTCGGTGGGTTCTCCACTATCCTCACGAAGTTAAGGAGAAACGCTTCTCACTTTTTTGAATGTAGAGAAATTTTCATCACCTCTTAAAAGAAAAAGCAAAAAAACGTGTTCATTTTGATTGTAACTTTTTAGTTTCTACATACTTTCTTCACTCTCTCCTAAATCACTAAAAGGTTGGAAAATGGTAGGAAATTTCAGAGGTTCACAGGTACATGAATCAAGTCTTCAAACTTAATGGTGAAATAGTATTGTGTATGAATCTAGGTGCTCTGATGAAGGGTTATTTTCAGTAAATGTTGAAAGGTTGACAGTAGCTGCTTTGTAGATTTGGGGAAAAAACAAGTTGATAGCAATCATATGAAATTGCTGTCTTAATGGTAGACATTTTTTAAAAGGAAAGAATTTCTTTGGAGTGCTGACTTTAAGCCATGAGACATACTTCCTAGAAACTTCTTACAAACTTATAATTGACTCAACTTAAAACTGTTAAAAGAATAAGGTAATACAAAATTTGCTTTCCTTGTCTTCATCAGTGCACATCTGTCTTTCTATTACCTATTTATCACTATTTTGCTCAATGATAAAGATAATAGGTTGAGAATTAAGTATAACTGTCTGAACCTCAGTCTATGTTTACACACATTTAGCTTGTTGCTTCTAACATAGTCAGATTAAGCAGACTAAATTTGATAAGATAGTGATCTCAAACAAGACCCACTTTCAGAAAAGTAGTATTAAATGCATTGTTATTTTCAGGAAAAAAGAGAGGTGATTGTAACTGAACTCTATTTATTAAAAGATAGAATAGATTAGTTCATTGAGATAAAAAGTAACAGTGGCTTATTCTGGAATGATCACTCAGTGGTTCTAACATTGTATGGTCTGAGTATTACTATTTCTTTTCCATCTTCACTCAGAACATGGCTTTGGAGGACATGATTGAGAAGTAGTAAAAGATGGAAAAGAAAAGGAAGAAGTAGAAGATCAAAACTGAAAGAAAAGTGATACAGAGTCTAAAAGTTTTGTCTTTTTAGGTATAATTTAATGACCATTCCAAAATGTATTTGAAATAAATAAGAAATAACTTATTATTAAGAAACTTTCTCCAAAGTTTCTTATTTCCTTTATTAACATATTTATACATCTCTCAAACTTTGTATTATACTTAATGGTACATCTTCTCCTTTAAAATAAATACTTTATTTTTGCTGAAGAAATTACATACTCGTATCTTTTAAAGTAAAAAATAAGTAATTGAATTAAAAGTGAAGGGTTTCTTTGGCCTTTCCATTTGAAAAAAAAAAAATTATCCCAGAGAAAATGATAGCTCACAATTCTGTTTTCCTTATTTAAACATCTATATGTTAATATGAACACAGATAATTTCGGTTTAGATTCTGGTTTTATTTAAATAGGATTATTTTATTTAAATAGGATTATTCTTTAACATCCTTTAATCACATAATCTAAAATTTGGAATTTGTTATTTTTTCCTGGTACTATGAATTACATTATTCTTGGTAACTACTTGACTTCTCATTGTAGCTTTATTTCAAATTTATATTTCAAGTTAGTGATGTCTGGCAAACGTATTTATCGCCCACTTGTTGACCTTATGCACTTGGATATCCTATAGGTTACTCAATTTCAATATTTAAATATTTCTCAACCCACTACTGTCCTGTATGATTCCTCTTTTTTCTCTAATCATTCACAAGGCTTCATTCAGCTGCTCATGACTAAAACCTAACACTCTTCCCTGATATGCCAATATTTCTTCTATTGCCACCACCCTATAATATTCAGTTCATCACAATGTATTCATGAGTCTAATATTCATAAGACCTTAGTATTTCACATATCTCATATAAATTGAGTGATACTCTTGCCACCTATAATAATTAATTGATCACCTGTCATCATCTACTGTGACAAATTCTAACAGACATTACTACTTTCAAGACTTGCTTTGAATTTAGTCTTCATAATGCAGCCAAGATAAACTTTCCATATTTCCATACTTTAAATCCAATTGTCCTCTGCCATGGGCCTTAGACTAAGACTCTGCCTCATTTAACCCAGTGGGCTAATTTTTTAAAAATGTTAAAAATAACATAATCATAGATATTCAGGGTCAGGAGAGGACAACTTCTAGGAGAGACATCTTCACATTCTAATTCATGTGTAATGTTTAAGACAAATTAGACTTCATTAACTATTATCTTAACCTTCTATACCTAGTTTATACATGCTCTTAAGTAATTGCAAAAAGTCCTAAACTATCATCCATAAACAACTAATGTCTATATATTTTAGCACATCAGTAAAGCTTGCAGCTTAATGCTTCTGATACATAAAAACCAATAAATAATTTTAGTTTTCTTCAAAAGGAACTCTTTAAAAAACAATTATGCCTTTTGCTGTGAATCAAATATAATCATTGGAAAATGGCTCAATATGTACCAAAAATCAGGCTGAGACATTATTTTCTTTGACCAAAGAAAATATAATTCTGCTTCTTGCTTCTTTGTCGACAAATATTATACAGATTTGGTATTATATTGTGTCTGTAAAATGAATTCCTCAGCATGCCGCAAGAATCTTCCTTGATCTGTCCCCTCTTCCCTGCTTACTGTCATCTGACACTATCCTTGCCTTGTGCTCTAGGTTCCAACAATAATGAACCACCTGCAGTTCCTTATGTGTATGTCACCTGAACATACTTATATTTTCACATCAGGGCATTTGTACCACGGGTTAGTAGTACATATGACCTTCTTTTGTAGTGAACATAGATTATTTTTCTTTCTAAAAAAAAAGTCTAAAGGAAGAATACTTGATACTTCTACATGTATTCTTGAGTAGGTATCAAATATTATTGATTATTCAATCATGTATCATGTCTCAAATCAGAGATTACATTCTCCATGAAATCTGCTTTTGGTCTAGATGCCCATCCCTTTTCCTCTATATATTACCGTCATGACAAGAGTTCACACTTCTTTTCTTTTTCATGGCCTATTTTGTTGAATTCTTGAGATTTAATAAATAATAAAGGAGATTTTTAAGGATATCTACTGGGTTTATTTAAGATATTATATTGAAAGAGGAGGGCATTCCAAATAGAAGAAACATCATAAGCTACATGGCAGAAGTGAGAGTTTGTGAAGGTAAATCTTCATTTTTCAAATGAGCAGATGGAGTATTTTGAGCGGAGAGAATTAAGGTATGATGAGTCATGGGAGAGGACTCAAATGATTAAAACTAGTAATAATGTTTTTTAAAATTGAAATTTACATACACAAGACAAAATTCAATGCACTAGAAAATAAGTATTATAGATTTTGAAAAAGAAATATCATAGAAATACTGTTAGTGAAGTTATCAAGCATCATTGCCTAGATTGACTGAAATGAACATAAGTAGGCACAGTGAAAATAAAAGTAATAACAACATTATATGCTACCAAGATTTACAGGTAAAGAACAGGAGAAGTTTGAGAGGTACTTCAAATAATTAAAAACAGCAACAACAACACATGGTTTCTAGAAAAGGTTCTTGGCAATGGATAGAGAAGGAGGAAACAATCATCTGGACTCTGTCCTTTGGAGGAAGTTTTGCCAGGGAAATGGAATTGATGACAACATGTGTCATCACTGGGTATGCCCACCCTATCTGTCTTGCGCTTCATACTGGGCTTGAATTGTTATTTTTACTAGCTTATTCAACTAGGTTAGGCTCTAATTCCCTCCGATTATGAAAAACCAAGGAAAAGGGGTATGAGGAGAGAATCTTAGGTAACAACCATAGTAGTCTTTTTCTTTTACATGTTTTATATCTTCTATTTTAAACAGTTATTCTTATAGTCAGACATAAGTAGAATGTATTTTTTGTGTAAATTTGTAACCATCAGGGATTTTGGGGGACAAATTTGAAGTATAAAGCTAATTGCTTAAAGAATGTCCTAAAAGAATTATATTTTCCTGTTATTAGGATCTACATTTTTCTATAAACTTGTCAAAACTGCTATTTATATTCAATCCCACATGTTTAATTAGCTATCATTTTGACAATGAAGTTCTTATAAATGTATAAAACTAGAAGAATAGACAACTTTTTGAAAATGGGTATGTATGTAAAACCCACTTTGTAATGACCTTACATCCATTTACCTTTTATAAAATGCTTAAAATGTAAATATTGCAATTTATATGAAAGGAAAATATTTACTCACTATTTCCTGTGGATGATGAAAGTCACTTGATTTTCATATATTTATTAACCACAAATCCAAAAAATGTATGCCGATCTAGAAACCTTTCTATTTTTACATTTCAATGGATGAATAAGACATAACAGTCTAGAAGTGAATGTAAATTTTTTTGTTTGTTTTCATCTTTTCCTTTAATTTGTTACTCATAGCAGTATGAAGAGCCAATAGAATCTTCTCTATAACTTATACTGTGTTTGACCTTAAGGATACCATATAAATCGTCCTGTTAGGTGACTATTTTCACCTATCAATTTCTGATGAATAAAGCATCTTTATACATCCAGTCTCTTTTTAATAGGCTTAGCTTTTTTGTTGTTATTGTTTCAGTTTTTATGTCATAGCTGCTATGAGTCAGTGAAAAAATAATTGCTGGTTGTTACTCATGGGTTTGTTTTTAATAGGTAATCATAATCATTACAAATGCTTTGTGTCTGTAAGATAAGACTAGAATTATAAATTTCCTTATGCAATATATCCAGTAAATAACTACTAGCGTGGATTTTTTTATCCGTTTTGATCATTTATTTACATGAAATTACTATAAGAAAAATTCTAAAATATAATGGTACATGCAACTTCAGTGAAATTTTACTCAAATGAAGATAGTTTAATCTATTATCAAAGTCATTGGATCTTACAAAAAGAGATATCATTCAAGAAATTATAATTCATGAAAAATGGTACACTGATATCCTGAGAATCCATTCTATAGTTTTTTTTATCTTAAATAGTAGCATTGCTCATTCATATTTAAAATAGATACAGCATAAACTTCAAAACTCCAGAAAAGCACAAAAGTTTTTGTACTTCTGGGTTGGGTCAAGACAGAATAACAAGAAATCATATTTTGCCTACTACCTGAAAAAAAGGAGAAAAAACAGACCAAATATATGAAGCAATGGTTTTTATCATATAGATCATCAAGTAACAAAGGATAGTGACCTCAAGCTAATAGGATTAATCCTAAAATTGTTTCAACTTATCACCTAAAAAAGAGTTTCCAGGCCCCAGTCTATGGTAGGGGAACCCAAGTGAAGCCTATAAGTTCAAGAGATAAGAACAACTGAGAATCCAGGGTGGCCCAGGTGAAACAAGTTCAGAAAGCAATGTTCCAAAGAGAAAAAGCCTGTATAAAAAGATAACTGCAGATATCTCAAGAGGGTCTCCTTCAAGGCATCAGCTAAATAATGAGTAGTGTACGAATAGCAGGAAACTACCCATTACTAAATAAAGAACCACATGAATAATTGGAACAATTACAGAAGATCTCACACAAGATTAGAAATATTTCATCTTCTTAAACAACATAGTTGAAAACCTCATAATTCACACATGAAAAATCTCATAACTCAAGATCCAAATCACTCTCAGAGATGAAGATGACAACACCGAAGGTTAAAAATAGTTAAAAATAAAGATTAAGGGTAGATAGATAAAATTAGTAAGTTTGAAGACATAGCAATAGAAATTATCCAAATGAAGCTCACAAAATAAAAAAGGAATTTAAAAGTAAGAGCACCAATAACTTGCAAGATAACTTTTAATGGCACAATATACATGTGATCTAAGTTCCTGAAGAAAAGAGAAGGGTAATGAAAACTTCTGGAAAAAAATTAAAATTTAAAAAGTATTTTATTTCTTCAAAAATGTGTGGGTTTTTGTTTATTTTTAAATAAAGTTTATTTTGTGTATTTAAGATATACAACATTTATGTTATGGGATACATACCAATAGTAATAAAGTTACTATGGTGAAGTAAATTAATATATCTATCAACTTTCCCTTTTTTGGTTGTTATTTTTGTGGCAAGAGTAGCTAAAATCTACTCATATAGCATTAATCTGAAATACAGTATAATTTTATTATCTATCATCCTCATGCTTTACATTAGGTCTCCAGACTTGTTCATCTTACATAACTGGTTGTACCTTCTGATTATATCACACCATTTCTCCCCCAAGGAACCCTCCACAGCTGATAGCCACTATTTTGTTCTCTAATTCTATAGATTTGATTTTTTTTTAGATTCCACATATAAATGAATTCATGCAGTATTTTTCTTTCTGTGCCTGACTTATTTTACTTATCATATGTGACCTATAAATGCACAGATTCAAGAAGTTCAATGAAACAGTGTATTCAATATAAATAATAATTACAAGGTGCATTATAAAGTATTTAAAACCAATGATAGAGTAGAATCTTAAAAACCACCAGAGAAAGGAGATATTATATTCTGAAGAACAAAGGTAAGGATGACAACAGAGTTCTTGGAAACAAACCGGAACATACTGGAGAAACATCTTTAAAATCATGAAAAAGCAGAAAAAAAAAGAAACTATCAATCTAACATTCTAGAACAAGTGAAAATATCTTTCTAACTGAAGACTAATTAAAAGCTTTCAGACGTACAAAAACTAAAATAATTAATTCCCAGAAGATCTGCATTGTAAGAAATGTTGAATAGAGCTCTTTAGGCAAAAGAAAAATGATACTAGATTTTGTAACTATTTGAAAAAATGCAAATTTTGTAAATTTTCGTGATTTATATCAATTTAAAAGCTAATTTGTTATTTAAAAAAATCTATGCATTATGAGGTTTATAAAATATGTAAAAGTAAATTGTATGATAACTTTAGCACAGAAGCCAGAATTAGAAAAATAGGAGTATATACAGTAAGGTTTTTATGCAATAATGGCATATCACTTGTAACTAGAATGTGCTACTGTCAAAAAGTTAAGGAGCTTCTGCCAAAGCATAGACTAATGCATTGCCTTCATCACTGAAATTGTTGATATTAATAAAAAGTCTACTGAATTAAGTAAGTGATGTAGTCAACTTATATTATGAATCAAATTCATTATCTCTTCACATGCTAGCATTTTGAATATCAGTGTACTAATTAAGAGAAGAAATTTTAAATAAATATCATTGAAATGTTCTAGGAAGTAAAGAAAAATATGCAAAATGTCAGTAGATAATTGGAATAACAGCAGTCCTTATTTTGCATGCCACTGTGCTAACTGCAACTTGCGTAAATCAAAACCATGTCCTTGCTTTGCAAGATTTCAATGACTGAAGAGCTGTGCAGAACAAAGACAGTTCTGATATGCAAGAATTTCAGTTAACTAGGCTAACATGCACTGTTTGCATATAAAAAGGAGTCAAATGGAAATTCTAAAAGTGAACAATCTAATACATAAAATTATAAACTCAATAGGTGAGTACAGAAATAGAATAGGCAACACATGATAGGGCTACTGAAATAAAAGACAAGTCAACAGAAAAAAAAAATCCAAACTGAGAAAAAAAGAGTAGAATACATGAAAAACAGCACATGAGACATGTACAACATAGTAAAAGATCTCACATGTTTAGTTGCAATTACAGAAAAGATGA
The DNA here is from genome assembly GCF_000001405.40 of Homo sapiens. NCBI lineage: Eukaryota > Metazoa > Chordata > Mammalia > Primates > Hominidae > Homo > Homo sapiens. The sequence continues at coordinate 105,407,682 of NC_000005.10, forward strand.
GAGAATTAAACAGCAAAATTAGAGAGTGATGAAGAAGTTTCCACAATGGTTGAACAATCCCAACTCAAGCATTCAAGAAGTTTTATGGATCCCAATCAGATAAATACAAAGAAGAACACAGGTAGGCACATCTTACAAGAGTATTTTTCAAACTTTACTCTCTTAAAAGTATTGAAGGCCCCAAAGTGTTTATGTAAAACTACATATGTGCTAATATAAAGATAAATAATTATTAACCTAATTAAATAATTTATATCCATATTCAAGGTATTAGAAATCAAAACTATGAAATATACAAAACATGTACTAAATTCATTTAATAAATAACAAAAATGCCTCTATTGTTATTATAATGCCTCTATTATTTTAATGTACATATATTGACACAACTATATTTTCAAAACAACTATATTTTCTGAAATGAAATATAGTGAGAAGAGTGACATTGCTTCATATTTTAGCAAATATATTTTATATCTGGTTTGCTAGAAGAGAGTTGCATTATCATATCTGCTTCTGAATTTAATCTCCTATGATATATTTTTTCGATAGAAGTATATAAAGAAAATCTGGGCTCCAATATTTATGTAGTTAGAAAATGGAGGGGTATTTGGATTATGACTTGTTTTCAGATAACTGGGGATATTTTTATTTGATATAGACCAACATCAATTTGGTAAAATGTAGTAGTTTTCAAAAGATAGTTGTAATATGGAATGTGAAAGAATATCACCAAACTTTTTGTACTCTGTTACATTAAAATTTGTTTACTTGGTCTTTGAATGGACCTTATATGCATGAATCATCTTGTAATATCAATCTTTGGTCACTTTGGAATAACTGCTAAAAACAAAAGACAAAGAAAGAACCTTAAAAACAGTCAGAGGAAACCTTCATTGTAGAAATAATATGGAAGAAAACAGAAAATGGATTGGTGTCTTTAAGGTGTCTAAAGAAAAAGTAAAGCATATTCTTCGGAAGTAAAACGATTTCAGATAAAAATATGAAAATGAATGAAGGACTAAAGAACAATGGGATGCTTAAATATACGGATAAATATAAATGAACGGTAACTATATAAAATAGTGATAGATATGTTTTGCATGGCCTCAAATATATGTAAATCAAAATACATGGCAATACTGAAAGAAAAGAATTGAGTACAGCCCATGGGGATAAAGTATTTTAAGTTTGTAGCGTTGTTGGAAAGGGGAAAGAGTAATACTTGCATTACATTTTTATTACTCTCATAATTTGTATAACTTTCATAATGTAAGGATTCACATATAATCTCAAGGGTAACCACTAAACAAAAAGGAAAACAGTGAAGTGATATAAAATTGATTTAGTTCAAAGAAAGTAGAAAAAAACTCTTCAGACATGGATGTAAAATAAAATAAAACTTATTGTAAGAGGATCAATGTAAATGCAAATGCAAATGAACAAAATAATGTTTTATATATGAAATTGGAGTTATGGGTCCTCTATCAAATAAATAATAGTCTTTTATTATTTTTAGTCATTTGTGTCATTTTTTAGATAACCAGTTTGGATCTTTCTTATTAGACACATCAGAATAATACCAAGTTATTTATAACAAATAAAATATTTAAAGCACCATGCTAGGTAATTGGAGAAATAATGCATATAGAAAAATAACTTTAATACAAGACAGAATATATTAGACTCAGTTCTCATCACTGTTTTTTTTTTTTTTCTATATCCTACTTGAGACCAATGGCATCCTATACAAAAAAAGCTGGCGAGATTAAATGTACTATCTTGCTTTGAGCCAGAGTTTTTTGTTGTTGTTGTTGTTTTCCAACAAATGCTTCGGTCAATTTGGAAGCTGAAATTTTAACCTCTAAAAATGTCTTCAAATTAATTAAATGAACTAATTAAATTAATGTTCACTCCAGGTGAGCCTCAAATTCTGCTGCAAAGCCTAAACACTTTCATAAGCTTTCTTTCCTTTTGTTACTTTTTCACCTTTATTTATTGTCATATATATCAATAGTTAACTCCTTACTCATTCTGATTATGTTATCCTTTCTCTGGAACTAAATCTGAAATGACATATGGTAAGTCAAATTTTCAATTTCAGTTGCAAAGTTCTTCGCAGGAACTTTAAAAAACCACATGAAACTTTCAGAGTAAATTAGAATCAAGAAAAACTTCACCAAAACTGATACTAGTAAAAAAAGAAACCACTTATAAAGCTATCTTTCTAGAATAACACTATATATATGTGGACAAAGATATTTTCTTATTTTACAAGGACTACATAATACTTTATGCAATTGCCCTCACATTTGGCAATATCAATAAATTCTCAAATAAATTTTAAATGTCTTTATCATGACATTTATTATTACTAATAATGAGCCAATATTTATTAAGAATTGTTTATCTGTCAAAAACCACAAAACACTTTTTATTATTATATTTATGAACACTTTTATATTTATATTTATATAATATATTTATAAATACTTTTATATTATTATATTTCTATGACTCTAAGGAAGATTTCATTATTGTCATCAATTTGTAGATCAAGAAACTAGGGTATAAACACACTAAGAATATAATTTAGGCTTTTTAATGTGTACTAGAGTGAAATTTGAACTTGAACAGTCTGAGTGTTTGATGGAGATGATTTTATCTGTCAGTCAAATACTTAAATTATGATGAACAACAAATTTGGGAGCCAGAAAATAGCATTAGAAATTATCAAATAAAGAGATTTTTTCATGAGAAGATGTGGTTTGTCTAAAATAAAAGCCAAATTGTTACTAAGTGTAATAGGAATTCACTAAATAGAATAACAAGATTGAAAATACATAAAATTTTATTTTTCAATAAAAAGCAAGGAAATAAATTTTATAGATGGTTCTTTTTTTCTTTCTCTCTTTCTTTTCTTTTCTTTCTTTCTTTTTTTTTTTTTTTTTTGACACAGTTTTGCTCTTATTGGCCAGGCTGGAGTGCAATGGAGCAATCTCGGCTCACCACAACCTCAGCCTTTTGGGTTTAAGAGGTTCTCCTGCCTCAGCCTCCCAAGTAGCTGGGATTACAGGCACATGCCACCACACCCAGCTACTTTTGTATTGTTAGTAGAGATGGGGTTTATTCATGTTGGTCCCGCTGGTCTCCAATCCCCGACCTCAGGTGATCCGTCCGCCTCAGCCTCCCAAAGTGCTGGGATTACAGGCGTGAGCCACAGTGTGCAGCTGATATTTCTTTAGTAAATATTTTTGTGTTCACTGGTTTTGAAGGTACAGCTGAAGAAAGCTTTTGATATATCACTGGTTAGGCATGCAATGCATTTGTCATGTTAAAAATAAGAATAAATAAAAACATAAATTCCCAGGAATAAGTTAAAAGACAAGAAAAACCCTCAATCAGTGCAAATCCTAGAATACATGAAAATAAGTCAGGAAAGGAGTCTAGGAATTAGAAATTACAGTAAACTTGGAAATCCAGCTACAGCTTCAGGCGTTTCTGACACATCTAATAATCATCATGATCATGAAAATAGTTATACATATAAATACTATTACTATGGATGCCTATTAGTAAACCCAATGTATTGCAGTGTAAGACTATAGATTCTTAAGTTTCGAGGACTCCAATATGAATGAAGCTCTAACATGTATTATTTCTGTGGCATTGTCCAAGTCAATTTACTTTTCTCATCTCAATTTTCTAATTCTTTTTCTTTTCACTTTCCTGATTCTTGAAAGTGTCAACCAAGAAGTCCAAATGCTCAAGTGGCTTGTCTAATAAGCTCTGCTAGAACAACACATGATTTGTTTTGTAAGCATTCACAGTTAACTCACTGTCTTCTTGATCTCAGCCTAACATAAAAGGAAGAAAAGTTGAGTGGTAATTTTTAAAGGTACTCTATAAAATTGTGTTTATATTACTGAAAAAGTGAACCAATACATAACAACACGTCACAAGGCCCATTGTTGAGACAATTTTTCTGAATCAGAAAAGAAAGAAATCTACTTAAAATGGCAACAAATCCTCTACTCTTCCCTCTCCAAAAATCTGTTTTTCTCCATTTTCTTCTCTTCTGCTTGAGAGTGCAGGAGGAGAATCATGTTTTATCTTGTTTTGTGTTTTTCTTTGTTTGTCTTTAAACATCTGCAGAGTGTTTAAAGACACACACAAAAAAATCACAGGATATAGATAACAAGACATTGATCTGGTTCCATTTCTGAAACTAGAAAATGTGCCTTTTGCCTGATCAAATGCACTACCTACGAATATAAAAGAGAATAAGAAATACACAGTGATTCCTACCAACTCTGACTCCAAATGATTTAACAGACAAAAAGTATTTTAAAATTCATACCACTTGGAGATTTCTTAATCTGAAGTTTTTATATTATAAATAAAAAATTGAGCCCCTCAAAGATTAAGCAATAACTGCATAGAGGTTACAGCTTCTGAGTGGCTAGTGAGAAATCTGGATTACAGCTTTTGGGTAGAAAGACTGGAAGTGGATTTCCTGAGCTCCAGTTAATAATTTTTTCTTTTTACCTGTGTATATCTGAATTACTAATGATAGAAACATGTTACAGGCTCATTTTCAAAATAACTCAAATATACATGTATATGTGTCTATGTGTGAACCGCACAATACCATAATTTCTAAGTTGGACATTTTGGCATTCTAAATCTCCACCATTATTTGAATTCATGAATGGAAAGAAAATTATTATGCATAAAAAAACTACCTAATATGTATTTATTAAATGAATGAAGGCACTGTGTATTTGTCTGTCTCCTCAGTGTTCATGTTCCTTGATAAATTATGAAAATATCTGTTGGTACTTCAGAATTATTTAACTTCAAAATAGAATAATTTCAAATGATTATATATAAAATAATATCTATCTATCCACAGAGAATATCTATAGAATGAGGTGTGATACAGGATTCTGGAATAGAATCAAGAAAAGTGAATTTTATTAACAGTTTTTCTGTTGATGACGGGCTATCAACTTAACTTCACTCTTCCTTAGTATCATCACTTGTGTGATAAATAATACAAGATTGAATATTATCTAGATATACTAATAAATTTTATAATACATTTCATATCAGAACATTGTAGAAAAAATTATCTTAGAATAATTATAAATTCGCCATTAACGTCATAGTTTAAAGTTGGAAAAAGCATTGTCTTTGGTCTGTTCAAACTGCTGAAACAAAATATCATAAGCTAGGTGGCTTATAAACAACAGAAATTTATTTTTTATATTTCTGGAGGTTGAGAAATCCAAGATCAAGGCACTGATAGGCTGGGGTCTGGTGAGGGCCTGCTTCCTAGTTCATAGACTGTGCTCTTCTTACTATCACCTTACATGGCAGAAGTGGTGAGAGAGATCTCTGTGACCTCTTTTATAAGGGCACTGATTCCATTCATGAAGCTCTGGCCTCATAACCTAATGACCTTTCAAAGACCCCACCTCCTAATACCATTACACTGGGTGTTAGGTTTCAGCATAAGAATTTGGGAAGAACACAGACAGTTTGCAGTAAGCACAGACTACGTGTTTAAATCTAAAATAAGACAGACCCTTTGAAGGAAGCAGACTGTTCCTACAGGACCTGGGAGACACCCCAAATACTGTGAGTGCCCCAACTGCAGAAGTCAGAAATGGAGATCCTCCGCTCCTGAACACACACCTCCACTGGGGAAATGGAAGGTCTGCTTGCAGGAGAAGTTTCTGACCTTACCTGGAGCTAAGTGAATTTAGAGAGCTGAGTGAAATACAAGAGTAGAGGAAGCAGCAGGAAAGGCCCTGGGAGCTCGCTGGGTCCCAAGAAGGCCATTCCTGCCTGGCACAACAGGGATCCATCAGGAGGGTGACCAGAGGCCCAGAGGAAAATGCCACAGGGAGAAAGAAGTTTCCCGGTGAACTTGGCAACAATTTGAACCAAGCCTCCTGGCCAGAACACAGAGGAGGTGTGCACCGCGAATCCGGTGTGCAGATTCCATGGGTGGAGGAAGAACCAAGACCTTTTCTTTTGCAGCTGGGAGGTGGATAGCCTCGGGCAAATTCTCAATGCCTGCTAGCTCACTGCCTGGAACAGATTCAGGGCTGTTGGTGGGGGCACACTGGGAGTGAGACCAGATCTTCGGATTGCGTGGGAGCTGGGTGAGGCCTGTGACTGCCGGCTTTCCCCTACTTCCCTGAAAACCTGCATGACTCAGCAGAGGCAGTCATAATCCTCCTAGATACACAACTCCATTGGCCTGGGAACCTCACTCCCATTCCCCACAGCAGCCACAGCAAGACCCACCCAAGGAGAGTCTGAGCTCAGACACACCTAGCCCTGCCCCCACCTGATGGACCTTCCCTATCCACCCTGGTAGCTGAAGACAAAAGGCATATACTCCTGGGTATTCTAGGGCCCCTCCCATTGCTGGTTCCTTCCATACTACCACAGCTGATGTTCTCTGGAAAGCACCACCTTCCAGCAGGAGGCCAACCAGCACAAAAATAGAACGCTGAACCACCAAAGCTAAGAACCCTCACAGAGTCAATTTCGCCCCCTGCCACCTCCACTGGAACAGGTGCTGTTATCCATGGCTGAGAGACCCATGGACAGTTCACATCACAGGACTCTGTACAGACAACTCCCAGACCATTCTGGAGCCAGGAAGTCTTGCTAGGTGTCCAGACTCAGAAGAGAGTTAACAATCACTGCAGCTTGGCTCACAAGCAGCCACGTCCATGGGAAAAGGGAGAGTACTACATGAAGGGAACACCCTGTGGGACCAAATAATCTGAACAATAGCCTTCAGCCCTAGACCTTCCCTCTGACAGAGCCTACCCAAATGAGAAGGAAGCAGAAAACCAACTCTGGTAATGTGACAAAACGAGGTTCTTTAACACCCTCCAAAAATCACACTAGCTCACCAGCAATGGATCCAAACCAAGAAGAAATCCCTGATTTACCTGAAAAAATTTAGGAGGTTAGTTATTAAGCTAATCAGGGAGGCACCAGAGAAAGGTGAAGCCCAAAGCAAGGAAATCCAAAAAAAATGTTACAAGAAGTGAAGGGAGAAATATTCAAAGAAATAGTATAAAGAAAAAACAATCAAAACTTCAGGAAACATTGGACACACTCATAGAAATTCAAAATGCTCTGGAAAGTCGCAGCAATAGAATTGAATAAGTAGAAGAAGGAAATTCAGAGCTCTAAGACAATGTCTTCAAATTAAATCAATCCAACAAAGGCAAAGAAAAAAGAATAAGATGCCAGGTGTTGTGGCTCATGCTTGTATTCCCAGCACTCTGGGAGGCCGAGGCAGGTGGATCACTTGAAGTCAGGAATTCGAGACCAGCCTGACCAACATGGCGAAACTCTGTCATTACTAGAAATACAAAAATTAGCCAGGCATATTGGCAGGTGCCCGTAGTTCCAGCTACTTGGGAGGCTGAGGCAGGAGAATCGCTTGAACTGGGAGGCAGAGATTGCAGTGAGCTGAGATCATGCCATTGCACTCCAGCCTGGGCAACAAGAGAAAAACTCTGTCTCAAAAAAAAAAAAAAAAAAAAACCAATAAGAAAACATGAACAAAGCCTTCAAGAAGTCTGGGATCGTGTTAAATGACCAAATGTTAGAATAATCTGTGCTCCCGAGGATGAAGAGGAATCTAAAAGTGGAAAATATATTTTGGGAAATAATTGAGGAAAACTTCCCTAGCCCTTCTAGAGACCTAGACATCCAAATATAAGAAGCACAAAGAACACCTGGGAAATTCATTACAAAAAGATCACTGCCTAGGCACATTGTTATCAGGTAATCTAAGGTGAAGGTGAAGGAAAGAATCTTAAGAGCTGTGAGACAAAAGCACAGGCAACCTATAAAGGAAAATCTGTAGGATTAACAGCAAGTTTCTCAGCAGAAACCCTACACCTAGAGGGGATTGGGGCCCTATCTTCAGCCTCCTCAAATGAAACAATTTCTGGCAAAGAATTCTGTATCCAGGGAAACTAAGCATCATATATGAAGGAAAGATACATTCTTCTGCAGACAAATGCTGAGATAATTCACCACTACCAAGCCACCACTACAAGAACTGCTGAAGGAGCTCTAAATCTTGAAATAATTCATGGAAACACATCAAAATAGAACCTCTTTAAAGAATAAATCACAAGGACCTATAAAACAAAAACACTGGCACTCCCAGATTTATAAAACAATTACTAACACACCTAAGAAATTAGATAGGCAGCAACACAATAATAGTGATGGACTTCAATACTCCACTGATAGCACTAGACTGATCATCAAGAAAAAACTTCGAAAAAGAAACAATGGATTTAAACTATATCTTGGAACAAATGGATTTAAAAGATATACACAGAACATTTCATCCAATAACCACAGAATACACATTCTATTCCACAGCGCATGGAACATTCTCCAAGACAGACCATATTATAGGCCATAAAATGATCCTCAATAAACTTAAGAAAATTGAAATTATATCAAGCACTCTCTCTCAGACCACAGTAGAAAAACACTGGAAATCAACTCCAAAAGGAACCTTCAAAACCATGAAAATACATGGAAATTAAACAACCTGCTCCTGAATGAGCATTGCGTCAAAAATGACATCAAGATGGAAATTAAAAAACTTTTAGAACTGAATGACAATATTGACACAAACTATCAAAACCTCTGGATACATCAAAGATGGTGCTAAGAGGAAAGTTCATCGTCCTAAACACCTACATCAAAAAGACTGAAAGGGCACAAATTCACATTCTAAGGTCACACCTCAAAGAGCTAGAGAAATAAGAACAAACCAAACCCAAACCCAGCAGAAGAAAAGAAATAACAAAGATCAGAGCAGAACTAAATGAAACTGAACAACAAGAACAACAAGATACAAAAGATAAATGAAACAAAAAGCTAGTTATTTGAAAAGATTGATAAAATTGATAAACCATTAGCAAGATTAACTAAGAAAAGAAGGGAGAAAATCCAAATAACCTCACTAAGAAACATAACAGGATATATTACAACTGACACCACTGAAATACAGCAGATCATTCAAGGCTACTATGAACACCTTTACACATATAAACTAGGAAACCTAGAGGAGATGGATAAATTCCTAGAAAAATACAACCCTCCTAGCTTAAATCAGGAAGAATAAGATACCCTGAACAAACTAATAACAAGCAGCAAGACTGAAATGGTAATTTAAAAATTGCTAACAAATAAAAGTCCAGGACCAGATGGATTCACAGCAGAATTCTACAAGAAATTCACAGAAGAATTGGTAGCAATCCTTTTGACACTCTTCCACAATATAGAGAAAGAGAGAACCCTCACTAATTCATTCTAGGCAGCCAGCGTCACCCTAATAGCAAAACCAGGAAAGGACATAACCAAAAAAGAAAACAACAGACCAATATACCTGATGAAAATAGATGCTAAAATCCTTATCAAAATACTATCTAACTGAATTTAACAACATATCAAAATGATAATCCACCATGATCAAGTAGGTTTCATACCAAGGATGCAGGGTTGGTTTAACATACACAAATAAATAAATGTGATACACCACATAAACAGATTTAAAAACAAAAATCACATGATATCTCAGCATCCCTGTAGGATTTAAACTCTCAGCAAAATCGGCATACAAGGGACATACCTCAATGTAATAAAATCCATCAATGACAAACCCACATCCAACATAATACTCAGTGGGGAAAAGTTGAAAGCATTCCTTCTGAGAACTGGAACAAGACAAGGATGCCCACTCTCACCACTCCTCTTCAACATAGTACTGGAAGTCCTAGCCAGAGCAATCAGACAAGAAAAAGAAATAAAGGGCATCCAAATTAGTAAAGAGGAAGTCAAACTGTCACTGTTTTCTGACAATATGATCATTTACCTTGAAAACCCTAAAGACTCCTCCAGAAAGCTCTTAAAAGTGATAAAAGAATTCAGCAAAGTTTCTGGATACAAGATTAGTGTTCACAAATCAGTAGCTCTTCTATACAGCAACAGCATCCAAGTGGAAAATCAGATCAAGAACTCAACCTCTTTTATGACACCTGCAAAAAAATTTAAATAAAATACTTAGAAATATACCTAATCAAGAAGGTGAAAGACCACTACAAGAAAAACTACAAAACACTGCAGAATTAAATCATAGACAACACAAGCAAATGGAAACACATCTCAGCTCATGGATGGGTAGAATCAATATTGCGAAAATGACTACAGTGCCAAAAGCAATCTACAAATTCAATGCAATCCCCATCAAAATACCATCATCATTCTTCACAAAATTAGAAAAAAAAATCTAAAATCCATATGTAACCAAAAAAGAGCCCACATAGCCAAAACAAGACTAAGCAAAAAGAACAAACATGGAGACATCACACTACCTGATTTCAAACTATAATGCCATAGTCACCAAAACAGCATGGTACTTGAATAAAAATAGGCACAAAAATCAATGGAACAGAATAGAGAACCAGATATAAGCCCAAAAACTTACAGCCAACTGATCTTCCACAAAACAAACAAAAATATAAAGAAGGGAAAGAACACCCTTTTCAACAAATGGTGCTGGGATAATTGGCTAGCCACATATAGGAGAATGAAACTGGATCCTCATCTCTCACCTTATACAAAAATCAACTCAAGATGGATTAAGGTCTGAAATCTAAGACCTGAAAATATAAAAATTCTATAAGATAACATTGGAAAAACCCTTCTAGACATTGGCTTAGGCAAGGATTTTACGACCAAGGACCCAATACCAAATGCAATAAAAACAAAGATAAATAGTTGGAACTTAATTAAACGAAAGAGGTTTTACACAGCAAAAGGAACAGTCAGCTGAGTAAACAGACAACCCACAGATTGGGAGAAAATCTTCACAATCTGTACATCTGACAAAGGACTAATATTCAGAATCTACAACAAACTTAAACCAATCAGTAAGAAAAAAAATAAACAGTCCCAACAAAACGTAGGCCAAGGACATGAATAGATAATTATCAAAATAAGATATGCAAAAGGTCAACAGACATATCAAAAAATGCTCAACATCACTAATGATCAGGGAAATGCACAACCATAATAGGATACCACCTTACTCCTGCAAGAATGTCCATAATCAAAAAACTAAAAAACAGTAGATGTTGGCTTGAATGCGGTGATCAGGGAACACTTCTACACTGCTGTGGGCATGTAAACTAGTACAGCCACTATGTAAAACAGTGTGGAGATTTCTTAAAGAACTAAAAGTAGAACAACCATTTGATTCAGCAATCCTAATATTAGGTTATCAGAGAAACCCGCCCCCAATATTTCAACGTAGGTTCTTTCTATTTTCCATAACTGTCGGCTGGCTGAGAAATAAAGAGAAAGAGTACAAAGAGAGGAATTTTACAGCTGGGCCGCTGGGGGTGACATCACATATTGGTAGGACCGTGATGCCCACCTGAGGCTCAAACTGGCAAGTTTTTTATTAAGGGTTTCGAAAGGGGAGGGGGTGTCAAACAGGGAGTAGGTACAAAGATCACATGCTTCAAAGGGCAAAAAGCAGAACAAAGATCACATGCTTCTGAGCGAACAGGACAAAAGCAAAGCAGAACTACTGACAAGGGTCTATGTTCAGCTGTGCACGTATTGTCTTAATAAACATCTTAAACAACAGAAAACAAGGGTTGAGAGCAGAGAACCAGTCTGACCACAAATTTACCAGGGAGGAGTTTTCCCCACCCTAGTAAGCCTGAGGGTACTGCAGGAGACTAGGGTGTATTTCAGTCCTTATCTCAACCGTATAAGACAGACACTCCCAGAGCAGCCATTTATAGACCTCCCCACAAGAATGCATTCCTTTCCCATGGTATTAATATTAATACCCCTTGCTAGGAAAAGCATTTAGCTGTATCTCTACTACTTGAACGTCCATTTATAGACTCTCTGCAAGAAGAAAAATATGGCTCTTTTTGCCCGACCCCACAGGCCGTCAGACCTTATGGTTGTCTTCCCTTGTTCCCTAAAAATCACTGTTATTCTGTTCTTTTTCAAGGTACACTGATTTCATATTGTTCAAACACACATGTTTTACAGTCAATTTGTACAGTTAACACAATTATCATAGTGGTCCTGAGGTGATGTACATTCTCAGCTTATGAAGATAACAGGATTTGGAGATTAAAGTAAAGAGAGGCATAAGAAATTGTAGAAGTATTATTTGGGAACTGATAAATGTCCATGAAATTTTCACAACTCATGTTCCTCTGCCGTGGCTCCAGCTGGTCCTTCTGCTCAGGGTCCCTGCTTCCCAGAACATTCGGTATCTACCCAAAGTAAACGAAGTCATTATACAAAAACAATACTTGCACGTGCATGTTTATAGCAGCACAATTCACAATTGCAAAATGGTGGAACTAACTCAAATGCCCACCAAACAATGAATGGATAAACAAACAATAGGATACTACTCAGCCATTAAAAGGAAAGAATTAACGGCATTTGCAGTGACCTGGATGAGATTGGAGGCTATTATTCTAAGTGAAGTAACTCAAGAATGGAAAACCAAACACTGTATGTTCTCACTGATATGTGGGAGCCAAGCTATGTGGGTGCAAAGGCATAAGAATGATACAATGGACTTTGGGGACTTGGGGGGAAGGGTGGAAGGAGGCCAAGGGATAAAAGACTCCCAATAGGGTGCAGTGTATACTTCTCGGGTGATGGGTGCACCAGGATCTCACAAATCTCCACGAAAGAACTTACTCATGTAACCAAATACCACTGTACCCCAATAACCTATGGAAAAATATAAATAGATAAATAAAGAAATCTAAAACAAATGTTTGAGAATTTTGATAGACCATTCTCTTTTTTGCATATTTTACTTCTTTCTTCTCTTGGGTTCTAAATATATTCTCTAAATTTTACTTTGTTGCTGATGACCAATTATAAAAATAACTACAGACCCTATGACCACTGATTATGGCAAACTCTAAACAGTCTGACCCCTTTGTTCATTTCATTAAAACTATAATTTGAGAGAGCAAATCAGGCTAAAATTAATAGTGCAGACATATCATTTTGTTAAAGACCTCCTATATCTAAAGCCTATAAATAGAAAGGCTGCATGCCAAGTATGTATTAAAGCAACTAGGCTGAAAAACAATGTCCTTTAAACTTTTTTTTTTTTAATGCTTCACTTTGCCTCAAAACATCATACAGACTCCCAATAAGAACAACAAAAAATCCTAGTTACATTTGAGTGTTATTAAATTAAAATGCATGCACATAAGAAACTAAATTTAAGTAGGTCAATCTCCCCAGGACATATGCTCTAGCCTTAACGTCTAAAATCTGGTCTGATAATCTCTGCCTATGCAACAGAATATATAAATCAGGAGTTCTCAAATGTTGATGTATAAAAGGGTACTTTGCTACCAGGTGTGTTTTGTCCATTGGGACATTTTTTTCTTGATTCTCTAAGCTATTCTCCTGAATCATCATATCACCATAATACTACATATCAGAACTGCATTCCTTTTGTTTCCTGTAAGAATGTCATTTAAAAAAATGTTTAATGTTCATTTCCTGTTTCAACATGAATTATTCTGCCTCAATCACCTGGGGATGTAGCCTATAATTCAGCCTTTTTATAAGTGAACTGAACATTCTGGTGCAATCTATTCAGCAACCAATCTAGGTATTTATTGTGTCATTGAATCCTCTGCTTTTGCTAGCCTGAGACCCTTGGGAGGCAAGTTTTACTGTGAAATAAACTATCAAAAATTCTTGGTCAGTTGAACTCAAAACCCCTCTAGTATCACTCCCATACCCTATCCGCATCACATGCTGTGTATACTTCCTCTGGCTCTGTTACAATGTATTGCTCCATGCCCTCAACATCTTGACATATTTCTCTCATTATCTCTTTGCCTTATCTATAACTTGGGTCAAGGAAAAATTGGAGTTGTAAAGGGACTAACAGAAATTAAGAAATAAAGAATTATAACATAATTCTCTGATGGCCCTGTTAAAAGAAAGCTGTTCGTTCTCCATATTTCCCACACTTTCATAGTTACCAATTAGAATCTTAGTCACGGTTTATCATTCTGTATCATACTTTCAATCCTCGCAAGGGTTGTCATCATCCTGGTTGATTCCATTTCTGTATTAATAACTCGCTTTGTAATATAAACTCTCAATTTTCAAGGGAGTTTTGCTTTTTTTCTACTTCTATTTTATTCGACAACTTCCATGGACCTAAACTAGCCATGCAGTTTTCAGGAGCCCTGATTCCTCTGTCATATTAAAGATGTTTCACTCTCTGCATATGTTTTTCAATCCCTTGAGCTCTCTCACGGGAACCGCAAATGCATTTCTTCACCTACCTCATTGAAGCTTTTTCTCTGCCTCTATTCACCTTACCATCTCCTTCCTCCCTATAGTGTTTTCAATCACTTTCCACTTTCCTCATATTCCCGCCCCTCGCCCCCCATAACCCCTGGCCTTTAACATATTTTCTCTTTGTCCTTTGTGTCTCTTAAAGGATAAAGCCTGATCTTGGCTGTGGTGGGAAGAGCAGAATTGTCTGAAAGTGGCAACTTGCCTTTTCTTTCCTGGACAATAAGATGGCTTGTATTAGCGATTCTCCTCTTAACATGAAGGGCTAAGTCCACATTTAGTTCCTCACACACGTATGACTGCCTTCCTTTGAGTGAAATGACAATAACTTCTCACTGGGCTCAAGATCACAAATGCTGGGCAGCTACTTTTCTGTCATCAGCTGGTACAAAGTATAGACTGCCTGGCTCTTAAATTCTAGTTGCTTATTCCCTACAACAAAATCGTTCTTATGGTCAGCATGGTCTTCGAAAGTCACAGGAAAGACAGGATTATTTTCCTGAGCCATGAGTCCTGGGGAGCATGGAATCACAAAGTTTCCTGTCTCTGCTTTCTATCTGTCTTTCTAACACTCTCTCTCTGTCTCTCTCTCTCTCTCTTTCACACACACACACACACACACACACACACACACACACACACACACACTTTATTAAAGAACATACTTATTTCTCTGCTGCTCTGGATCTTGGATCCACTGTTTAGGCCTGAAAGAAAATCATACCTTTCTATCACCATCATGGCCCAAGAAAACACTTCTCCCTCTCTTCTTTCTTCTATCTTTACATCAACAGGTGACTGTGTCTAAATGTGTTTGGGTTGCTGCTAATGTGGGAGATTCATTATTTCAGAATGTAAAGATTTGAGAAGCAGAAATTCCCAGCTGAGATAGAAGATAAATTAATTACATTGTCAATTTTTTTGTCAGATAGCCTGAAGACAATACATTTTTTGCATGATAAAATATTTTTTCCAAGTAGATCTGAATATTTGTTTGTTTACTTCTCTTGATTCTAGAATTACATAGGATTTGAACAGTGTATAAAACATTTATATATATAACCTTTGATAAACATTTTGCAATATTAAGCAATTCATATTTTTCTAAAGTTTGACCATATGTAGATCTAGTCAAAACATGTATGAATCATGATACTGATTCTTTAGATTGTCACTACATGGATAAGGAAATTGTACATCTTGAGTAGTTTTATTTTAATACAAATATTTAATAAAATGTAATTAAATTTTCAAAACTATACAATAGTTTATCCTTATTTAATATTTTTGATAATAGTTAATAAAGGCATGTTTTGTCTTTTAACAAACTAGATAATTTGGAATATTTTAGAGGAAAAGTAGCCGCTTACCAGCATAGTAATTTTATTTTTATTTTTACATTTACATAATATGTATTATCATTACAAATATAGTCAAAGATTGTACACATTAATTCAGTAACATTTTATATTTAATCCTTTGATTAGTGAAAAGTAGTTACACATTGAGATTATGACAGAAATAAAATATGCAAAGATGAAGCTTTTTAAGAAACTAAAAAAATGTAAATAATTATTTATAAAAGTAGTCTGCTTAACTTTAAAAAGTGGAAGTAATCACAGATATCTGTAACAGATTTCTCTAATAAAATTTGTGAATAAGATACATAAAATAATTTATGACAAGAATAATTACCAATAAAGACAGAATTAAATCCAGCCTTCTTGAGTTGTGGATTTAATCAAATAAATTTTTCTGCTTGTATTCATTGTTTTGATCAGGCATCTGACATTTTGCTCACTTAAATCATAAACACTATAACTTTGCACATTTTTTTCAACTTGCTATTACAAAGGCAAGGTAAAAGAATAATATACATTTAACAATTGTTAGATTAATTAGTGACTTTTAAACATCTGACATATATAAGCCTTGATACCCAAAAAATATTAGGGTCAGGATTGCTTATAGTAACATTAGTAAAACAGGCAAAATGCAGAGTTGACTTAGGTTCCCTCTTTGGCACACAAGTCCACTCTGTTTAGCCATTGGGTCCTAGAACACTTTTCTGTGGGTTAATGGAAAGATTGGGAGGACATACCCTCTTTCCTTTATTGACTCTTGACTTGTAATTTTGACGGTTCCCCCAAATATATGTTTTTATACCAGACTGTGTCACATTGCAGAATTTACCCTAGTTGTGGCTGCATGATAATTAACCCAACTCTATGTCGTACCCATACCCATAACAGGCTCCAGAACACTAATAAAAGAATCACAGAAGAAAGCATACCAATGTCTGTATGAATCCAAGGTCTCTAACTTCATTTGAGTCATCAGTGTTGCTAATTAGTTTTCATTTCATAGTTTATTCTTGCTCACATTCTACTCATCAATATAGCAAAGCTTTTTCTCATGCCTCTAGATTTCAGTTCTTCTGCCTCATTCCTTAGACTGCAAGATGATCTCCCTTTTAACATGGGGAAAGTCAGTTCAGGGGAGATACTGTCAAATGTCTTAAGAAAAACTAAAACATACCTACATTTTCAGCCAAATTTCCTCCTCTTTGTTATCCTAGAAGTAATGTTTTTTCACTTTCCCTGGATACCATTCTGTCACATATTTGAAAGATTATCAAACTCTTCTATATCTTCAACTCTCTCATAGTTCTTTGTCATTAGTTCTGGCACTAAAATAAATTTTACAAAAACTTCCTGTCATCTTACATACTCCTTAAAAAATAAAGATATTTTTACATGTTTTCTCTTTCTATTTTTCAATCTTCCTTTTATTCCTCATTTATTACTCACTTCTTATTTTCCCAGTCTATAGAAACTACTCTCATCAAAGACACCAGTGACTTCTTACTAGTTTTCAGTTTATACCCCATTTGAATTTTGACAGTTTGAAGAGTAGCACTGCTGACCACTATTCTTTCATAACTCACTACGGATCTCTGTCTTCTATAACAAAACATTCTCTACTTTTCTCATTGGATATTTGGCTCCCATCTAAATTCTATCCTCTGGTCTTTTTTATTTGCCATTTTAATTTAGGGACACGATTGAGGTCAATTCTAAGTGCTTTTCAGATACTATACATTCTCTCTATACAATCTTATCCATCGTATATATGGCTGTAGATACCAACAATAGCAAAAGTTGGCATATGTTTTCTGCAGAGGGTCAGATTGTAAGTATTTTAAGTTTTTGAGACATATGTTGTCTCTCTCAACTATTCAACTCTGCTATTGTAGTAAGAAAGCAGCTCTAGACAATACAATAAAGTGATCAGTTTGACTCAAGTTAGTCCTTTTTATTTCATTTACTGTGCTGGAGGTAATGATCTTATTAGCGCTTCCTTGTTTAAAGGCCTTCTATAGACCCCCAATTTAGCAAATACTGAATAGAGCTCACAGAGTCTTTAATTAGGTGGCAATACTTACCTTCAACTCAACCTGTTGCCATTTTTATTTTTTAATCTACTCTAGAGTAATAGTGGGAATATTTCTTTTCCACAAGACATTTATGCCTCTATTTGTCTTTATTGTGGGAGCATCTGCTTTTTTTTTTTTTTTTTTTTTTTTTTGCTTTTGCTTTTATTCTTTTATTTGTTTGGTTTTCTATTCTTACATTTGCTTTTTTTCTTTTTGTTTTTAATTCCTAATATCTGCCCTAACATATAACAATCATTTAATGGCTCTTTTGTAAATAAATGAATTTTAGTCACATATTTTATAGAAATAACAAAACTTAGAAGTTTATATAATATAATCAATTCACACAAAACACATAATTTTGGCTGTAATATTTATCTTGCAATTAATTAAAAGATGCCAAAAGGTCAAATTTCTATAGAAATATTTTGTATTACTCTTTATAAATCAGAATGTACCTGTTTATGAAAAAATACATTGTCATAATCTTAAACTCATTTGTAATACTTCTGAAATTTTCACTAGAAAAGAGATTAAGGAATTGTACATCTATCCATTAACTCTATATAGATAATTTTAATTACACAAAATTTATTTTAATTTTTACACAGGCAAACTGGGATACCAAAATAACGTCTCCATATAATATTTTTCTTTTTTATTAACATTGAGAATGTCTTACTCTCGTGTAACATCAATTGCATACATGTTCAATAAAATAAAATTTATTTTTTTTCACTTCACAATCATGTTAAATTTATTATTTGGAAGTTCCAACTTATGTTAATATTACCAAACTTTCAACAATTTATAAAGTATCACACACCCTGATGCAATAAACGATTATATGTTCAGAACATCCTAAATGTCTACTTATACTTTTCCTAGTACATTGCTTTAATATGTATTTCAAAAGTGGCTAACACAGAGTCCATAAAAACCTAGGTATATCTGGCTATCTAGCCAAGCAGGTAGTTCCCATGAAGGGGCTTTAATTTGGTCAAGCCATCATTATTTAGGCTTTGGTTCCCAGCATTACCTCATAAATTTAATCTTGTGATCATTAAAGTTCTGATCAGAATTGAGTATGCTAACATATGGTAATGGAGTCACAAAACTGACCTTTAAAAATGGTATTTTCACTTATTAATTGACATTGAGAATCAGAAGTGCTAAGTAAACTGGTTAATGTAGTTGTTTATCTCTCTTGACAAAGGGACTTTATGAGAATAAAACTTGGTATTCTTGAAAACAGAATATGGAGAAAATTCTTTGTATGAGTTAAATGTTCAACAACACTAGCCCATTGTACTCTCGGATGAATAATTTCAGGGAGGTTATCCAGCCTCCAAGGAGAAATGTGCTGCTTTCTTAGGTGAGTATCTAACTCTTTTTAACCTTTATTAGATTACACTGAGTTTCTCATTAGATACATGTCCCGCCATTTGCCTGTAAGTTTCTTAGACACCTTTTGAAACTCATCTTTACAAAACTGAAAAATATCGGTAATTTTATTGTAGTTGCTAATCAATAAATATTGAACTATGCTTGATGGTTCTAACATGGGATCACAAATGTTAGCCCCCTGAATTCTTTTGCCCATCATATTGTCTTTTGGGATTCACCATTTTATTTAACATTATAGACTCTGAAATCCCAGAGCAAGGAGATTTTTACATTTTTTATGCCCCAATTTCCAAAGCAAATTTAATCACGGAAGTACTTTTCGGTCACACATTTAACCCTTTTCCCGTTTATGAAAAAAAAAAGTGCTGCTCTCTACCAGAGCTCATTTCATTTCACATAAACACACTCTTGGAGGCTGAAGCAAATATGACTGATTTTTAATGTGAAAATAAAATATAAAAACTGTTCTTGGAGTTATTTCTAAACAGGACTAATCTCAGAATCATCTGAGTCATCAGAACTGTCTATTTTGAAAAAATCGGATTAATCAAATGAATTTTCGGCCAAAAACTTCCAGAACGATGTTAACATCACGTGTAAAAATGCCATGTTTTCCAGGATTTTACATTTTCAGCGATTGAGAATTACTATATTTTGTAAATAGAAATAATCACTACTAAAAACAGAATGCTATAAATAGAATGATGTCTTTTGTTTTCAAAGTTGATATACTAGAGTGATGAGAAAATAATAGTAAAAGCAAGATATTTCATGGCAAAGTTTTCTCTGGGTAAACATTGCAGCCACAAGCACCACTGGTGAGTTTCTCGGGGCAAATGGGGGAAAGGCTTAATTAATAGAACTCACAAAGTGATAGCCAGTTGTTTAGATCTTCCTCGGATATGTGCATTTTTGTAATATATTTGCTAATATTTGAAAATTGGGAGATTTCACATGTATTTAGAATATTCTTTTTTTTCCTAGAAAATGATTGATTAGCAATATTGGATCTGAATCCAGCATGATAACAATTCTATTGGGCTGCATATTAGCCATTTCTTTCAGAAAGAGGATAAGGAGAATAAACTTTCATGGTCACCACAGTTCCCAGCACTCCTAATTATATAGTATCTACCCAGACACACTCATTTATGTTACCTGCCTGGCAATTGTGTTTGCTACCCCTGCAATTTAACAATCTCAGATAAGAAAGTTTTTCACAGTTCACAGTTCATGAAACAATATAGTAGATAATTCCTAAGATCCCTTAAAACACTAAAGTCCATAAAGCTTGAGGTTCCTTGAACTGGAAATTATGTCATACTCTGTAAGTTCAATATGTACTTATTTTTCCTAAACTACAAATCCAGGCTTATCTTCTGTTCACAAACACAGTGACACAATTTTTTAGTATAAAATAAAAAATGAAGGAAATCAGTAGGGAGGTTAACCTAAAACATACTGTACTGTACAGTTTAAGTATCCCAAAGAAGCAGCTCAGACAACTGCTCAGGCTTCTTTTGTCAAAGACATTCTGCTCATCTCAATAGGCAATTTCCTCTGGGCTTGAGAGGGGATTGGTAAATTATAAAGATGGACATGGGTAGCCAGAGTCTCCTCTGTTATGTATGGTTTTTGTGACTAGAGGTCTTCAGTATGGAAGCTGAATGCTTGGCTTTATGCTTTAATTCTTGTTTATGACTCACACGAGAGACTTTGAGAATCTTGGGAATGCTGACTGAAATATATGTCATGTCTGACAGCATAATGAAATATAAAATAATAATATTATAGACAGCAGAGAAACTAAATAGGTAAAAATCACTTATTAAGTCAAAATGTGTAGTTAGGTTAATGGATTTGATTTTATTATTATCCACTTTTCTCACCTCCAACTAAACTTCCTTAAAAATCACATAAATGTTCCAGAATTAATTCATTCACTGTCACAGAAAGTGTTACCCTAATTATGGAAATATTTTTCATAGTTCAGCAGCTGAGATATAAGAGCAGACAGATTGAAAGGTAATAAAAGACCTGTCATGTATGCTGGAGGATAATCTAGTTAATTGGTTTCCTTTTTCCTCATTCCTTCTTTTCTCCCTTTCACTTCTTTCCTTCCTTCATCCTTGCTTGTTCTCTCCATTCTTTCTTCCTTCTTTCCCTTCTCCTTGTCTGTCGTTTTCTTTTATACATTAGTTAGGACTAGATATTTCCTGTATGCCAGACTGATTTTGAGAATTGGCTGTGAGATTGTGTCTTGCAGGTTTTTAAGAAAGTATTAGATATGGCACATGCAAGGCAGGCCACCTGCTACACAACTCATCTGGGATTTGGCATATACAGAGAGGCCTCTGGTGTGGATGTGTGGACTGTGTCTCCTCATTTTATCCTTGACTTTTTGGATGAATTAGAATTGTCTTTACAGATTTTACTATCCTGTGAGGGTGTCCAGTGTCCAGGAATGACCCAGAAACCTTAGGTTTTCTATAAATGTTGATCTCTGTTAACTATTCACCTTCTCATAACTTTGAGTTACTGTTGCGAGTAAAGAGGCAAAAATCTGCACGTCATATATTTCTAAGAATGAGAAAATGATAGCTAATTTAATTAGTGCTACTGGCCAATTCAATACTTAAGTTTGAATTATCACTTTTGGAAATAGTTTATTACCACAAAAGTATACTGTACATTGTTTAAAAAAATTGTACAACAGAATATAAACCTTCTCTGAGTTATACAGATAAGTAGTACAAAATAGCAGGATAATGATCGGCCACACCTATACATGATACAAGGTTGTGGGAAATGGGAGAAGTTAGGAAGAAAATTATGGAATAATAGAGATTGTTACTTACCTATTATGCTGTCACTTAAATTTTTCACTTTTATTTAATAATAGCTAAAAGCTGCGCACATAATCATTGCTATTTAAGATTGGACTCATTTTCCAATATTGTCTCTGCAATTTGCTAAATATTAAGAAAGCCTTATCAACTTTGTGTGAAATTTTATAATTGATCCCATTTAACATAAATGCGTATATTTAATGAAAGGCAATAATTGTGGCTTGCCACATAAATAATTAGGATATGATTACTTTTAAATAATTATTTTCAAATAGCTGTTTTTAAAACAAAAGAATATATTAACATTCAGCAATCATAGATCAGTATTTCAGTTTGAGGTTGAGTTTTCTTCATAGTCTCCAAAATGGAATCACAGATGGTATTTTAAAATTCGATCTACATGCCATTGTTAAATTATTTTAATACATAAAATTCATTATATTTATTTTAACAAAGTTGAAAGCATACAAATGAGTCTTTGTTGTACTTAAACTTCATCCAATTGCAAATACAGTTATGTATAGCATATAGAAGAGGATATTACTTAAACGTCCTTTTTAATTTGTTTTTATTGACTTGAAAATCATGTAACATAAAATTTACCATTTTAAAGTGAATAATTCAGTGGCAATTATTACATTTACAATTATGCAACCACCACTTCTATCTGCTTCTGTTATAGACTCAATTGTGTTCTCCTCAAATTCATATTTTGAAGACCTAACCCCCAATGTCACTGTGTTTGGAAATAGTGTCTTTAATTAGGTAATTAAGTTTAAATAAAGTCATAAGTGTAGGGACCTCATTCAAAAGGATGGATGTGCTTATAAGAAAAGGAAAGACACCACAAGCCTGTGTGGATAGAGAAATGCCCATGGGAGGAAATAGTGAGAAGACAGCTGTTTGCCTGCCAAAGAGAGTGGCATCAGAAGACATCAACCCTGCTGGAATCTTGATCTTAAAATTCCAGCCTCCCGAGCTGTGATAAAATAAATTTCTGCTGTTTAAGCAACCCAGTCTGTGGTATTTTGTATTACAACCCTATAAGACTAATACAAATTCCAAACGTTTTCATCACCCCAAAATGGGTTACTTTCATAATTAGTCCCTTAACATATTCAACCGTTACTCCCTATTCCCTCTTCCCCCCACCAAGTCCCTGGCAACCACCAATCCACTTTCTCTATATATTTTCCTATTCTGAATATTTCATATAATATGAAGTATTGTATATGATATTTTATGCCTGACTTCTTTCACTTATCACATTTTTAAAGTTTGTCTATGCTGCAGCAAGTATCTGTAATTTGTATGAATTAAATTGTGTGAATCAAAAAGATACGTTGAAGTCTTTGATTCCAGTACACTTAAATGTGGCATTATTTGAAAATACAGTTATAGTAGATGTAACTATTTGTTAAGATGGCATTATACTGGGGTGGGGTAGATTCTTAATCCAATATGACTACTGTCTTTTTAAGAAGACAATGTGGAACTGTAAGGAGAGAATGCCATGTGACAACAGAGGCAGAAATTGAAGTTATACAATTGCAAGCTAAGGAGGAGCAAGGATTGTTAGCAACACCAGAAACTAAGAGAAAGGCATGGAACAGAGGCTTCCTCTAGAGATCTCAAGAAAGCATGACCCTGACAACACCTAATATTAAACTTCTAGCTTCTAGGATGGTTAGAGAATAAATTTCTATTGTATTAGACCACCTAGCTTATAGTACTTTGTTACAGCAGCCCTAGGAAACTAATAAAAATTTTGGTACTGGGAAGTAGAATGTTGTTATAACAAGTACATAAAAATATAGAAGTAGCTTTGGAATTGGGTAATGGCTGGTAGCTGGAAGGGTTTTGAAGCACATGATAGAAGAAGCCTAGATTTCTTTGAAAAGACGAATAATAGAAATAATGCATTGAAAAGTAAATCCCATGAGGTCTCAGAAAGAAAAGAAATCTTATTGCTTATGTTTTAGTGTCATGTCATATCAAAAAATTTCGTATCAAATCCAAGGTAATGAAGACTTACCCATAAAACCCATGTTTTCTGCTGGGTTTTATGATTTTAGCTCTTAAATTTAGGCATTGATCCATTTTGAGTTAATTTTTGCATATGTTGTGTGGTTAATTTTTGCATAGTGGAAGTGGTGGTAAATTTTATTCTTTTGCATGTGGTTATCCAGTTGTTAAAGCACCATTTTTTTGGAAGAAACTATTATTTTCCCATGAACAGATATGGCAAACTTGCTGAAAATCAATTTGCCATAGATGTATGAGTTTATTTTTGAACTCTCAATTTTATTCCATTGACCTATGTTTGTCTAAGCTTATGCCAGTCTACACTGATTTGACTACTGTGATTTGCAGTAAATTGTGAAATCTAGAAGTGTGAGTTATTAAACTCAATTTTCTCTTTTAATATTGTTTTGGATATTTGGAGCCCTTTGCAATGCCATATTAATTTGATGATTGAATTTTCCTTTTCTGAAAAAAAGGGCATTGGAATTTTGATAGGATTTCAATCGAATCTGGAGATCACTATGGATATTACCACTGTATCAATATAAAGTTTTTCAATTCATGAATAGGTAATGTATTTCCAATTATTTAAGACTTTTTTTATTTTGTTAAGCAATGTACAGTTCTTTTTAACCAGAGTTTCTATTTGATTTTGTTATATAATTTTTCTCTTTATTAATATTTTCTTTTTTGCACATAATTCTGTTTGTTTCCTTAGATGTTTTGCAATTTTTATTGAATACTTGGCATTTTAAAAATTACAATAATGACCTAAGTTGGGAAATCAGATACTTTCTCTTTCTCAAGACTTTTTTTTTTTTTGCTATAGCTGTTTGCTTAGCGATTCTTCTAATTTTTTAAAAATTCTGAATTCCTTGTTGTCTGAAATCTCTACATTTTTTTAACTTGTGTTAGATTAGTGTTTTGAAAGTTATTTCCTTGAACACCATTGGTGGAAAGAAGCAAGGAAGGAAGGAAGGGAGGAAGGAAGGAAGGAAAAGAAATAAACAAGTAAAGAAAAAAGAACCTCTCTTCTACCAGTTTTTACAGAATGTCTCTCTGCTGGGTCACTTCTGAATGCTTAGGCAACTTACCTCTGCCTTAGCGTTCACTTTCTGCTTTCACTGAGCCCAGAGGTTAGCAAAAGGCAAAACCTTAATACTGTCTCAGTTCCTTTCTGATATGTATCCTCCCTCGAGCATGCATGTGGCTTTCTAAATTCCCTTGTATACTCAGGCACAATTGAATGCCCTAATTTCCCAAAGAACCACTCTCACAAGATCTTCCCAGGTTTTTGTACACTATGGTTTGCTTCCATTGTAAACTTGTGCCCCAAGTGGCTCAGCCTGTTTGTTTGCCTTACACTGTTTTTGAGAAATGCTCAACACTTTTCTGTTCTGACTGACTTCCGAGTCAGGCAAAATATAGAAAAGCACTTTGCATCAGTCCTTCAGGGAGCATCTAGACTGGTAAGAAAAGGCAGAGAACTGCTCTGTTTCCTCTGGAACGAAGGATCCTGTACTGGGTATGTGGGCTGCTGTTTTCAATAGTACCATGTGGAGAATAGAGGTAGCAAAAGGGTAAATCAAAATGTCACAATTTTTTCTCCATTTTAAGTGGTCTTCTCTTGATTCAGTGTTTTATTATTATTATTATGAATGCATCTCCTTGTTTTTTTTCTCTTCCTAATAACCTTTACATAAAGGCTGGACATTGTAGATGATACAATAAGGAAGTCTAGATTATGTTGCTTTTCTTTAAAAACAATTGAATTATGCTTTTGTATAAGTTCAAATTACAGAGGGGAATTTTTTTGTTCTTGTGAGTATTGTTGGTGCATTTGCGTGTCTGTGTGTTTAGTTTTTTCATTGGTACTAGGGCAAAATTCTTACACTAGAGGCTAATACCCAGGATCTTTGATGTTTCAATGCACTGAGGGAGGTCTCTCAATTCTGATTTGGCCAAAACTCTGATATCACTCCGGAATGCACAACCTCTATTCCCTATTTTCAGATCTCAGCCCCTCAGTAGTGGTTTCTGCAAAGTCTTGAATATTTTCACCATGTGCATATGTAGGAACTGTGGACAGTCTTCACATAAATATCTAGCCTCTTCATTTGAGTAGTTTTCTGTTCTTTTCTACCCTATCCAGCTATTTCAGCAGTCTGTAACTCATCTCTAACTCCTGAGCTCTATAAAACCAACTTGCTCTATTAGTGGTCCATTTCTTGGACATTTCTGAATGTACCACAAAGCCAAAATTGTAGTAAATCTAGAGTCCTTCTTAATAATTTCCCTTATGTCAAGTATCATAGTCCTTTGCTGTCTGTTGTCTGATGCCAAAGGAAAAATTGCCTCATATAATTTGTTCATTTTTTTAGCTATATACAATGGAAGGGCAAATCCAGTATCATTTTCTTTGTTATGGCCATAAGTGGAAAGTCAATTTTTTAATGTAATAAAGTCGCATATACTTATTATAAAATATTTAAACCGCAGAATGTTATATGTGAAATGTACATCAAAATTCTTTAGAGCTTTAATTAGCAACACAGTTATAAAGTATCTATATTACTAAGACAGAAATATTGGTTTGGAGGTAATTTTTGACTTTCGTGTTAAGAGTTTTCTACAATTCTCTTTTTCTGCTATCTTTTGACTATTCTTCTTTTTATGTGTATTACATATGTGACTGTTTGTTTTTTATGTATGTGTTTTGTTCTTTATGTTCCCTTGAATATGAACATGTGTGTGTTAGTTTACATGTTTCCTTGTATATAATTTATTTCTGTATGCAATTAATGTATATAATTTAATAGTGTTACAGTATATTTTTAGTTATCTCATTCTTAAGGCTTTGGATAATATGTTTTGCTCATTCACGGCATTGGATAAAATTTTATTATGACAAAAGCTTTTGAAAAAGTATACTTGTAATGCTTATGTTGCATATCATGAATAACATGTCCAGAATTCTATAGCATTATAATCTATATTTAAACATATTTGACATACATTAAAAATTATTCCATACCAACATTCCTTAATTTTTGAATCTTTAATTTGTGTTAAATTGGTATGTTAAAATAATTGTGTTGGCTGGTATATTAGTTTCCTGTGGCTGCTGCAGCAAATTACTACACACTTGGTAGTTATATTAATCAGACTCCTCTAGAGGAACAGAACCAATAGAATGTGGAAAATGTGTGTGTGTGTGTGTGTGTGTGTGTGTGTGTGTGTGTCTTAGAAGTTTATTTTAAAGAATGGCTCAAGTGATTGTGCAGGCTGTTGAATCTAAATCTTTAGGGTAGAAAGGCAAACTGTAGAACCAGGGAAGAGTTAATGTTGCAGTTCAAGTCCAAAGACAGTCTGGAGAAAGAATTCCCTCTTCCTTGGGAGACCTTAGTCTGTTTTATCTTAAGGCCTTGAGCTGATTGAAAGTAGCCCAGCTACACTGTGGATAGCAATCTGCTTTACTCAAAGTCTACTGATTTAAATGTTAAGACTGTCTTTAAGAAATACTGTCACAGAATTATCAGACATGTTTAACCAAGAAGCTGGGTAACATGGCCCAGCTAAGTTGACACACTAAATTAATCATTGTAATGACTTACAACACTGAAATTTATTTTAACAGAAGCTCATGATCAAAACCTAGGCATAGCTGTGCTTCCTCCTGAGCTCTAGGAGAGAATCAGACCCTTGCCTCTCCATCTTCTAGTGGCTATTGCCACTCCCTGGTTTATGTCTGCATTTCTCTCTGTTCCATCTTTACATTGTTTTCTTGCATGCATATGTGTGTACAAGCATGTGTGTGTGTGTTGGGAGGGGTATGATCTTTCTCTGCCTCTTTCTTTTATTTTATTTTATTTTTTTTGAGACAGAGTCTCGCTCTGTCACCCAGGCTGGAGTGCAGTGGCACAATCTCAGCTCACTGCCAGCTCCACCTCCCGGGTTCACACCATTCTCCTGCCTCAGCCTCCCAAGTTGCTGGGATTACAGGCACCCGCCACAACGCCCACCTAATTTTTTGTATTTTTAGTAGAGACAGTGTTTTACCGTGTTAGCCAGGATGGTCTCGATCTCCTGATCTCGTGACCCACTGCCTCAGCTTCCCAAAGTGCTGGGATTACAGGCATGAGCCACTGCACCCGGCCTCTCTGCCTCTTTCTTATAAGTATACTTGTGATTACATTTAGGCCCTACCCAGATAATCCATAATGATCTCAATTCAAGATCCTTAATTTAATCACATCTTCACAGGTGCTTTTTTTTTTGTTTTCTTCCCAAAAAGGTAACATTTGCAGTCTCCAGGGATTAGGAAATAGACAAATCTTTATTAGTCTTTATCAGCCTGCCACAGCTGGATTTTTATTATCAAATACATTTTCAAGGAAGAGAAATAAATGGTTTAGTACATGAATCTACTTTAGGTACAAAAAGCTTGAAATGTTTTTGTCTGTATGGCTTTCACAACTGTTATTTTATTAATTTAAAAGCTATTACTCATTAATAACAACTTAATTTGTTTTAAATGTTCTTGGACCTAGACTTTTATTTTTCTTCTAATGATTGTACTATTACTATCACATACTCTGATGATGACTGCTGCAGTAAAGAATTTAGGAAGAGCCCAGCTTTTGTTCTTACAACTTAAGTTTTTAAAATTTCAATATATATTTATTGTCTAGCATTATTTCTTATGTTTAATTTTTATTTGCTATTTTTCTTCTATTGCTGAATACATTTAACAATATCTATCTATTGGGGGAACCCATCCCCAATATTTCAACATAGGTGCTATTTTCCATAAGTGTTGGCCGGCTGAAAAATAAAGACAGACAGTACAAAGAGAGGAATTTTATAGCTGGGCCACTGGGGGTGACATCATGTATCAGTAAGACCGTGATGCCCACCTCAGTCTCAGACCAGGAAGTTTTTATTAAGGGTTTCAAAAGGGGAGGGGGTGTAAGAATAGGAAGTAGGTACAAAGATCTCATGCTTCAAAGGGCAAAAAGCAGAACTACTAATAAGAGTCTAACAAAGATCACATGCTTCTGAGGAAACAGGACAAAGAGAAAAAGCAGAACCACTGATAAGGGTCTATGTTTTGTCTTGATAAAACATATTGTCTTGATAAACATCTTAAACAACAGAAAACAGGGTTCAAGAGCAGAGAACTGGTCTGAGCACAAATTTACCAGGGCAGAGTTTTTTCCCACCCTAGTAAGCCTGAGGGTACTGCAGGAGACAAGGGCATATCTCAGTCCTTATCTCAACTGCACAAGACAGACATTCCCACAGTGGCCATTTATAGACCTCCCCCCAGGAATGCATTCCTTTCCCAGGGTATTAATATTAATATTCCTTGCTAGGAAAAGAATTTAGCGATATCTTCCCTACTTGCACATCGTTTATAGGCTCTCTGCAAGAAGAGAAATATGGCTCTTTTTGCCTGACCCCGCAGGCAGTCAGACCTTATGGTTGTCTTCCCTTGTTCCCTAAAATCACTGTTATTCTGTTCTTTTTCAAGGTGCACTGATTTCATATTGTTCCAACACACATTTTACAATCAATTTGTACAGTTAACACAATTATCACAGTGGTCCTGAGGTGACGTATATCCTCAGCTTACAAAGGTAACAGGATTAAGAGATTGAAGTAAAGAGAGGCATAAGAAATTATAAAAGTATTATTTGGAAAATGATAAATGTCCATGTTAATATGAAATCTTCACAATTTATGTTCCACTACCATGGCTCCAACTGGTCCCTGACTTCCCGCAACATCTATCTATCTAAAATTTATTTCTATCTATATATGGAACTAGATTAAATTATAAATGTAGATTAATGCCATAAAAGCTCTCACATTCTATAGATTTAAGTCTTTATCAGGAAATGTTTTCATTTTTGCTATCTGTAAGTAGTTTAGAAAATCTCTTCTACTGCATCTCAGAGAATTTTACATTTGCTTTCTATATTTTATTTTCTTCCCATAGAACACTGATTATTTTCTTATATTTTATGTTTATGATTATATTCTTAAAAATTACCTTTTTGTGGAAAAGCTAAAGACTCTACCAAAAAACTAGTAGAATTGATAAATTCAGTAAAATTGCATGATACAAAATTAACATACAAAAATCCATAGCATTTCTATATGCCAACAGTGAGCAATTTGAAAAAGAAATAAAAATGTAATCCCATTAGCAGAAGCCATAAATGAAATTAAATATGTAGTAATCAAAGAAGTGAAGGATCTCTATAATAAAAAACACAAAACACTGATGAAAAATATCGAAGAGGACACAAAAAAATAGAAATCCATGTTCATGGGTTGGAAGAATCAGTATTGTTAAAATGTCCATACTACCCAATGCAATGTATAGATACAATGCAATCTCTATCAAAATATCAATGACATCCTTCACAGAAACAGAAAAAATAAATCCTAAAATTTCTATGGAACCACAAAAGACCTAGAATAACGCAAAGTTATTCTGAGGAAAAAGAACAAAACTGGAAGAATCACATGAACAGACTTCAAATTATAGTAAAGAGCTAAAGTAACACAAACAGCCTGGTAACTGGCATAAAAACAGACACATAGATCAATGGAACAGAATAGAAAACCCAGAAATGAAATACAGTGAAGTCATTTTTCAAATCGTACCAAAAACACACATTGGGGTAAAGGATAGTCTCCTAAATAAATGGTGCTGAGCAAACCAGATATTCATATGCAGAATGAAACTAGACCCCAATCTCTCACCACACACAAAAATCAAATCAAAACGGTTTAAAGACTTAAATCTAAGACATTAAACTATGAAATGAAGAAAACTTTGGGAAAACTCTACAGGAAATTGTTCTGGGAAAAATTTCTTGAGTAATACCTCACTAACACAGGCAACCAAGCAAAAATGGACAAATGAAATCACATCAAATTAAAAAGCTTCTGCACAGAGAAAGAAGCAATCAAAAAAGTGAAGAGACAACCCACAGAATGGGAGAAAACATTTGCAAACTAACCATCTGATAAGGGATTAATAACCAGAATATATAAGGAGCTCAAACAACTCTATAGGAAATGATCTAATAACCCAATTAGTGAATAGGCAAAATATTTTAAAAGACATTTCCCAAAAGAAGATATACAAATGGCAAAAAAGGCATATAAAATAGTGCTCAATATCCTTGATCATCACCAGAGAAATTCAAATCAAAACTACAATGAGATATCATCTCACCCTAGTTTAAATGGCTTTTACCCAAAAGACATGCAGGAACAAATGCTGGTGAGGAGAGGTAGAAAAGGAAACTCTTGTACACTGTTGTTGGGAATGTAAATTAGTACAACTGCTAACGAGAACAGTCTGGAGGTTCCTCAAAAACTAAAACTAGAGCTACCCTAAATTCCAGCAATTCCACTTCTGAATGTATTCCCAAAAGAAGGGAAATCAATATATTAAAGAGATATCTGCGCTACCATGTTTCTTGCAGCACTGTTCACAATAGCCAAGATTTGGAAGCAGTCTAAGTGTCTATTAACATGTGAATGAATAAAGAAAACAGGGTTCATACATACAAGGGAATACATCTCAGCAATAAAAAAGAATGAGATCCTGCATTTGCAACAACATGGATGGAACTGGAGGTCATTATGTTAAGTAAAATTTGTCAGTCACAGTAGACAAATTTCACCTGTTTTCACTTATTTGTGGGATCTAAAAATTTAAACAGTTGAACTCATGGAGTTAGAGAGTAGAAGGACAGTTACCAGAGGTTGGGGAGGGTGGTGGAGGCTGGGAGAGAAGTGGAGATAGTTAATGGGTACCAAAAGAAGTTAGAAAGAATAAATAAGACAGTATTTGATAGCACAACGGACTGACGGTATTCAATAATAATTTATACATTTTAATATAACTAAAAGAGTAAAAGTGGATTGTTTGTAGCACAAAGGATAAATGCTTGAGGGCATGGATACCCCATTTACATGATGTGATTATTACTTACTGCATGCCTGTATCAAAGTATCTCATGTACCCCATAAATATATATACTTACTATGTACCCAAAAATTAAAAATTAGTAGATGTATAAAATCCTAAAAGAGAATTACCTTTTTATATTTGCTCCTTTATACCTGATTTGCTGAATTCTGTTCCTCAAGCTGATCTTCTTTTCTACTAATTTCATTTTCAACAGTATCTATTTTATATTCCTTTATTTACAGTAGAATTCCTATTTACATACAGGGTCACTTAGAGTGTTCAGTTTAACTCCTAAACTCTTTCACTTCATCTCTTGATTTCCTATGATCATCTTCAGCTGTAGCTTTCTTTTAGAATCCATATTAGATGTTATTCATTTGAGAATATACACATATATTGAAATGTATTTGTTTGTGGGGGTATATCTTCTGATGTATATTCTTCAACTGTCTCTTCCTTTTATTTTGTGGTTATGTTTAAGTGTTGGGGAGGATTGATACCACCTATGCAGACTGTTCGGGTCATTGTTGCTTATCAGTCATCTTTTAGTGCACATCATTCCATTTTGATCTGTTGTTTTTGATTTGTAGGAGTTATTACGAAAAGATGACCTATAAACCTATTAAGTGTTGGATGTGACTGCTTAGCTATGCTATTTTAGAACACTTCCTCACAGATTCAGTTGCCTTTTTATCAGCTTGCTTCAGATTTTAGCTTTCCTGATTTCAGATAATGAGATGTCCTAGATAGGTAATTAGACACACACTTACATACCATCCTTACCCACTCTCTTATATCACTCTCTTATATCAACAAGAACACTTGACACATCAGTTTTAAATAGAATGTGTACAAGAGACCCACTTTTTAACATAAGTGCCTCGTGAAATGCATCTCTCTACTTTCCTGCAGTCCACAAGTCTATCATTCATTTAGAATAGTATACAAAATAAAAGCCCAATAGTATAAGAAATGTGATAAGTATGATTTAAACAATTGTAGAAATACTTAACATATCTTTTAACAATCCCTACTCTCTGTTGATTGAATAGCATAAAATTAGCTTTTCACATACCTGGAGCTAAAATGAAGAGTCGCTGTATCTGTAACAAATGAAAAACTTTATGACAGACGAGGTATGGAGAAAATAGATGATGCATTCAAAAAGAGCATCCAAGAGGGTTCAATGGATGAACCATTTACACTTGTAGGCAGGATTAAGAGAAACCAACACTTTGTGGAGCCAGAAATAGCAGGCCTTTACCAATTCTAGGCCTCAGGGGTTTGAAGTTAGAGCAGTAATCTGCATACAGGGACAAATAGAGCTAAAGGTACAAAAAGGACCCAGACAACTCTTTCTTCCAAGTCTCCATTTTCCTGCAAAACTTATTTGACAGTCAGAAGGCAAAGAAACCTAACCAATGCATGCTATAGCTTCTTGGAGCAAAGAGCATTGTCACGAATGTAGGTTGGAGATTTGAAGAAACAATTGGAATATATATTACCCAATCCATTTTCTAAACTGCCTAATTCAGTGAGTCAATATTAGGATGAAATAAGAATACTCCAAAACCTGAAACGAGTATGGTTGGTGGTCACCTACATAATCTTAGTGTACATTTTTCAGTAGGTGTAGACTTCTATGAACTTTTGGTTTCAAACAGCATATTTACCTCTCTCATTTGCACAGTTTCTGCATCTAAGTGACTAGAAAATTTCTTAGTCTGTTAGGTGATTTAACCTACATGTACATGTCACATATTAAAGAAAATACATTTAAGGAAACATTTACTGCACAGTCAAGTGTATGGTAAGCAATATGACCTCATAGAAAGAAGAACTAAGAACCCAAAACCCTGGTTTGAAGTTTATCTTAATACATGTACACTCGTTTCATCTCATTAAGAACAAATTTCTCTCATCCACTAACAAGATAATTTATCACCTCTACTACCTACATAATAAAGATTGTTTCTTTATACAATTATTACAATATTAACTAAAGTCTTATACCAAAAGTAATCCAAAATAAGCTCAGATGACGGATACATAAGGTAACAGTCTCTAAAAAGACAAAAAATTCAACTGTAAAATTATATTCTAAGGGGGTATAATTTCATTTACTAGTGATGTTTAAAACTGTCCTGCATGAAGCAAATTTATTTATCCTGGAGGATAAATTTCTATAGTAGAAGAGGAACTATCATATAAGTTTTATGCTATTTTATATTTCTAATATTTGTGACTAAAACCTGTCTCTTTCCCACACTTTCACTTTTGTTTTCTCTGTAGGAGCCATGAAAAAGAGAAAAATCTTTTCAAATTGTAGTGTGTGTTCTTGATGAAGTTATTTTAGTTCTTTGCAATTATAATTTATTTCAAAAAACTACTCAGTGTTAGAGTTGCTTTTATTTATTTATTAAATTCTGAAAATCTGTTTGCCTGAGGACGATATCAAAAGTGTAATTCAAAAGAATATAATACATTTTTGTGATATTTTAATTAAACAATTTTCTTTGAAAAAGATTATTTTCCTGGCCAAACTTTAGTCAGGATGCTGAATTTTCTAGGCCCATATGCACACTTCTTCATAAAAGTTAGTTTTAACTAAGTCAAGTTAGCAAGAGCCTTCCACACTCAATATCTGATTATCCTCAACATTTGATCAGGTTCCCAGGCCTCCATCATCCTGAAGGTGATGTATGATCACCCTGGCTTCTCCTTGGAAATAATTCTGTAGGTGGGTTAGACAGATTCTCTCTTACTCCTAATGTTTCCTTTTAGTACTTTTCCATCCAATGACCTCCATCCTGTTGCTTGGCACTAAATTCCCACTTGCTCACGCTATATTCAGGGTTGAGCTCAATTTCTCTCCCTGACTGCAAGCCCCATTGCAGTGATCCTTAAACCTATAAAAATAGTCTTGAATAAATCTTCCTTAATAAGTTTTAACAAGTGCCATTGAAGTTTTTCTTTAACATCTTTACGAATCAGTTTACTGTAATGTTAATTGCAAAAGTAAAATACTAAAACATCCTGAAAGTTCATAAATAGAGGAATGGTTGAATAAATAATAATTTCTAAACTATGTTAAATAAAGAAAAGTGAGATTTGTGTGTGCTGACTTGAAAAGTTATCCATGAGGAAGCAGTGAAAAAAAAGTAGGAGAGTAATATGCATCATGCAACTCAATTTTAAAATATATAAAACTCAACTCATGCAACTCAATTTAAAAATATATAAAAGAAAGAAAATAAACTGAATTGTTTGCATGTTTATACAAATATTAAAGAATGAAGAGCAAAATCATATTCTTTATAGCACTGTTCAATTTTTATGTTTGGCTAAAAATATTTTTCTTCATTCACATCTGCATTGTTTAGAATTGTTGCAAATAGCACATATTATAACATAATTTTTGAATATACAAAATTAACTTATAAATTAAAAATAACATAATGGTAATTCAAGAAAAGCACCTGGATCATTTTGCAATATCTGACTAGTGTATTTGTTAAATTACAAGTAGAAAGAGGACAATACTATTTGGAGCAACTGTAGACTAAAAACAATTTAATTACAGGTTAAACATCCCTAATTTGAAAATCTGTAATCCAAAATGCTTAAAAATCTAAAACATTTTGAGCATCACATCATGGCACAAGTGGAAAATTCTACACCTGACATCACATAAACAACTTTGTTTCATGCACAAAATTACTTAAAAATTGTATAAAATTACCTTCAGGTGTATATAAGCTGTATATAAAATATTAATGAATTCATATTTATACCTTGGTCCTCTCCCCAAGATATTATATTATGTATATATGCAAATATATCTAAATCCAAAATTAAAAAATCCAAAAATTCTGAAACCTGAAATAGTTCTGGTCCCTGGTCCCAAGTATTTCAGGTGAGAGATACTCAACCTGTACCAAAAAAAAAAAAAAAAAAAAATCCAAAACATGTAATTATTAGTTTTGTATTTACACTGAGAAATTATATGTATGCTTTACACATTAGCATATGTATATTTAAATCAAGAAGAACAACTATTATTTAGACCCAGAAATACAGAATAAGAAGTGATATTCATAAATAGTTATTAATTTCTCATTATCACTGTGACCAAGAAAATGATAATAAAATAAACAATACTAATACTTTCTTCTCTCCTTTCTTTACTGATAAACTTCAATATCAACACAGAATATGACATTGCTACAATCAGAAATATCTAGAGGTTCTCATATTAACCAAGGAAATATTCTTTGCCTTATAGAATACAAGCAGCTTCTGAATTTCCTAAAATCTCCTACATCATTTTAATGAAAAAATTTAATACTACTAGAATATGTACTGTTACTTTAAATAATTTTGTCAGAATAGGAATTCAAAGCAGGGCTCCAAAATAACTGGAAGTAAATTGTCACTATTATGGAGACATTTTACAAGAATAGAGCAAAGGTCACATGGGGCTTGATCAGCTCCTTACTTTGTTCTGCAATAGCAGTATCTAGACAACTAAGGATGTTGGATAACCTGCCTAACAAAATTAAGGATGTGTGACACAAACTTAGCAAGGACATGTGTTTGAAGAAAATTTACTTTTAGTAAACTAACATTCTAAAAAAAATTTTTTTAGCAAAAAACAAACCAACAAATAAACCAACAAAAAACCATCCTGAGGATCTCTACCACATAGCAATAGGATGTTTCTTTAGTTGTTTTCAGCTAGTGATAGACCTATTTAAATATCAAGAATGTAATGAAGGCACATTGAAGGGGTATGGAGGAGGTCTTTCATATCTAAAAACTTTTTTTCTGTAGCTTATAATAGGAATTCTAGTTTGTTGTTGTTGTTGTTGTTTTGGTTTGTTTGTGTGTTTATTTTCTGAGACAAGGTTTCACTGTATTGCCCAGGCTGGTCTTGAACTCCTGGGGTCAAGGGATCTTCCCACCTCAGCCTACGGGTGTGAGTCACTGGATAGTCAAAGGCAGAAAATGACACAAAGCTATAAGAAAGTTTAAGCACAAGGTTACAAGCTTCACACTCACCCATTTTCCTTTCATATGGCATTCTGGAATAAACTAGATGTTAGGACTAAACTAGATGTTAGGACATTTGTTCAGCAACTATTTCTGAGTTATCATTTAACCCATTCGTGTTTCTGCTCACTCCATGAACACTAACCAGACTGCTTATCTTTTGATAAGGTCAGTGTTTACTCTTAGAATGTCTTTCAGTAACCTAGAGTGAAGACATGATTTGGCTCAGTATCTGATTCATATTTTAGTTGCATCATTGCTCATCTTTATGTCTTGATATTTATGTTTTTCATCAATTTGCTAGTTTAAACTATGATATTGCTCCCAATCTCATTTATTCAATATGTATTTGTTGTTGCTGAGAATGATGCCTTCATCCCATAAAGCGAATATTGATAAAAATAATAGAAAATTAAATTATTAGGTTAAACTAAACTCTGGCTTAATGACCTATAAAATTGTCAAAATTTATTTGCTCACTGTACAGTTTTTCAGGTACTGTTTAAGAATACTCACTTTATTCTACTTCTGAGTTTAGGAAGTTTAGAAATAAAGAAGCAGGCTACCAGGAAGCTTTCATTCTGCAGTCAGGGATAACAGATAAATCAAATAGTCAAACAAACAACCCAGGCAAATAATAACATAAGAATAATAGTCCTAAAGTAGAAATTCGACTGGTAACAAAGATAGAAAGGAGGATGACATAGGTGAAATATAATAATCAAGAGAGAAAGTGGTACAAAATTATATGTGAAAGGCAAGTGCCAGACCATGACAAACATTCATTATAGGGTACATAAAATGAGTTGGTGTTTTTACAAATCCAATGGGAAACCATCGAAAATTTAAGAAGAAAATTTCAATGTATGTGTTATATTTTTAAGTTGCTAGATAAAGAATTGTGTTCATGGAAAGGGGTGAGAGGTGGAAGCATAGACTTGGGTTATTGAAGCAGCAGAGAGAAGAAACGAGAGATGGTAGGACAAAACTGGTAATAACAAAAAATACAAAGAAATGGACACCTTTGAGATATATTTGGGATACACAAATAGAGGAATAAAATTTTTTCCAGACTTAACCAAAATTTGAAATGTGTTGTCTTCAAAAGACACCACTGAGAGCCAGCAGGGTGGTGCATGACTGTCGTCCCAGCTATTTGGGAGGCAGAGGCTGTAGGATCACTTGAGCCAGAAATTCCAGTGTGGTTTGCTGTGATTATGCCTGTGAAAAGCCACTGCACTTTAGGTTGGGCAACGTAGTGAGACCTCAAATCTTAAAAAAAGAAAGCACCAAAATACTACTGAAATAATGAAAAGAAAACCACTTGAAAATTATATATTTGATAAGGAACTTGTGTTGAAATACTTAACAGTCAAAACTTAATAAGAAAAGACCGGCGGGCATGGTGGCTCATGCTTGTAATCCCAGAACTTTGGGAGGCTGAGGCAGGCGGATCACTTGAGGTCAGGGATTCCAGACCAGCCTGGCCAACATGGTGAAACCCCATCTTTACTAAAAATACAAATTTAGCCCGGTGTGGTGGCACACCTCTGTAACCCCAGTTACTTGGGAGGCTGAGACATGAGAATCACTGGAACCCAGTAGGCAGGAATTGCAGTGAGACAAGATTGTGCCATTGCACTCCAGTCTGGGTGACAGAGTGAGACTCTGTCTCAAAAAAAACAAGGCCGGGCACGGTGGTTCATGCCTATTATTTCAGCACTTTGGGAGGATGAGGATTGAATCCAGGAGTTCAAAACCAGCTTGGGCAACATGGAGAAAGCTCATTTCTATAAATAATATGAAAAAGTATCTAGACACGGTGTCATGCACTTGCAGTTCCAGCTACTTAGAAGGCTAAGACAGGAGGATCACCCAAGTCATGCTCACCCCACTGCATTCAGGCCTGAGAAACAGAGGGAGATCCTGTCTCCAAAGAAAAAAAAAATTTTTGTTTATTCAAGTGAATAAATAAAAGTAAATATAATTTAAATTAATCCATGTATTAAAGAGTTTAGTTACTTAAATATAGAAAATGCATGAATCATAAATATGCACATAAAAAGATGCCAAATATCATTAGTTATTAGAAAAGTATAAAATCATGATGATGAGACAGCCACGTGGGAGGGGGGGTCCCCAGAGACTCACCAATCAGCCTGGGCCCTGGGAGGAATGTACACTGGGGCGGAGCCTTGGGAAGTTCTCCAGTTTACAGCAGGGAGGAGCCTGGCCCCTCCTCTTCCCGTCAGGAACCTGGGATTCCAGTGGCAGGTGGGAAGTGCTCTAGCAGGGGACTCTGGCCTTGTGGACCATCCCTGTTCCCCCCCTGCTTTTTTTACCTTTTCACCCAATGAAACCCTGCTTCATTACCCTTTAAACTGTCTGCGAGCCTAAATTTTTTGGCCGTGGAATGGACAAGAACACTGTGTTTAGCAGAACTAAGGACATGTCCTGCAACAATGAGATACCACTACATATTTATAAAATTGATTAACATTAAAAAGCCTGACAATATCAAGTGCTAGCAAGGACACAGAGGAACAGAACCTTGTGTACTTAATATACAATAAACTGTGCATATATAAATTGCACCATTTCACAAGCGTTGACATATAAATATAGTTGCAAAACCATCACTGGAATCAGATAACAAACATATCTGTCACTCTCACAAGTCTCCATCTGCCCCTTCATAGTGACCTTCTACCTTCCCCAAGTCTTCTCCCCCAACCTTCACTCCCTGTCTCTAGTCAGCTATTGATCTGCTTCCTGTCATTATAAATTACTTTCCATTTTCTAGATTTTTAAGTAATTGGAATCATGCAGTAAGCACTCTTTTATGTCAGGCATTTTTTATTATTTTGACTAGCTGTATTGTTGCATATATCAAGAGTTCACTGTTTTATAAGTAATATTATATTATGTGAACATAGCACAATTTGCTGATAAATATTTGGGTTGTTTCCATTTTATGACTATTACCAAAAAAACAGCTTTGAACATTTGTATGCATGTCTTTGTATGGACATAAAGTTTTATCCATTCATTTTCTGGAATAATACCTAAGAGTGAAGTAGTTGGATCATATGGAAGCTGTATATTTAAGCCTTTAAGAAACTACAAAACTGGTTTCCAAAGTGTTCTGATGTTTTACATTCCCACCAGCAGGCCCGTCAGAGGTTCTTCCATATGATGCAACTATTACACTCTTAGGTATTACTCCAGAAAATGAATGGATAAAACTTTATGTTCATACAAAGACATGCATACAAATGTTCATAGCTGTTTTTTTGGTAATAGTCCTAAAATGGAAGCAAACCAAATATTCATCAAAAAATTGTGCCATATTCACATAATTTAATATTACTTATAAAAAATGAACCATTGATATATGTAACAATAGAGCTAAGTTTCAAAATAATAAAAGAAGCCTTGACATAAAACAGTGCTTACTGCGTGATTCGATTTACATAAAATTCTGGAAAAAGCAAAGTAATTTATAATGACAGGAAACAGATCAATAGTTGACTAGAGACAGAAAGCAAAGGTTGAGGGAGAGGAGTGGGGAGGGTTGGAGAAGGTCATTATGAAAGGGCAGATGGAGACTGTGGGAGTGATATATGTGTTTATCTGATTCCAGTGATGGTTTTTCAAGTATATTCACGTGTCAACACTTGCTAAATGGTTCACTTTATATATGCACAGTTTATTGTATATTAAGTATAATCTTAAGGAGAAAAAAAAGAATGATGCTTGTTTTGCCTTTACCAAATGGGAAGATAAGGTTGGTAGTTTCTGAGCTGTGGTAAAAATGCATGTGGCAATGCCAGTCATGTGTTACTCTACTGAGCATAGAAATAAGACATTGTGGTATGATCTACATAAGTAAGACCGTAACTTTCTCCTGGAAACCAAACTCTGGAAACTGTTTTCCTTTGCTTTTGATTTAACTGATGGATTTTTGGTATCTTGACCTTTGGTATCTGTTATCTCCTGGATGATTACCTGGAATTATACGATTTAAAAATCCTTTTAGGGGCAGGACACAACACAATGACATTTGGATAGATGAAAAGCAAAGCTCCAAATAGATCTCCAGACTTATAAATCAAGGTATCATTCAGTAAACCTTAAATATATACAAAAATACAATAACTTCCCAGCTTCAAATTACAAAACTCTACCAGGTGAGGCCACAGAGAAAATTGCAACCAGGGGCCAAGATAACAGCAAGATGGAGAGGTACCAGGCAGCTTTTGTATGACAAGTGGAAAGTTTGGCTAGCTTTGGTGCATTTCTTGCAGGTTGGCTAATTTGAATATCCGGGACCAAGTTCTCTGATACTTGGCCCTCAGGAAAATTAGGGCAGGTTACAGATAGGTCTAAGGGTGTGAAAGTCTGATGAAGAAGTGGTTGGGGTGTGGACTTAATCAGCTGCTGAAAAATGAGAACAGACCAGTTTCTAACCATGCCTCGAAACTGGGTCAAGACAGCATTAAAATAAATAAACAAACAACTATATCACACCCCTGGTCCTATAGTGTGCCCTGTGACTTATCTATTCCAAATGCTCATTATTCCTACTTCTTAATCTTGAGATTCCATTCCTCAGATTCAGTTCCCTAATATTCATCTCTTCTCAAAGTTTACATTCATTGTACATCTTTTGCTTCTACAACCCAGAAATGAACATATGGAGGCCAGAAAAAAGTGGTTCATAAATCATATGTAAATAAAACATACAGTAATTATAGTTTTAAACTTAGAAATTTTACCTTATAAATATATCACTTCGAAATACTAAAGTGGAATATAACTTAAGGCATACTACTTTCCCTTTTAGTGTGGCACCATATAATAACTCTAGTTTATAATGCAGTATCTGTATAAATCAGTCTATGAGCATAGCAACATATGCACAAAACATTGCATTTTAGTGCAGCTCTGATGTATATGCACAGTACCTCCCTCCACTGTTAATGAGACCCCAGACAACTGCACCTAGAAGCAGCAGCATACCTGGTTTTTCCTTTCCTCAATCAGATTTAAACCTCAGAAGTCTGTATTTCTGTGTTCACCTAAACTTGAAAACATTCTCTCCAGATCCTAATGTGGCTAGCTGACTCTTCCATTGGTAAATTGTCTCATTATTATTAGAACTTCAGGATCCATAATAGATCTGATATGGTTTGGCTGTGTCCCCACCCAAATCTCATCTTGAATTCCCATGTGCTATGGGAGAGACTTAGCGGAAGGTAATTGAATCATGGGGGCAGGTCTTTCCTGTGCTACTCTCTTGATAGTGAATAAGTCTCATGAGATCTGATGGTTTAAAACAAGGAAGTATCCCTGAACAAGCTCTCTTCTCTTGTCAGCTGCCATGTGAGACAGGCCTTCCACATTCTGCCATGATTGTGAGGCCTCCCCAGCCATGTGGAACTGTAAGTCCATTAAACCTTTTGCTTTTGTACATAGCCCGGTTTCGGGGATGTCTTTATCAGCAGCATGAAAATGGACTAATTAGTACTGGTAGAGTGGGGCACTGCACCTGAAAATTTGGAAGCAATTTTGGAACTGGGTAATAGGCAGAGGTTGGAACAGTTTGGAGGGCTCAGAAGAAGACAGAAAAACGTGGGAAAGTGTGGAACTTCCTAGAGACTTTTTGAATGGCTT
This sequence comes from Homo sapiens, assembly GCF_000001405.40. NCBI lineage: Eukaryota > Metazoa > Chordata > Mammalia > Primates > Hominidae > Homo > Homo sapiens. The sequence goes on from NC_000005.10 coordinate 105,450,568, forward strand.
TGACCAAAATGTTTATAATGATATGGACAATGAAATCAAGGCTGAGGTGGTCTCAGATGGAGAGGAGGAACTACTTGGGAACTGGAGTAAAGGTGACACTTGTTATGTTTTAACAAAGAGACTGGAGGCATTTTGTCCCTGCCCTAAAGATGTGTGGAATTTTGAACATGAGAGAGATGATGTAGGGTATTGGGAAGAAGAAATTTCTAAGCAGCAAAGCACACAAGATATGACTTGGGTGCTGTTAAGGCATTCAGTTTTATAAAGGAAACAGAGCATAAAAGTTTGGAAAATTTACAGCCTGACAATGCCATGGAAAGGAAAACCCCATTTTCTGAGGAGAAATTCAAGCTGGCTGCAGAAATTTGCATTAAAAATGAGAAGCCAAATGTTAATCACCTAGTCAATGGGAAAAATGTCACGAGGGCATGTTAGAGACCTTTGTGGCAGCCCTTCCCATCACATCTCCAGAGGTTTTGGAGGAAAAAATTATTTTGTGGGCCGGGCCCAGGGTCCCTCTGCTGTGTGCAGTGTAGGGACTTGGTGCCTTGCAACTCAGCTGCTCCAGCCATGACTAAAAGGAGCCAAGGTACAGCTCAGGCTGTTGCTTCAGAAGATGGAAGCCCCAAGCCCTGGCAACTTCCACGTGGTGTTGAGCCTGCAGGTACACAGAAGTCAAGAATTGAGTTTTGGGAACCTCTGCCTTGATCTCAGAGGATGTGTAGAAATACCCGGATGCCTAGGCAGAAGTTTGCTGCATGGGTGGGGCTCTCATGGAGAACCTCTGCTAGGGCAGTGCAGAAAGGAAACATGGGATCAGAGCCCTCACATAGAGTCCCTACTGGGGCTCTGCCTAGTGGAGCTGTGAGAAGAGGGCCACCATCCTCTAGACACCAGAATGGTGGATCCACTGACAGCTTGCACCATGTTCCTGGAAAAGCCACAGACACTCAACACCAGCCTGTGAAAGTAGTCAGGAGGGAGGCTATAACCTGCAATGCCACGAGGGCAGAGCTGCCCCAGGCCATGGAAATCCACCTCTTGCATCAGTGTAACCTGGATGTGAAATATAGAGTCAAAGGAGATCATTTTAGAGCTTTAAGATTTGACTGCCCTGCTGGATTTCAGACTTGCATGGGGCTTGTAGACCCTTTGTTTTGGCCGATTTCTCCCATTTGGAATGGCTGTATTTACCTGTAAATGGGGGCCTGTACCCCCATTGCATCTAGGGTACAGATAACTTGCTTTTGATTTTATAGGCTCATGGCCAGAAGGGACTTGCCTTGTCTCAGATGGACTGAGACTGAGATTTTGGACTGTGGACTTTTGAGTTAATGCTGAAATGAGTGAAGCCTTTGGGGGACTGTTGGGAAGGCAAGGTTGGTTTTGAAATGTGAGGACATAAGATTTGGGAGGGGCCAGGGACAGAATGATATGGTTGGCTGTGTCCTCACCTAAATCTCATCTTGAATTCCCATGTGTTGTGGGAGGTAATTGAATCATGGGGGCAGATCTTTCCTGTTCTGTTCTTGTGATAGTGAATAAGACTTCTGAGATCTGATGGTTTTATAAATGGGAGTTTCCCTGCACAAGCTCTCTCCTCTTGTCAGCCACCATGTGAGACATGACTTTCACCTTCTGCTATGATTGTGAGGCCTCCTCAGCCACGTGGGACTGTAAGTCCATTAAAACTCTTTCTTTCGTAAATTGCCCAGGCTTGGGTATGTCTTTATCAGCAGTGTGAGAATGGACTAATACAAGGTCTTTCTACAATAGGTACCAAGCATCAAGTCTCTGTTATATGCCAGATGTTGCCCAAGGTGATTTTTCTACATATCTGCAATACTGATATCAACGAGTAAATCAGGGGTTATTGTTCCCCTCTTGAAGATAAAAACACTGAGATGCAGATGACCTGTCTTAGATCACAAGATCTGCCTTGGGGCAGAATTTTAAAGCAGGGCTTTAATTTTTCCACTAAGCCAAAATGATTAATTTTGTCATCTTTTTTTCACCGAAAGACACATGCTCCACCATCTTAAATTTCAACCAATAGTTCTATAGTCCCATCTATTTATTAGTTGAGTACAGTTGTAGAAATAATTTTCTTATCTTTTGCAAATAAAATTAATATCACAATAATAAACTATATAGTTTCTTGGAGACTTGGTTAACTTTGAAAGGGTTTTGGCAAAATACAAAATTAAAATAATTTTATTAAAAAATCCTCCAAATTTGGGGTATATTAGCACCTTGATTTTTAATGTGTACTATAACTTAATTGGATTATGTCAGTAAAAATAAAAATTGGGGGTAAAAAGTTCATTGGAACTTAATCTATTGCAACATATTTATTAGCAAAACTACTAAGCACTGGTTGATCATTGGACACTAAGCACTAGTATGCAGTGCTACTCAGTGAAATTCAGGAAAGGTGTATGAGCAGCTTGAGTTATGTTAAGTCATTCTAAGAAGGTTTACATTCATACAAAAAATAGCAAATCTATCCCAACCTCCCAACCCTTTCTCCACTAAACCTCCACACTTTCTACACCCACAATGCAATTGATTGATTTAGTATAATTACGCTCCTAGAGAACCAATTCATTTGAAAACCAGAATCCATGAGAAATACTAAAAAATAATCAGACTTGACTCACCCCCAGTTCATTTGCTTTGTGATGAAAGAACTCCTTAAAGGTAAACAATGAATATTAGTTAGCTTTGTTCAAGTAGGGCATTTGATACCCAGAGAAAAATAAGCAGGAGAGTGAATAAAGCAGTAGTCACATTTCTGAAGAATGAAGTCTGTAGATTGCAAGTGACAGGTTCAATTACTGGTCCATGGGCCACTGACACATCTGCCTTGAAGTCTGAGGAATGGGCAGTGGAAAAAGGATGAATAACTCTCAAGATTTAGAGAAAATATGTAACAACTCAGGCAGAAAATTAGCAATTACATTTCGTGCCATCAGTAATAACTATTTCAACAAAGATCTTAGGTTAACGTCAGACTGTGTGACAGTATATCAACTATTACACCTGTGTTCAATCAGCCACCACATCCCTCAATGCGATACTGAGCTGTTTAGTTCAAATGTGGCTTGTTCAGTGATAAGCAAGATGGCTGACATCTGGTACAGAAGTATTCAAAGGCAATTTACTTCAGAGTTTTGATGCTGACTGTTGTAAAAAGAAAAATTTTATAAAATTTGGACAGTTGCAATTTGTTCAGGTTTTCTTTTGATTTTTTTCAGTAACAAAATTATAACTTTATTAAAGATAAAGTAGAAAATTATATAAGTAGATCAGCAAAAATTTTTCAGAGAAGAATTTTTCAGATTTAAGGTTAAATAAAATGTCAACTGTAATAAAACTATAAATTCATGATATTATTTTTGTGTTTCAGAGTAAAGGCATAAAGCAATAAATGATAAATTACAAATAGAAACAGAAGAGTGTGACTCTATAATGTATTATCTTCTCTATATTTTTAATTTAAATCTGATTTGATGTTTTAGATCTAGCCAATAAGGTTTTTATTTTAAATATATACTTAAAAAATAACGTGAGAATTATAATTGATTTCTTACCAACAAATAAATACAATTAATTTAGCCTAGGAGCCCTATCATCTTATACATTTATAATCAGACATGTACAATGAATAAAAATAACACAATGTTCACTAACATGTCAACAAATGGCTAATTATGAGATTATAATATAACAGTATCTATAAAAATAATTCTAAGTGGAGTTAACAAATGGCTGTCTTTAGTCTGAAAAATGTATTTGAAAATAGCCTTTTCAGATATAACAAGAGAGAGATAAGATCTTACTCTTCATCATTAAGGTATGTGAGCCAGATACTGTATATTGCCATCCTGGAAGTCACACTAGTTATAATTTTTAAAAAATTATTTGCGAGAGAAAAACAAGCAAATCAAATTTCCTCAAGTTAAATCAGTAGATGATTTTTATCATGCTCTGACATTAAATTCATATTAGTGATGCCTCACCTATGATAGATTTTTTAACAATAGATTAAGCTATTCTCATATGATACGTACTCATTTTTAAATAATTTGTATAACTGGTATTAGTCCAATGATATATGCATAATGTCTGTATGTATAGTTATGTATGGATGGATTTTATATATATTTATATGTAATATATACAATACATAATGTTTTACATATTATGTATTACATATACTTAATAACCAAAATATAATTGTTGGTTTACCTTTCAACATTTTATAGGAAGACAACAGATTATTGTGAACGAGCTGATTCTTCTAAAAGGCCCTTCAAGATTACCCTTCAAGCTGGATAATCACCTGTTTGCTCATGTATGACTCTGTCTTGAATAACAGGACAAATACATATATACACACACACACACAAACACACAAATAATGATGAACGTGACAGTGATAGCTAAAATAGATTAATTGCTATGCAAAACACATTATCTTATTCAATTTGTGTAAGGAAGTCTAAATGCAGATTTAGAAGTTATGTTGCCTTGCAAAATAGACATTTTCCCAAAGAGTTGTTTGAACCAAACAATGGTAAATCACAGACATTTTACATTATCTAAAGAATAATTTTACACAATGTAAAAAACACTTTTCAAAAGTGAAGGCTATTTTTATTTCCTTCTGAGTTAGTCTGACAAATTCAAAATACATGTATTTACATTTATGTTTATATTCTTAAAGCAGGTACAACTAAACTTACTGCATAAATACAGATCACTTCTGTATTATTTAGGGTTCTCTAGGGGGACAGAAGTAATAGGATAGACATACATATAAAGAGGTGTTTGTTAATGAGTACTGACTCACGTGATCACAAGTTGAGGTTCCACAATAGGCCATCTGTAAACTGAGGAGCAAGGAAGCCAGTCCCAGTTCCAAAACCTCGAAAATAAGGAAGCCGACAGTGCAACCTTCAGTCTGAGGCCAAAGGTCCAAGAGTTCCAAAGCTGAAGGACTTGGAGTTTGATGTTGCAGGGCAGGTAGCATCCGGCACAGGGGAAAGATGGAGGCCAGAAGACTCAGCCAGTCTAGTCTTTCCACGTGCTTCTGCCTGCTCCTTTTTCTGGTCACAGTGGCAGCTGATTAGATTGTGCCCACCCAGAGAAAGGGTGGGCCTGCCTTTCCCAGTCCACTGACTCAAATGTTAATCTTCTTTGGCAACACCCTCACAGACACACCCAGGAAAAATACTTTGCATCCTTCATTCCAATCAAGCTGAGACTCAATATTAACCATCTCCCTTTCCCATTATTGAGAGGAAACATCAGCACTCTTTTTATTAAGTATTTTTTTTCTAGGCAAGGAAGAGGAGAAAATAATAATGATGAAAAGTAATTATTATTTCTTTTTCTCAAATTCAAGACTTTGTAATAGCACAGTCTTTTTGTGAACTCAGACTCACCATCTCCAGTAATTGTCACCTGTGATTCAACGTCTGTAACATTGAAATCGTACAAAATTTATTCCCAAAACTTTCTCATTTCCCTTTTAGTTTTTCCTCCTTCCTACTCCTGATTCCCAAAGTATTTCTGTCTCATCTCCATCCTATCAATGTTCAATTTCAAATGACTATAATGTTGGGACGGTTTGAGTGACTTCTTCTCATTAAGGTATAAATGATTGATTGATTCTTGTTCTGTCTTTTCCGGGGCATTTACATTTTAATAGGGGATAATTCTTTCATTCATGGGGAATGAGTTCTATAAGAGCGTCATTTCAAACTAGAGTAATAGGTCAGTGTGAAGGGAACTTGGAATTGGAAAATCTTCCTTGTTCATTTTTCGCAAGGTCATATCCCATTGCTCATTACTTTTCAAGAGTTGAAAATTTTACCCCATACCTTAGATGGTAGTGTCTCCAAAGTTGGATTTACTCTTCACAAACCTACATTTATTCTCTGGAAATAATTTAAACACAGTTGCAATCAAATTAACTTTCTCATATCACTAAGGTAACCTTTAATGTACAGCTGTCATAATATGGAAAGTCGCTGAGGTTGGTGAAATCAAAAGCCAAAATGAAGCAAGCAAAAAATAGCATCAAACACAAATACATAAAGCCACGGAAAGTGCAGTGAGACAACCTAATCAGCCATCCTAGCAGTAATATTTATATACCTCCTAGCACTGTAGTAAATATTGTTTTATGCACATGCACTATTCCTTCAGCTCCAAGGAGAGATGAGATTTCTAAGTACCCTTTTGCTGTACAACCCCAGTAAATAAAATGTACGGTACTCTTATAACTATCCCAGAGAGACATGATGATCACATCATAGGCATTCTTATTCTTCTTTAAAGCAATTTTTATGAATAATAAATCATACATAATTCTAGGGACAGGAAATAAACGTAAAGCTTGGGAACAACTTGTTTGTCTCTCTATCACAAAGGACTAGATTTTAAATTCCATTATCTCACATATCACTACACTTTTATAATTTCATTTACTATAAAAACCACAGCAGCCCCAGAGTAAATTTTAAATTTAAACAAAATAATATATGCTGGCTGAGTCTATGTATATTATCAGATTGAGTTGAGATAGAAAATTTTAGTCTTCCACATAAAACTCCTAATATCTGAGGGAACATTTAAAAATTTAATGCATTTTCACGAAGTTCAAGGAAGCTTTGGTCATAAACTAACACTAATTAAAGTTATTCTGCATGAACTCATAGGGCAGTGAAAAACCAAACTCATGTCACCAAAATCCATATAAGATAAACTAACAAATGTTAATAAATATTTTGTCTAGAATATAGATTCATATATGTATAAGTATTTTAGTTATTTGGTACCATTTGCAAAAACTATTGATTTTCTACAGAATAGAGATTTGTATCTTTTATGATCTTTTTGTAAAAATTTATTATTAATATTTGGTGCTCTAAACATAATTTAAATTGCTGTGATTGACTAGTATTTGGATTATAAACAGCAATTTCTAATTCTTTCCAGTTTCCTTTAAAGACTTGAAATTATTTACCCATTTATAAAGGATGCCAAATGTCTTGAATTTACTATGTGATTTTATGTAGGTTTTCTAGTGAAATCTGAAGGTGCATTCACTTCTCTGAGAAAGTTCATATATATTCTTGGCTCTTGATTTATAATAGAATGTCAAATGCTATATAAGAATAAAAGTTACATTTTTAAATATTTTGGTTGTTGAAAATCTCCTTGAATAATGGTAATATTACTTTATGAAAAGAATCTTTTGTCAAATTCAGTTGGAATAATTTGTAGGCTCACTTGAATTATAATTTTTAATTTAGATATTTGACTCTTTACTTTTAAAATAAACAGACTTCCTTAAAGCTTCTGGAGAGTAATTTATTTAAATTTAGGGGAAAAACAGAAACATTAAAATACTCTAAGTTATTTCTCTCTGCCTTTCTCAATTTCCCGTGGAAATAACAAAAGATCAGAATTTTCTGGCCTAATGATAAAACAGAATATTTGCAGTTTCATTTAGAGAAATGTCATGCAAAATTATCTTCAGTATGCTTGTCCATGTCAGAATAAGTGAGAAAGAGAGCGAATTACAAATATTTTTTTCCTTTTCCTGGAGGAAATTTTATTTAGAGAATATCAGAAAAAGATTCTGTCTTCTTTGCCTAATGCACATGTTTTCAGTAGTGTATTCAATTTTAATTTCATTTGAATTAGAATGCCATTAATGAGAAAAATAGCTGACCTGCTAACTCAAAGAAACTGCTACACAGAGGTTAATCAAGGTTTATCTGCCTCAATTCAGTTTAACAATTGACAAAAATAAGTATTATCTTTCAAATATTCAATATAATTATGCTTTTCAGAAAGTTTAAAAAATCTGCTTTTTGCACAAAGCTTCATGTAAATGTAAGAAATGAGAGTCACACTTAATATTCATCAAAGCTTTTATAACTGACTCTGGATATTATTTTAGTGGTAGGTTTTCAAATACAAACTTTTTTTTGCTTTGAAAACTAAGGTTTTAAAAGCAATCTTCTAATCCTGTTTTTATTTAGAATAATTTCTTTTCAAACCTTTATTATGTTAAATGGGAAAAGTAATATTTTATAAGTAAAGAAAAATACAAAATATAGATCAAACTTTGTTGATGTTTGCTTAAAGAAGTGTTGCTTTAATTAATGACCCATTTCCATTAAAAACATAACAGATATTTTTCACTTTAAGATTGTTGCTAGAGCAAAACCCCGAAATGAAAAAAGAATATAGAAAGTAATTAGGATTTGAAGACCCAACACAATAATTTTAAAATGCACCAGTTTTGATTGAAGTGAGCAGTTAATGTTTATTTTATTCAATCTGTAATGTTAAAACTTATTTCACTTTCCTTTTCCCTAGGCCTTATCTGAAATCTCAGACTAAAACTGAGATAATTTCTTGCTTTCTCACTAATTTTATTTATTTGCCTTTTAAATTGCAAGAGGGTTTTATTCACTGGTTTTCTAAACATAAATTGCCTTACGCAGCATAAGATAATGGGTAGGTCTGGGCCTCTGTACTCAGATAGTCTTGGTTCAAAATTCAGGTTTCTTTCTGTGAAGGTTATCTTTGGCTTTAAGATAGTTACCTTAAGGTATTAAAACCTCTTTTTCCTCCTCAGCAGAATTGTGACAATAATAGTAACTACCACAAAGGGTTTTAGGGAAGGTTCAATGACCCAAATGCATGGAGAGTGATTAACAGTGGTCATGACTGTGTTCATTTTATTGTTGTCAGGAGAAGAGAAGAGTCATCAAACCTTCCTACCCATCTGGTTTCCTCTAACTTCTTTTTGGAGGTCTCCAGCATGGTATGAATTCTTGTGAATTGCATTACTGTTCTTATCAGGTACAGGTACATCATTGTCTCCTCTAACAGATCTGTTAGGCAACTTGAAGACAGAGGGTCTCTCAGGGAAGTCCTGAGGTCTCTGTCCTCAAATATTTCCTCACCAGCAAGACCTTGCTTTTCTTTTCTCCTTTCCTCTAACCTCCTTCTCCTTCTTTATTTACCTTCATATCACTTATTAACTGTATTTCATGTTTTTTTTCTCTTCGTGTTAGAATGGTTGATATATAAAAAAAACAAAGATTTTTCCCTTTTTCATTGGTGCCCTAGATCATATAATATGTAGTAGGCATGCAGCAGGTACTTATTAAATATATGGCAAACTCATGAGTAAATTTATATTTGGATATTTGTTTTAAAAATATTTTAGAAACCTACTGCCTTGCAAATTTTTAATAACTAACTAGTATTCTATAAGGGTACATTTGGCAGCCTTTCATAGTAAATTCTATGTTTTAGTTTGTTTTCACATGTTCTGTAAAGGACTACCTGAGACTGGATAATTGATGAAGAAAAGAAGTTTGATTGACTCGCAATTCCACAAGGCTTAACAGAAAGCATGACTGGGAGGAAACTTACAATTATGATGGAAGGTGAAGGTGAAGTAAGCACCTTCTTCCCATGGTGGCAGGAGAGAGAGAACAAAGGAGGAAGTGCCACCACTTTTAAACCACCAGATCTCATGAGAACTTACTCACTATCATGGGAACAGCAACAAAGCAATCGGCCCTCATGATCCAATCACCTCCCACCTGGCCAATTAGACATGAAATTTGGGTGGGGACACAAATTCAAACCATATAATTCTACCCCTGGTCCCTCTCAAAGATCATATCCTTCTCACATTACAAAATACAATTATCCCTTCTCATCAGACCCTCAGTCTTAACTTATTTCTGCATGAACTCAAAAGCCCACAGTCCAAAGTCTCATCTGAGACAAAGGAAAGTCCCTTCCACCAATAAGCCTGTAAAATCAAAAACAAGTTAGTTTCTTCCAAGATATAATGGGGTACAGGCATTTGGTAAAAGCTCCCATTTCAAATGGGAGAAATTGGCCAAAACAAAGGGGTTACTGTCCCCATGCAAGTCTGAAATTCAGCAGGGCACTCATTAAATCTTAAACCTCCCAAATAATCTCCTTTGACTCGATGTCTCATATCCAGGGCACACTGATGCAAAGGGTGGGCTCCTGAGGCCTTGGACAGCTCCATTCCTGTAGCTCTGCAGGGCACAGCCCCTTTGGCTGCTTTCATGGGCTGGCATTGAGTGACTGCAGCTTTTTTAGGTGCATGGTGAAAGCGGTTGACAGATCTACCATTCTGTGGTCTGGAGGATGGTGGCCCTCTTTTCACAGCTCCACTAGGCAGTGCCCCAGTAAAAACTCTGTGTATGGGCTCTAACCCTAAATTTCTCCTTTATGCTGCACTAGTAGAGGTTCTCCATGAGGGCTCCGTCCCTGCAACAGACTTCTGCCTGAACATCCCAGCATTTCCGTACGTTCTCTGAAATCTAGGTGAAGTTTTCCAAATCTTAACTCTTGCCTTCTACACACCCCCAGGCCCAAAACCACAGGGAAGCCATCAAGGCTTGGAGCTTGCACCATTGGAAGCCATGGCCTGTGCTGTACCTTGGCCCCTTTTAGCCATGGCTGGAGCTGGAGTGGCTGGGACACAGGGTGCCATGTCCCAAGGCTGCACAGAGCAGTGGGGCCCTGGAAACCATTTTTCTCTCCTATGCCTCCAGGCTTGTGATGGGAGGAGGTGCCACAAAACTCTCTGAAATATTCTGGTGACATTTTCCCCATTGTCTTGGTGATTAACATTTGGCTCTTCTTATGCACATTTTTGCAGCTTGTATTTCTCCCCAGAAAATGGGTTTTTCTTTTCTAACACGTGGTCAGGCTACCAATTTTCCAAACTTTTATGCTCTGCTTCCCTTTTAAATATAAGTTCTCCTCGTTTATGCAATGACCATAGGCTTTTAGAAGCAGCCATGCCACACCTTGAGCACTTTACTGCTTAGATTATTTCTTTTAGCAGATACCCTAAATCATCTCTCTCAAGTTCAAAGTTCCACAGATCTCTAGAGTAGGGGAACAATGTTACCTCCCAGTCTCTTTGCTAAGGCATAGCAAGAGTGACCTTTGCTCAAGTTCCCAATAAGTTCCTTATGTCCATCTGAGAACTCCTCCACCTGCACTTCATTGTCCATTTCATTATCAGCATTTTGGTCAAAACCATTCAACAAGTCTCAAGGAATTTCCAAACTTTCCCACATCTTCCTGTCTTCTTCTGAGCCCTCCAAAATGTCCCAAACTCTGCTTGTTACCGAGTTCCATAGTTGCTTCCACATTTTCAGGTATCTTTACAGCAGTACCCTACTCCTGGTACCAATTTTCTGTGTTAGTCAATTCCCACATACTATAAAGAAATACCTGAAACTGGGTGATTTATGAAGAAAACAAATTTAACTGACTCACAGTTTCATAGACTTAACAGGAAACATGACTGGAAGGCCTCATGACAGAAGGTGAAGGGGAAGCAATCACATTCTTCCTATGGTGGCAGGAAAGAGAGCAAAACAGGAAGTGCCACACACTTTTAAACCATCAGATCTTGTGAGAACTCACTCATTGTCCTGAGAACAGCAAGGGAGAAATCTGCCCCCATGATGCAGTCACCTCTCACCAGGCCTCTCGTCCAATTCTACATGAGATTTGGGTGGGGACACAAATCCAAACCATATCACTCTACTTGTTATTTAACATCTCTCCCTCAACACCTACCAACAAGAGAAACATTTTTAAAATAGGCAGAAACATTTTATCTGCTTAAAGCTCACCAATATCTCATATATTGTTCACTTACAAAATCTGCTAGAGTCTATGACTATTCCTTTGAGATGACTGATAAGAAATAGTACCTGCATTTGATTCCATTCTGCTGCTGTGTCCCTATCTTAACTTTTGCTTTTTAGAATGCAGAGCCTGAGCAAATGCTCAGAGAGTGCATTGCCAGGGAAGTAGCGTGTAGGAAAAGGAAACGGAGGAAGAGAAGGAGGAAGAACAAGTATGAGGAAGTGTATTACCAAGATGGCTAAAGCATCATGACAGAGGACTTTTATGGAGGGTTTATGAAGCTATTATGGAGTGTACAAATACCATAAAAAGGCAACACAAAGGGAGAATTGTTTGTCTACAGACTTTCATTTCAAATGGGTTAAGTTTGCCTCCAAAACATTAAATAGTGTTATTTTCCCGCTCCTATTCCAGCTTTCTTGGTTCCACATGCTTGGAGTCTGAGTAGACCCTGCAGATTTTAGAAATTCCGTGGCGTCCAGGAAGCTTTGTAGAAGAATGCTGTGACACATGGAACTGAAGAAAGGCAGTATCGGTTTAGGCTCACATGTGACCTAAAGGCCAGGAATTGTTATCACAGATGATCCCTGTATCTTTAGCAAAGCCAGTAGCTTGTACCAATAACCAGGCATGGTGAAGACACATCCAATTTCTGCTAGGGCAGCCCCAAATGGAAAGCTGGACAGGGTTCTAGACCTGGGTTAATGAATTAACTAAATGCTGTGCATGCTTTCAAATATTCATGTATGCTAGAAAAGTGTTCTGGGATTTTAGCACCAACCTTTCTAAACTGGAGTTACGTAAGTCCCCAAAACTGTAAAAATGTAAATTCAAATGTGCAAAGGTTTTTAAAGTGCCTTGTTCTTTCTTTAAAAAGATTACAGAATAAAACACATAAATTCTATTATAAAAGTCTCATTTATACTAGAAAATTTTTAAATGGACAGTTAATAATGCCATAAAGATTTAATTAATAATAATGTTGTAATTTATAAACATTATAGATTACCCAGCTAACAATGTCAATTCCTCTGTTACATTTTAGAAAGAAATTGTATTGGAGTACACAATGGAAATATTCAATCAAACATGAGGTACCACATAATATAAGGTATAGCTCTTCCTCATATAATAACATAATAACACTCCCCCACACCTGATAAGAACCAGTAATGAGCTTTCAGGTATAATGAAGGCACAGAAGAAATATTGTGCTTTCTTCTAGATTTTATTCAATAATTTAAGAAAATATCTTGAATCTTGATTTTCTATGTCAGATAATCTTAGGGGAGAAGATAAATATTTTTGTGTGTATGTGATGTATGTTATTTAAAAATATCTTCCCTCTGTGAGAGGAGGAAATTCTATATCATACTAAAGAGAGGGGAATATTTGCTGTTGTGAAAGGTGATTATTCTAATATCTCTTACCAGCATAATTTGTTTTAGCACCAGCTGGATCTAGAAAATAAGTAGTAAACATCAAAACTCAATCTAAAACTTGCTTGACACACCTATGCTTATTTAAAATTCAAATTTTAGAATTGTGCACATGCAACTAAGCCTAAACACAGATGTTTTAAGAGTAATTTGAGCAATAAATATCCTTCTGGAAGTGAGTAACCAAAATTTTAGATTTTATGTACCATAAAAGAGACAAGTCAGTCTTGGCTAAGAGCAAGAGATTTAAAAACATATATTTATGTATATATTTATATATAACATTATAAATATATATTTATAGACATACAAACATATATTTTTATAATTTAAAATATATATGTATAATATAAAACATATACATATAAATACATTTATATGTATATTTACTTTTATATTTATATTCATGTACATAAAAATATTTATATATATATGTTATAAGTGTATTTTTAAATGTCTTGCTCTTAGCCAAGAATGACTTGTCTCTATTATGGTGCATAAAATCTACACTTTTTTTTTTTTTAGAAAAGAATACTTTATTGAAACAGTTTCTCAATTGACAATTGAGCAAAGTACAATTTGACTTGAACCTATCCAACCTGCATCAACTGCTAATGAAAGAATTTATACATACAGAAGAGGTGGGGGTGTGGTGGGGATTGGGATCTTTAGGTCCCATCTCTGACAATATGGAAAAAAAAAAGAAGAAGAAAAATACAAAATGACTGACACAGCCAGATTTGTTCTCGTCTTGGAGCTGGCGCAGCAGCCCTAGCTCCTGCTACAGATGAATAAATGGAATATTGGAGGATGGGCACCCTAGGCATAGGCATGGTGAGTAAGGGGCTCCTCATCCTATTAGAGCGATGCACATGAGGAAGGCCAGTCATGACTCTCTTCCGTCACCCACAGGCCTTCCTCAATGAGACTGAGGTGGCATTTTTACATTCACACTGTGGTCTCTCCTTCATATATATACATGCTGCTTTGTAAATAAGTACACCAGCAGCCAAAGTTTCATTCATCAAGAGCACCACATTTCATAGTTTAGTTTCTGGTTTCCTCAGAGAATCAAACTGGTAAAATATTAAGTGATATATACATATATATATATATCTATATATCTTTATATACACACACAAATAAATATATATTACATATATACTATATATATTACATACATACACACACATATTTGCTTGGACATTTCCCATTTCTTTGTAATCATATTCAGATTCCCTTTATATGGTGAAGCTTTTGATAATGGAGAATCTTTGGTAAATTCTCACTCTAGTGATGGTTGAACACAGTTTGATTCCAAAAGATGCAAATAATCTGACCAAAAAATGCCTTTTTCAGACATATTCAATAAGTGAATTTTTGCGTGTTCAAAGAGTACTTTGGAAAAATTGAAAGATTAAGATGTAGCCATTTGCTTAAGAGTTGGATAACAGCATGAACATTATTTTCTTGACCGTTTATTTGATTTTATTTCATTTTTTACAGTGAAGCTATTTGATGAAGACATAATAATTTATAAATTGCTTATGCTGAAGTAAATAAAAAAGAAATTCTCAACCAGCTATTTGAAGGCAAAAATACGTGTGGCTGACTGCATGTCTGTAAAACTGCTGTGGAAAAGACTGCTTTGTAAATAAGTACACTGGCAGCCAAAGTTTCATTCATCAAGAGCACCACATTTCATAGTTTAGTTTCTGGTTTCCTCAGAGAATCAAAGTGGTAAAATATTAAGTAATATTTAAAAGAATCATTTTGAGTCTTCGTTCAATACAATTATATCAAATTCCTTAAAATGTTTATATTCTTTGATCAATAATTTACTCTTTTAGGAATCCCTCTTAGGATAAACTGGGGAAAATATATATAGAGAGTATCATCATAGATAATTTCCCAATAGTGAAAAACAACAAATAATGTGTGTGTGTCTCTCTCTATATATAAATATATATATATAAAAACATATATATAGTATTAGGGAATTAATTTAAAATGTAATATATCTCTTTAAATATATATCTTTTATTATTTTGATTGCATAAGTAACATTTTATATAAATATCCAATAAATAAACATAATGCATTTTTTATTTTATAATATATTCATAAGATTAAAAGGCACAAAGATAATTTCTGTTTTAACAAAAGAGTTTATTTCATGAAGAGCATTTCCTGTGTAATATTATACTATGGAAAAAATTATTATAACGTGAAATTTTATATTTTCTTATTTATGTAAATAATAAATTGGTTTTTATCTGAAGAAAAAACTGGCAGAAAGTCCAGCAATATATGGGTGGTTGCCATAGATGATACTTGTAATTTTTTATTTTCTATTTTAGAGTACAGAGGAGTCCCATATTTTCTATAATTATGTGTAGGTTTTATGATGAAAATATTTTAATTTCATCAGAGATTAAATGAAGGTCAGTTGGAATAAAATAAAATACATAAAAGCATCTAGAGATGTATTTGAAATGTTTAATATTTTTTGACTTATAATTTACTTTTGATGTATTTGAATAATGTGACAGTATACATAAAGTATCATGAGGTAACTCTATTAAATAATATCAGCCAAAACTTTGGGTAAGAATACATATTATATTCAAATTCAGTAATTAAGAAATAGTAAGATTAAAATAAGATAAAATAATAAGATTAAAATAAGTTTATAAGTATCTCTGTCCTAAAAGACAAAAAAGTACAAGCTGATTATTTTAGAACTATCTTGAAAAAATTCTCAACTAATAGCTTATCATAAAATATAATCTATTATTTGATATATCATATTAACAATTAATTAGTGTAATTTTCACACATGATCAGTTTACCGAGTACATGTTAAGTGATTTCTATGGTCCAGGAAGATTCACTCAGATCTATGAGTATGAAAATGTAATACACCATCCTTTAACAAATCATATCAAGTAAAATAAATCAATATTGCAATATGAGTTTCAGGAAGAGGAAGGAATTAGCAAAAACACAACATAAAAATGATTTAAAAAATTATTGCCAGAATGGCTAGAGAATGTCAATAAAAACTATAAAATATAAATTATTTTAAAATAATAAAATTTCAAATTAAAGAGTTTTAACAATATGTGAAAATAGAAATGAGATTAGGGTCTGATGTCTCCACAGGGTATGAGATAGTCCAATTGATGAAGGTTCTTCATAGATTTACATCATTAGGATAGTAAATATCACATTATTTAATGAAAAACACTACTGTAAGTAACTACACAAGATGATCACTTACAGGTCTAAGTTAGTAGAGCATGCATACCAGTTTGAATATAGCAGAAATAACAAATTCCCTTGAGGAAATCAATCAGAAACAGAAAAGAGAATGTGAAACAGACAAACTCTGTCTTCAACAAAACTATTAACAAAAACTTGAAAAACAAATATAATGTGGAAAAGACTATCTGAAGTATAAGAATGAAGCAGGAAGACTGTGGGAAAACATGGAGAGAAAGTAACACCATTGAAGGTCTCAGAACAGAGTCAACCAACTTCATTTCTCCAAGGAAAAGGGCTCACTCTGAGAAGTAAAACCTGTATAGCAGGTAAAAATGCTCATCAGAAAACTGGTATAACAGTATAAATGACAATTGTGCCTAATCATTCAAAATGATTTGAAAATAAAAAACCCCTTATTTAAACAATTACTTCTATCAAGTAAAATCAGAGGCATTATTGAGGATACATGTACAAAAGCTCAGAAAAGGGATGGTGAAAAAACAGAAAAAGAGAAAGTATTAGCTGGCAGTGCTCAACTTTAAAAATTGAAGAAAAAAACAAAAAATGATCACGTAGCATGATAGGAAAATTTAAAGAAACACAAAAGAGAGAAACACAACAGAGAGAAACAGAAAGAAACACAGAGGACATAAATAATAAAATAACTTGAAATGGATACAAGTAAACAAGTTTAAATGATTACTGATAAAATATTAAATGTAGAATAGTATATAGAAAAAACAAAGTAATCATACAAATTAACAATATTCTTTAAGAAAAAAACGATGAATGGAGAAAAGTTCTAATTAAATAAATCAGTTACTGAAATCTGATTGTCATACTGAAAGCAGAGATTTTCTGTATTAACCTGGAGAAAGCTTAGATCTGTAACTCCCCCTTGTCCTGGAAATAATTCAAAGGATGAAATTAAAAAAAAAATACTGCAAAAATCATCTTCAGTGGAAACATAAAATAGAGATTTCAAAAGTGCCAAAATGAGATTAAGTGCTGCCCAGTGTTTGATAGAGACTTAATAGCATCATGCAATGCAGCAGTGGAAAGTAGTATGGGGGAGTGCAAAAGGGTTGTACAGTATATGTTTCAAGACACACTCTACAATATGTCCAGAAGCAATATAAAGGGAAAACGTTGGTGAGGAAACCAACAGAAGGAATGATGAAGTAAAGGGACCTGAAATGTGGTGGAACTCAACATGTGATATAGGCAGGGTGCAGTGGCTCACGCCTGTAATTCCAGCACTATGGGAGGCCTAGGTGGGCAGATCACTTGAGGTCAGCAGTTGGAGACCAGCCTGTGCAACATGGTGAAACTCTGTCTCCACTAAAAAAAAAAAAAAAATAGCCGGGGGTGGTGGTGCGTGACTTTATTCCCAGGTACTTGGAAGGCTGACGAGGGAGGATCGCTTGAGCCTGGAAGGTGGGGGTTGCAGTGAACCGAGACTGCACCACTGCACTCCAGCCTGGACGACAAAGCAAGACAGTCTCAAAAAAAAAGAAAAAAAAACAAAAAACAAAAAAACAGCAGTGTATCTTGTAGAAAGCAGTATTAAATAAGTTAACAAGTATTTAAGATTATATATGTTTTTCTGTGTAATTAATTGTATAAAGTAGATTTTAATACATACAGTTTTTATAAGCATCACATTCCATTTATGGGAAATTTTCATTTTGACTTAATAATATATTAACTACTCCTTCCAGTTTTCATGTAGTAGAGCCTTTTGATTTATGAGTTTCTTATCAGTTTCTGGTTTCAGGCAGTATGATCAGAAAATTTTTATATAATTCTTATGTTTTATCTTGGTACATTTATTGAGGTTTAAAATTAACATACATTTGATGAGAATTCTCGGTGTCAAGCTTTTAAAATTCATTATCAATTAATGCAACTTTTAAATTATATTCTTTAAATATCCCATATTTGCATTAATAGTATTCAACTTATAGTTTGTTATTGCTGCCTTTAACTTCATCATTAACAGTCAATGAAAATTATGTAAAATCTACTTTTTAAAAAAATAAATGCTGTTGCTACGCTTTTAAACTAAAGGATATAACTTACAATGGATGCATTAAAAAGCATACTCTGATTTTTAAAAGCCTTCTTTTCCTAAATTAATGTTTTGGCCTAAAATCTGACTATAATCCAGTAGGTAGTATTCAGCTAGCACTTCTACAATAAACAATACAGTGGAGTAATATCTATTCAGTAACTTATTTTAAGAATTAGACCTCAGACAATGCATTATATCCACTAAAAAGCAAATCATAAAGGAAACATCATAGTTGTCCATTTCTCTGCCTGTTGATAATTTTTCAAACATTAAGAAGTGTGCTAGAGCCCGAGTAGAGCCCATTTTCCACTGAAGGAAGTTATGCAGAATCTGTGTGAGAGAGAGAGCAACAGCTAGGTGGAGGTTCTCAGCAGTCCTTGGATGAAGCGTAGACTACACATTTTCAGGGCAAGACTGTCCAAGACTTACCAGAGAGCAGTTTCTATAGATTTAAGAACAGAACAGGGATACCAGAAATTAGGTAATAATGAGGACACTGGAAAACTAATTCAATCAGTGTGAAGTCTTTATAAATATCTTGTTAACACTTTGGTGGAGACACAAAGAAGGTCATATGTTAGAAGTAATCCTATGCTAGATATCTCCTAACAAAATCTAAAATCACAGTTTGAAGTTTGAGTCCCACCAAGTAAGATGGGCTTGGGAAACGCATTAAGATTATAAGATCTGCTTTACCGAAGCATAAAACCAAGTCTCCACAAGTTCAAGTGTGATCAGCCTGCAATCTAATGCATGTTAGAATGAAAATTACCTCTTCAGAGGAATATAACAAAATTAAGATCTTCTACAATGTATTCTTCAGGATGTCTGATTATAAGATGTGAAGATAAACAAGTAAATCTTGATATATGAAAAAACAGAGAAAACAAAAGGACTCCAAAAGAAACTACACATGAGATGATGCAAATTTTAGATACAACAGGCAAAAATTTGTAGGTAACATAAATGTGTTCTGAGAATTAAAGGGTCTCATATTCAAGGAATTGAAGAAAACTGTAATTGTAAGGAATTAATAGGGAATTTAGGGAAATAAATGGAAGTTTTAAAACCATAAATTGGAATTTCTAGAAAAGTATCTGAAAGTTTAAAAATAACTGGTCTTAAAAGCAAATTAGAAATAATAGAAAAAGTCAGTAATCTTTACAATAGAACATTAGAAATTCCTTATTTGAATAACAGCACATGAAAAGGATGAAGAAAATAATTAGAGATACTCAGGGAGTTAAAGAGGGATTCCATAATAAAACTTGCAAGGGAGAAGGATTTTTTTCAGATATGACTTTTTAAAGTTATCAAATACCATGGTCACACTAGGTATGTCAAAGTTTAAATTTCTGAAAACTCATAATGAAAAAAGTGGAAAAAATCAATGCAATCAGACATAAAGGACATTTCATATACAGAAGAGAAGCAATACAAATTACAGCTCATTTCTCATTAAAAACAACACAGTGCAGAAGATAATAGAATGGCATCCTTGAAATACAAATATTGACCCAGAATTTTATACCCAGTGAAAATTCTCTTCACAAGTGAGAGTGAAATAAAGAAATTTGAAGATAGAGAAAAGCCGTAAGAATTTATCTTTGACAAACTTGCTCTGCAGGAAATGCCAAAAATGGTTTGTTTGATTGTATGTGTGTGTGTGTGTGTGTGTGTGTGTGTGTGTGTGTGTGTGTCTGACTGAAGGGAAACTATAGCAGATAGAAATGTTAATCCATAAGGGAGAAAAGGAAACATACTTTCTATGTGTATGTGTGTGTGTAAAATATAACAACAATATTTTAAAGCATGTTAGGGACATGTAAACAGAATCTAAGATTTTAGTAGTATGACTAGACAAAGATAATTTGATGTTAGGATTTGGAAGAGTAAACTGCTATGTAAAAGTGTGAATTATTTTGTGTAAAGTAAGAAGTATTAAGTGTGAAGGACAAAGTGTGAGTATCGTTTCTGTAGTGAAAGATGACATGTAAATCAAATGAATGAGGACCATACTTAATCAAAATATACTTAGAGAAGTTAAGGATAGATATTGTGAGCCCTGGGAAAATAAATAATGTAATGCAAAGGAATCCAGAAACCGGTATGCCTTGAAGGCAGAATACTGAGTTTGGAAATCTGACAGAATGCAATTTGGTAATATTTAGCAGTAAGGTCAAAGTATGTATGTGCTTTGATCCTTTGATCAACTAATTTAACCTATGATACGTTCAGAAATTGGAAATACAATATATGTGCAAAATTACTTGGTAAGTATTGCTAGAAATAGCACTGGGACATACTCTAAATGTTAATCAGTAAGGGGTGATGCACTATATTGCTGTTTTTCTGTACACATCTGTGTGGCTATTTAAAAAATGAGGACATTAGTTAAGTAGTGATACAAAATAATATTAGCAAATATATTGTTAAGAGAAATAAGCAAATTTTGGAAGAGTATTTAAGTTATGTCACCCTTGTGTAAAAGGAGAAACTATGTAATTGTGCGTTTATGGGCATTTTGTAAGCATTATTAATGGCTTAAATTAAAAAAATTAAAATCATTAAGTTTTTGTGAGGATTTGAATTGTCTTAGAATTTATAAAAAATAGCAGTAAGATATAAACTCATTTAATCTTCTTGAAAATATGGCTGCCCTTTTATATTCATTTACTCAGAAATCCCAACAAAAATTATAATAAAAACCCAAAAAGTGGATTAAAATATACACATTATCTTTTGTGCCACTCATTCCATTTAGTTCTATGCTAAAAGAAAATATTGTATTAAAAGTTTTTGTAGCATCATGAGATCATGTTGAATAAATGGACAACCTAAAATTTTAGTACTTTATATAACAGTTTATTTGTGCACGTCCTGCATATAATCATTGACATAGGTGAGAGAACCAAACGAACAGGACTTTTCATAGCTAAAGTGACTCAAGGGAAAGAAAATAAGAAAAACGCAAGTGGCAAATAGTTTCTAAATAAGATTCAAAAGTAAAATGACAAAAAGTTAAGTAAAATATGTAATCTGAATCACTCCTCACAATACAAGGAGCTTGACTGTAAGTTAATTTCCATTTAGATATGAATATGAATAAAGAAGTAAAGAAATACAAAAGTCAAGGCAATGGAAGAAATTCTCAATAGCTGACTGATGACTATTCAAGACTATTGGGGACTTGGTGGAAAAAGGTTTGTCTAGCAACATAGTAAATTAATCCTGTTTTTATTTCCCCATTAGATTACATATCAACTATCTGTAAATAGAATATAAAGCAGAAGGTAAGCTCACAGAATGGGCTACATAAATCATTTTGAAGTAACAAAGAATTCAGGAAAGGTACCTCCTCTTTTCAAACTTTTGAAAGAGAAAGTCACAAGAATAACAACAGCAAATACAAACTATAAACCCAAAGCCCCCTGGCTTCCTCACAACACAGTAACATTTTTTAAATGTTAGCCCTGATAATCCACTTTTAAATAAATCTCAATGGCCACTGAAAAATGTTAAGCACACTTCCAGTTAAAATCCTAACTTTGTATAATGTATCATTAAAATAATGCTACTAGGCTGAGAGACTAAGGGTCACCAGAGTAATTCTCAGATATAAGAATAATTTGAGAGAAGAAATTAGCAGATATTTTCACTCTTTTAAGTAGTGGTGTCGGTAGAGTAGGGAATATAATAAATTACCATTCTTTATTATACCCAAACAACTAGTGAAACAATTGCATTTTTAAACAAGAACTTCTTTTAAAATTTATTTCCAAAAGTCATTTTTTTTCTGTGGATGCAAGTGCAGAAGTTGTGTATGTTTTTAAAAAGAGAACCTTTAACATGAAATCTTTAAGTTGAAAGATATTACCTTGTGATATCCCCCCGCTTTTAAGTGGATGTTTTGGTAAGTGTTCCAGAAATAGTTCGCATTTCAGTAGAGTAAAAAAATTAAACAACGGTTAAAAAACTAATTATTTGGAATAAAGATATAATTCTGAGCATTTTAGTGTTCTAATAAAAGTGCATTTTAAGAGCACTGTTTTGGGAGCCAGAAAGATCTGAAAACAAGTCTCAGTTACGCTATATATTAGTATATAGGTTTGGATATGCAGTTAATTAAAGTTAGATTATCTAAGAACCACTGATCTCTAAAATGAAGATATGATATGTCATATAATTATAATAAGAAACCAACAAGATAATGTATTGCTACAGAAAAACATTAAGTGGATTAAAATTAGAAAAATCATAGCTGAAGAACAAAAATATTTTCTGCCCTTGGCTGTTTTTATTCAATGTATTATTCAGTCACTTGGTACAACCATAATAGCAGTGTTTAGATCATCTGAGGTGTACACCAAAGTAGAATGATAGGTAATATGTTTGATAGCAAAAGGATGCCTTAAAATATCTTGATATATTAAGGGATGGTATAGACTGCATGCAAATATGATATATTTAAAAGAGATAAATATAAAGATACAGTCCATTCAGGAAGAAAATATATATTGAAAAAGTAAATTTTAGCATATAACAGCTTAATGAAAATATATAAAATCAACTTAAATGCCTTTAGAGTAAGCCAGTTTTAGTACTTTTTTTGCTTTCGTTAAAAAATTACAGTATATCAAGTGGTAATAATACAAATATGATGATATAGGATTTCATAGCTCTTAGGATGGATTTCTTTGAAAACACACCATGAGTCAATGACTTAGATGTTATTGTTTATTTGGCAGGTCATCCAAGAAATCAGAAGTAAGAAAATTAAGAATTTGAGAACAAGGTAAGAAAAGCCCACCAAAGTATAATAATGATCGGGTTACAATAGTTAACAATAAGTAGACCCTCAAATTTTTTCCATCAGAAAGAGAAGGATGAAATAGTTATCCACAAACATTCATTTCCTATTTGTTAACTCCTTGAACTTCTGGGTTGCACTTTCATGCAGCGGGGCTGGCCTTGAGCCTCTGATAAGGCAGAACAGAGGGAATTTGCTGCATTCATTTAGTGTGGGAATCCGAAAAGGATACCAGGAATTTTCCACCATACCTGTACTAAATGAAGAGGTTTAGGGGAATAAGAATGTTGTGTCACAAGTATCTATTAAAGTTATCTTTTTTCATTGATTTGTACACTATTCATTCAAGACATGATTAACATCTTAGCCATCTAAGTCACTTAGACTGACTGATTAATAGTGATTCATTCAAAGTTGAATTCATTCAAGACAAGTAACCTGTATATGGAAAACCATGGACCAAATTTTAAAGGAAATGGTTGAAGGAACGCAAATGTTAGGACTAGATATGATAATACTTAGGGGAAACATCATAGAAGTCTTCAAATATTTGAAAGTTTTTCATTTGAAAAACAGAGTGCATTTTCCTGAGTAGTTAAAATTTATAGTTTAGGCAAATGTATGGACATTAAATAAAGATGGATTAAGTCTAAAATAGGAAAGACTGTACTACGAAATCTGTATAATAATGCCCTGAGTTGTAGTTAGGGTTAATACATGTTCAATTATGGGAGATGTTCAGAGATTAGTTGAACCCTTATATGTTAGAGATGTTTCAGAGCCAAATCAATAATCACAGAGGTGATTAAACAGATCTCGGGTATAAATCCCTTTCAAACATAGTATAATTCTACAAATGTCAGAGTGAACTTATACTCATCTATTAATTGCTTTATTCAGGAATACTTATTAAGAATTATACAAGTCATTGGGTGTCAATGATGAAACAAATTTGTTGAATAGTAATAAAGATATATTTAATATAATAAGTATATGTGCTATAAGTTCTATGAAGAAAAATAAAATATGACTGGGTAAAAAAATGATAGGACAGATGGTCTGTATTTATTTAAAATTAATAAAGTTTTTAAAAAAGAAGACAGTACTTAAACTGAGATCTGAAGGAAGACAAGAGGAATCAACTATGAGAATAGTTGTTTAATTTTAGTGTACAGCATATCCTACGACTCAGAGTTAAGCATGCTAAGATTTCTTTTATATGAATATATATTTTTGTCAGCATATCCAACACCCAACCATAAAATGTTTATGCAAATTACTAGAGACATATACCTTTCATTCCAATGTGAAATCATCCAGAGAGCAAAATTTAATAGCAATAGAAAATATCCTGAATAAAGTATGTTGAATGAATTAAAGGAGTAAAAAGGTCCTATCAATGATGTTAGACATTTTCAAGGAAAATAAAGTATTGATGCAATATTTGCATTTTACATAAATTAAGTAAGTCTTTTGAAAATGTTAAATCTATGTATAATAAAGCATTTACTAATGAGTATCTTTAGAGTTAAATCAACAATAATAACAAATAACACTTTAAAAAATAAAAGTGGAAGTCTGGGGGTACATTGGAGAGGTTCCAGGACACTGTTGGAGCACATTGAAGAGGGTATGAAGAAAAATTAACTTTACCAGCCTCATTGGTTTTCCAGGCAGCACAGCTTGGCACAGTGCCAAGAAAGCCCTCTCAGCCTACAATTTCTCCCACGGAGAGAGTGTGAACACACTAAGTAAGCTTCCAGCTTTCCCAGCATGTGAGGCACTGCCCAAAGGCTCACCTCTTTGTCACTCCAAACAGATATGAGAAAATCAACGGGGCCGAGTGTCTAGGAGAGTCTAGGAGTAGGGATTCCCAGTAATTAGGACTTAAATTTTAACAAAGGGATGCATATTCTACTCATTACTTTATGGATTCCATCAGGAAGTCCATCCACAAGCCACATGGGCTGTTTTAACTGTTAATCCTCCAACTGGCACAAAGGCACCTCAATGCTCCTTGTACCTTACCTTGTACCCCATAGCCAACTCTCAGCATGCGTTTCCCAGATGATAATTGTGAGCATTTGAAGATCACTTGTGAGTACAGACAGACACTGTACTCTGCGTGTTTGGGAGAAGGCACACAAACTTCAGTATTTCAGGGCACCACTCTAGAGACAACAAACAGGAGACTTTTAGCACCCAGCCTGGCTTTGTGGAATTGAGAAAATTATCCTGAGAATTCCCCCTGGCCCCATGAGGCAAGAATAAGGGTGGAATGGGCACATCCATAGAAAAGGTTTGAAGGGACCTCTCAATTTCTAACGAGCTTGACTGGTAAAAGTGTTTCTTTCCTTAAGTCAGTGAGTAAAGACTGGAGGAAGTGATTGCTTCTTCAAATGTGATGACAACAATACAAGGAACCGACAAACACATAAGAAAACAAGGAAACATAACATCACCAAAGGAACACAATAACTTTCCAGCAACCTACCCACAGAAAGAATATCTGTTAATTGCCTGACAAATAATTCAAAATAATTATGTTAAGGAATCTTAGCAGGCTACAAGAAAAAGTAGATAGACAACTTGGGTCAGGAAAACAATACATGAACAAAAATAGAAATTCAACCAAAAAAAATAAAAATCATAAAATAGAAACAAACATTCTGAAGCACAATAATACAATGAATAAAATGAAAAATTCAACAGAGAGCTTCAAAGCAGTTTTGATCAAGCAGAAGAAATAATTTGTGAAATCGAACACAACTTATTTGAAATTGCCTAATCATAGAAGAAAAATAAATAATGATAATGAATAAAGTCTATGAGAATTTTAAGACATTGTCAAGAGAACTTTCACATTAGAATAGCCTCAGAGGCAGAAGAGGGAGGAAAAAAAAAATAAGACCCATTTGAGGAAACAATGGCTAAAAATTTATCAAATCTTGAGAGAGATACAGATATCCAGAAATATGAAGCTCACAGGTCTCCAATAAGATAAAACCCAAAGAAGACTTTCTTGAGATATGTTATAATCAGTTAAAAATAAAAGGCAAATCGAGAATTTTTAAATCAATAAGAGTAAAGAGCATCACAAATAAGGAAATCCACATCAGAATATCACAGATTTCTCAGCAGATACTTTGCAGGTCAAGAAAGATGAGGATGATATACTCAAAGTGCTAAAGGAAAAAGCTTGCCAACCAAGAATAGTTTACTTGGTAAGTTGTCCTTCAGCGATGAAGGAGAGTAAAGATTTTCCTGGACAAACAAAAGCTAAGATAATTCATCATTATTAGATTTGTCTTATAAAAAATTCTGAAGGGAGTTATTTAAGCTAAAATAAGAAGATGCTAACTAGTAACATGAAAACATACGAAAATATAAAACTCACTGGTAAAGGTAAATACATAGTCAAACTAAGAATACTCTAATACTATAATTGTGGTGTATAAATCACTTTTAACTCTAGTATAAAGGTTAGACAAAAGTATTAAAAATAACTATAGCTACAATAATTTGTTAATTTATACATAATATAAAATACATAAATCATGAAACTGACATAAAATGTGTGTGAGAGAGCAAATTTGCAGTTTTTGTATGCTATCATACTTAAGATGTTACCAGCTTAAATAGACTACTATTACTATAAGATATTTTATGTAAGCCCCATGGTAACCAAAGAGCAAAACCTATAGTTGATACACAAAAGATAAAGAGAAAGGAATTAAAGTATACCATTATAGAAAAATCATCAAAATGCAAAAAAAAGAAAACAGACAGAAAGCAATAAACAAATTAACAATAGTAGGTCTTACACATCAATAGTTATTTTAAATGTAAACGTACTAAATTCTGCAATCAGAAGATATAGAGTGGTTGAATGCATTAAAAAACTAAGATCCAACTGTATGCTGCCTAAAACAGGCTCATTTAGCTTTAAGGATATATATAGGCTGAACTTAAAGGAATGAAAACCTATATTCTGTGAAAATGAAAACTAAAGGAAAGTAGGAATGTTCATACTTATATAAGAAAAAAAGTAGACTTTATAAAACCTATTATAAGATGTAAAGAGGATAATTAGAGGAGGATAAAGGGGTCAATACATGAAGAAGATATAATAATTGAAAATGACATGCACCTAACATTGGAGCACATAAATATATAAAGCAATTTGCTTTTTTTTAAAATTTTTATTTTTTGAGACAGATTCTCACTCTGTCACGCAGACTGGAGTGCAGTAGGGCTATCTTGGCTCACTGCAATCTCCATCTCCTGGGTTCAAGTGATTCTAGTGCCTCAGCCTCCAGAGTAGCTGGGATTACAGGCATGTGCCAACACACCCAGGTAACATTTTTGTGTCTTTAGTAGAAACAGGGTTTCGTCATTGGCCAGTTTGATCTCGAAATCCTGGCCTCAAGTGGTCCGCCCACCTCAGCCTCCCGAAGTGCTGGGATTACAGGCATGAGCCACCACACCCAGCCTGAAGCAAATATTAACAGAACTGAAGGGAGAAGTAAAAAGCAATGCAATAACACTAGGCAACTTCAATACTTCACTTTCAACAACGGATTATTCGTCCTGACAGAAAACCAGTAAGAAAACATTGAACATTGACTATATTTTAGACCAAATGGACTTAATGGACATATACAAAACATTTCAACAGCAACAAAATACATATTCTTCTAAAGTGTGCACACTACGTTCTCTATAATATAGTATAAGTTATACCACAAAACAAGTCAAAACATTTAACAAAATTGAAATCATTAAGTATTGTTTGTGCCAATCACAAGGTATGAGACTAAATATCATTATAGGACAAAAATGAGAAAATTAATAATATGTGGAAATTAAACAACAGAATCCTAAACAACCAATGACTCGAAGAGGAAATCAAAAGGAAAATTTAAAAATATCTTGAGAAAACAACAATAGAAATACAGTGAACCATATCTTATAGGATACAGTAAAAGCAATTTTAAGAGAAAAGTACACAGTAAAAAACAACTACATTAAAAAAATAAACATCTGAAATAAACACTAATACTTTACACCTCAAGAAACTAGAGCAAAAAGGAGAAGCTATATCCAAAGTTAGTAGGAGGAAATAAATAATGAAGACTGGAGCAGAAACAAATGTAATAGAGACTAGAAAAACAGTAGAAAGGTAAATGAAACTGAGTTAATTTTTTAAAAAGCAATTTAAATTGATAAATATTTAACTGGTAAGTAAGAAAGTAAGAGAGCTGACTCAAATAAAATCAGAAATGAAAGAGGAGGCATTATAATTGATGCCACAGAAATACACAGGATCATAAGAAACTTCTCAGAAAAATTATACACCAACAAAGTGGATACTGCAGGAAAAAAAGGGTAAATTCCTATAAACATACAACCCAACAAGGTTAAATAAAGAAGAAATTTAAAATGTTAACAGACCTACAGCAAGTAAGGAGATTGAACCAGTATTCAAAAATCTTCAAAACAAAGAAAGCTGCCCAAGACCAGCTGGCATCACTACTGTAGTCAAACAAACATTTAAAAAAGAATTAATACCAATCCTTCTCAAATGCTTCCAAAAAAAACTAAAGAGAAGGAAACATTTCAAACTCATTTTAAAGGCTATAATAACTCTGGCATCAAAGCAAGAAAAGACACGGCAAAGAAATTTACAGGCCAATATCCATGATAACCATAAATTCAAAAATCCTCAACAAAATATGAGGAAGCCAAATTCAATAGAACTTTTAAAGAATTGTACATCAAGATCAAGTGGGATTTATCCCTGAGATTCAAAGATGGTTCAACACAAAAAATCAATAAATGTGTTTTAAACTACATTAACAGAGTGAAGAATAAAAATCACATAATCATCTCAATAACTGCATAAAAATATTTGACAAAATTTAATATCTCTTTATGATAAAAAACTCAATGAATAAGGTACATGAGGAATGTCTCTCAACACGATAAAAACCACATATGACAAGCTTACGGATAACTTCGTATGCACTAGGGAAAAGGTGTAAGCTTTTCATCTAAGATCAGAAACAGACATTCCCACCACTTCTATTCAACATATTACTGAACATCCTAGCCAGACTATTTATGCAAGGAAAAGAAATAACAGATACCCAAATTGGAAAGGAAGAAGTAAAACTGTGTCTGTTTGCAGATGACATGATCCTATATGGAAAAGCCTAAACCTCCACCCAAAAACTGTTAGAATGGATAAATGAACATCATTAAAGTTGCAGTATACAAAATCAACATGCAAAAATCAGTTGCGTTTATAAACAATAACGCAGACTATCTAAAAATAACTTGAGAAAGTATTCCCATTTATCATAGCCTCAAAAATACTTTGGAATAAATTTTATCAAGGAGATGAAAAATCATACCTTTGTATTTCATATTTTATTACAAAGTTATAGTAACTGAATCAATATGGTATGAGCACAAAAACCAGACATACAGACAAATGGAACGGAATACAGAGCCCAGAGAGAAACCAACACGTATACTGGCAACTAATCTTTGACAAAGGTGCTAGGAAAGAATAGTCTCTTCAGTAAAAGATGTAGGGAAAACTGGATATCCAAATGCAAACAAAGGATTGCACCTGTATCTTACACCGTACATGAAAATAACCTCGAAATGGATTAAAGACTTACACATAAGACCTGAAACCAAAAAGTCCAAGAAAAATACATTAAGAAAAATTTCTTTGACATGGTCTTGGTAATTATTTTTTAGATATGATACCAAAAATACAGGCAACAAAAGCAAAAACAGGCAAAAGGGATTGTATTAAACTAAAAATCTTCTGCACTGTAAGGGAAATTATCAACAAACTAAAAGACAACTGACAGTACGAGAAGAAAATATTTGGAACTTATATATTCAGTAAGCAGTCTACATACAAAACATATAAGAAACATACAACCCAATAGCACAAATATGAATAACCTGATTTTAAAATGGGTAGAGGGCCTGAATAGACATTTTCCCAAAGAAGTCATACAAATAGCCAAGAGGTATATGAGTGCTCACCATCACTAATCATCAGGGAAATAAAATTTAAACTACCATGAGATAACACTTCACTCCGTTAGGGTGGCTCTTTTCAAAAATTCAAAAGACAAGCCTTGGCAATGTGGTGGAGAAAAGAAATCTTATACGCTGTTGGTGGGAGTATAAATTGGTACAGCCATTATGGAAAACACATGAAGCTTTTTCAAAAAAATTAAAGATAGAGCTACCAAATGATCTGGCAGTCCTATGACTGGATATATACGCAAAGGAAATAAAATCACTATCTTGAAGTTATATCTGCACTCTTGTTCACTGGAGCAGAATTCACAATAGCAAATATGTAGAAACTACCTGTGTAAATTGACAAATGAATAAATTTAAAAATGAAATATATATGTGTGTATATGTGCATATATATAAAAAGAATAGATTATTATTTGTCTTTAAAAATTACCATTTGTGACAACATGGATGAACCTGGAGGACATTATGCTGAGTGAAATAAGCCAGATATGGAAAGAACAACACTGCATAATACTATTTATATGCAAATCTCAAAAAGTTGAACTCAGAAACAGAGAGTAGAACGGTGGTTGCCAGGGCCTGGCGATGGGTGTAATTCGGAGAATTGAGTCACAAGGTACAAATCTGAATTATAAGAGAAATAAGCTCTGGAGATCTAGGGTACAGCATTAAGACAATAGCTAATAATCATATATTGGATACTAGAAATTTGCTGAGAGTAAACCTTAGGTGTACTCACCACACACACACAAAAGTAACTATGTGAGGTGATGGATATGTTCATTAGCTTATTTGTGGTAATAATTTCACAATACATATATATACAAAATTATCACTTATACCTTAAATATATACAATTTTTATTTGTCAGTTATAGCTCCATAGAGCTGAAAAAAGTAAAACTAAGTCTTCTGAGAAGTTATTAGCCTTACTATACAACTTATTACTTCACTTATTTTAGTTTTCTCTGTTATTGTTCTTCTAAGAACAATAGTACTAGTACAGCACTAAAATAACTTAATTTCTAAAGGGCTTGTGCTGTTACCAGGTTAACCTTTGGTCCTGACCATTGGAATTTTGCCATATAATGAGCAAAAAATGTTTACATTTTGCAGTAAAACATTAATACACAAAAACTAATTTTGGAAACAATATTTTCAAGGAATACGTATGATCCACCATAATATAAAACATTACTTGTAGGAAACAATCTTCATAAATTATAAGTTGGTAATATACCAATAATATGCAATTTAAAATGTTACAAATTGTCTTAGGAAATAATCATGGTCATTATTAGCATAAACTTTGAATCTATCATACATTAATTTACCTATTGTGGATTAATAATTCCATTTTAATTTTCTGTACTTGAAAATGGATATAAGTATTCCATGGAAAATAGAATTATTGCTTACTACTTATAAAACTGTATCAAGACTGTTAGGGAATTATTAAAAATTGGTATAGCAGAATATATTTTTCTCATTCTTGTGGAAATTGGGAAAGCTGAATGGTTCACCGTTCACATAAAGTGACTGCATAACAATCATGTTAATAAATATTAAAGTTTCACAAATAAACTTTGGTTGTCTCCTATGAATCACTTTTACTTTCATTTTTATTCACCTCTTGGTAATTTCTAATGTAAGAGTTCCATGTTATTTCCTACAAACATTGCACTTTGAAGAAAATTGTCTTATAGAAAAATATATATTATGAAGAATTGTGGGAAATTTCCAGATTTAGTATTAACACATTAGACAATTAGACACAAAATTTTATTTATAAACTAATATATTAAGAAATAATTATCCAAATAGCGTATACTGAGTTCTGAAATCCATTTTAGTTAAGATTAAATGGTAATATTTTCTGATACTTTCTAAAAATGTCCCTTCATTTTAATCCTTTTCTGTGTTGTATTCATGTTTCTTTTTTGGCAGAAAAGTCCATGTCATCCATAGTCTTTCTGCAGTCTGATTTCTAAAACTATGTTTATTTTTCAATTATCTCCTGAAATATGTCTATTACTGGTGTGCTTGTCACACTCCACATTAAAACATTTAAAGCAAATTTCAAGTTCCTTCTCCCAGTTTGTAAGAATTTGTCAACTCACATTTATACTTGATAAATAATTACTCACCTGTCCTTGTCCTTTATTTTCATTGCTAATGTCTCTCATTTTGAACTTCCAGAGGGATAATTTTTGACTTTCATACTATTCTTAATTTGTCGCATGACTTTAGGCAAACCACTGAAATCACGATTTCATTTTTCCCATGTGAAAAATGGGAGTGCTGGAGATTAAGTATACTAAAACATGTTTTTAAAATACTCTGTTCATGTTATGCATACTTTTCTATTATAAGAGTAGATGATAACATTTTACTTGGTAAGACATAATTGTATAATTTATTCCAATTGCTTTTTTTTAAACAAAAATCTGACAAACGTTTATTCCTAACTAACAGAAGTTATTGAATGTACCAAGCACTCTCATGAACTCCCCTTAATTGTCAGGCCTCTACAGAGAGCAGCAATGATGGGACCTAAATCCTGTTAGAAGCTGATATAAATGAGAATTTTAATGGCAGAAGCGAAGGCTGTATTAAGAAAGAGAAGTCAAAGTAAATAGATTTGTTGTTGTTGTAAATTTACATGTGGTTGTCTTTGTTAATATTTGTAGCTTCAACATCTATAGCCCTCTTTAAATGTTTTCTTAATATTTGTAGTATATGTTTATTTACCTTATAGTTATAGTAAGTTAAAGTTAGCATTCCTTATGCCTCTGAAAACAAAGTATTACTGATTTTGAGAAGGTATTTGCAAAGTTGAATCTTTAGATTTTTAATTAGCACTGAAATATGTTATTGGCTAACTACAAGATTCGTATTAGAAGAGTCTGCCATTAGCCTTGCCTTGAAAAACTGCAAAGATTAGAATGTCCACTTAATTATTTTAGCAAAGCTTTGTTTGTGTGAATTTTCATTCTGTTTTCATAGTTATATTTCACTTGTCCTTAGTTAAGTTTCTCCCTGTATCATTATTTTTTTAATTATGAAAAATTCTAGATGCTAACCTATCTACAATTTTTTTTTCCAGTATCTCAAGAAACCCAAGAAGAATAAATTAAGTTTCCAGGTTTAGTTTCACTGGTGAATGGGAAACATATAATTCACGAGTGCTTTATTTTAGGACTATTTCTTCTTGTTGTTGTTTATGATTTATTGTAAAATGAGACTTAAAATCTTTGACACAGCCAGGGTAAAAATATGAAGTTAAAATTATTATCTGCTGAAAGTCACTCCTGGTTTTCTACCAATAAAGAAAGTTGATAATCTCACTGATTTTTTTCTGACATCATTATTGTCTTGTTCTATAAAAGGTGAGCAAATATTTATGGGCTTAGATGTAATATTGCTACAGCAATTCAGCCTTTTCTGCACACATATGCAATATTAAAACAAGAAACTAATTACAATATGAGTGAATATAAAGGCAAAATTATCTACAAAGGTTAAATTTACCAATAGCTGTTCACAGTTTTAGGTATTTTAATAAAAATTCAGTGACATTTTGCAGATGCTCAAAGAAGACAATTTATAATTTGTGAAAGAGCATGAGTAAACATCAGAGTTCACAAATACACACACACACATTCCTTTAATGTTTTGCATAGGAATACAATAAGGTTTCATTTCATTTGTACTGTCTTATCTTTTAATCAGATTTTTTGTATTTCTTCTAAATTCATTTCTTTCTAAAAATAACCTTAAGTATCTTTGGTTTTCTTTGATAAAACTGTCTCTTTTACCTTCCTAGCAAAAGTTCAGCTATTCACCTTCATGTAGCACATACTGAGGTTATTCAGGATAAAACTTCCTTAATATGAAATTTTATCTTCAGTATTTTCAAATTTAAACTTTGCACATCTACATATTTGCATTTAACATACATTTCAATTGTATCTACAAATTTTACTTTAATTTAAGCTTCAATTTTACTTTTGTTTAGATATAGCTTCCTAATTTCATTGTGAATTATATATAGACACTGATTAGGTAAACAATTTTACTGTGTTTGCATATAGCTCAGGTGAGTACATACATAACAATAAAAGGATCCTGGCTTTTAAATACTACAGTTATGCTAATTTTACTTTATTTTTCACATTTAAAACATATAGACAATTTTAAGAATTAAATAAAATGAATATTTTAAATATGGTAAATTGGCATATTTAGTTATTTATAACTATATAATTTAAAAAATACACAAGTAGTAAAAGATTATTATTTAAGTATATAAGAACTTTATAAATAAGATTAAAGTTTCTTTTAATCATTCTTACTCCTTAACAATAATGAAAAATATATTCTGTTGTGTATCTTTTCAGTATATTTGGTTATTTTATACACATCTATTTTACAAAGACAATGTTAACTGCTTTGTGTGGGAATGATCTTCAATTGTATTTAATTCACATTATGCAGGAAAAATAATTCTGTAACATTTCATTCAAAACCATGTGATTTTTTCCCCTGAATGCTACACAGTGTAGATGTATCCAATTTATCTGTAATCATTACCTCAACATTGGATATATTTATTGCTTATTTTCTAAATTATTTTAAAATAAGAGAAAAAAATCATTGTTTTACTTCTTAGTAAGTTATAAAACCTTAAATGTTTTATGTATCATTGTATTAAACAGAAGCAATACTGTTATTTGCCTTAAAAAGAAAATAGGAATATCCTAGTTTTCTATCATAAAGTATATGGATATTGGTAAAGAAAATGCATATGGTATTCTCCATGTTTTAGTTAACACACAGTTTATAAATTATGTGCAGATTATACTAATGGCCATGTTGAAAAAGATTACTAGGAAAAAGTGATAAATGCTTGGTAGACTGAGTCAGATGTTTACACTACTTGGGCCTTTTCACCCTATGAGAAAACAGATAGTGATACATAGAGTGTCTCTAAATTATAGATTTTGAAATAATCATCAATAGGCTAAAAATGAGACTACACTAAGAACTTAATATACTTTAAAAGGAAAGAATAGCATGAGGTCATTTTTTGTAACTCAAAATATATGTTATAAAGGGCATGCTTTAAAGAACCTGGCAGCAGAGATTTGAAGGCCATTAAGAATGGCTATAGAAAGTATAAAAATAAACTAAGGCCATAGAAAGATTTCCATATGCAAACTGGTTTGAATTAGACAAAAGAGATTGTAATTGTACATATAAAGATATGTATTGTACATATAAAGTAGTAGAGACTACTTTATTTTACAGCAGCCTTCCTGATGTAAAGAATAAATGGCCAATGCAAAAAGACAGTGGGAGAACTGCAAACCCACTGACCATGCTATTCATGTTATTTCATTAAAATGTCCATTAATAACTTCAGATATGGCATGAAAACAAAATCCGTGCTGCAGTAAAATGAAGAAAAGGTTTATACTGTAAAGATTTGAAATTCAGTTGATAATGAGGCCTAAGGGGAAAGAGTATAAAGCACTGGTATAAATAAAGGCAGCTCTTAGAGCTATCAAACATAAAACGTAGACTGAACTGTAATAGCAGGAAGCCTATTTATTTTAAGAGTCCTTTTTGAGGTTACTGCTAAAACAACAACAACAAAAATCAAAACAAAATAAAGGATTCCATTGGATACCTAGTCAGTTACTTATATTATACAGCTTTTCTACTTGGGGGTAGGTTACATTAAAACATAAAACTATAACAAAACTATGCCACAAAAGTATTGAATTCATTATTACTATATTGTAATATTCAGAGCACAGGGCATACAGGTATTTTACAAAGAGGCAGGACCCGTTTGACTTGGGGAAGGATAACGGCCCTGGCATTACTTATGCCCCACCCTCTACCCATTCACTGGGAGGAGGGTACTGTTAGAAAATCAAAATGAGTGACTATCCTTAATAATGTTGGGCATCAAATTAATTGAAGAAGACTTTAGACTATAATCCAAAATAGGGAAGGATTTAAATTTTCTTTTAGAATAATAAAGACATAATTCAATGCATGATGGAGGTGATCTAATGGGAAGCAATATCATATATAAAACATCTAGGAACCCTTGTTAAGTTGGTCAGTCAGTTCCCAAATTGCCACAAGACATCAAACAGCAAAGTTAGCTAAACTCGGGAAAATAACGCCTGTTGGATGTACGAGTGTGGGTCTGTATGTGAGACTGTGTAAATGGTCTGTGTGTTTTTCTTTCAACTTTTCTTCTCCTGTATGGTCTCAATATAATAATACATTTTAAGTAAATAACTTCTTTTTAGGCTTTCATGTGTATGCTTCATGTGCAGAAAATGGTAGTCAAGGCACGAAACAAAAGAGGGAAAAGTAAAGCCCCTTTTTGATCAAAGGCAGGCATGAGTATGGGTGACAGAGATTTTGTTGAGGATATCAAAGTGCAGAGAAATTAAGATAAATCTTCTTTATTTTTTACATCCCCCATCACCATACAGGAAGAAAAGAGTTATAGCAGATATAGGAGATAAACTGCTCAAATTACAGAAACAATAGCAACATCTATGCTGGTTAGCCAAACAATAATGCACATGTAGATGATTCTTTGTCCTCAGTAAGCATACTAACTGTCTTAGGGGTATTAAATAAGTTTGAATTTGTGTAGTTGTAAGTAATCTGAATCATTAATAAAACACATGTGTTCTGACAGAGTTCAATTTAGAATGTGGCTGTTATCTCAATCAAAGGCCTTCTGTTAGTAAGCTACCAACAGGATGATGGTTTATGTGCATCAAGAGCTCAGGCAATCAATGTCAATGATATGCAAAGACCTCAACTCTAGCGGTTTTTTATGATTTGAGATATTCTAGATTATTTAACAGACCAAAACATATTTCTAGCATGGCATTAAAGAATATGCAAAAACTTTGTTTCAAAGTAAGGTACACACACACATGCATACAAAACTGATCAAATATCTACTAAAATACTTCTATCTACTGGAATTTAAGCATTCTAAAATTTTTGGAAAAATTTCATGTATATCAACAGTTTTTTTTAAATCAAAGTGTATTTCTATTTTCAAAGAAATTCAACAACAATGAAGATGATATGAGTTATATCATTTTAGGAAACTGAGTAAATATTTCCAAATGCATGCAAGGTCCTGCCAATTTGACATGATTTCAATCTTGATAATCATGCCCTACTCATTCTCTAAAATTCCACTCTGAGCATTTTTTTCCATACCTTTCCATACATTTTGGTGTTTTTTCATTTGTTCGTTTTCATGGACCTAAGTCTGAACAATATTCTGGTGTGTTTTACGTGGTGAAATCAGTTTCACTTTTAGATATAAATTCCTGAGATAGTCAAATTTTATGGCAATAAATCTTAATGAGTAAGTTATATCAACTTACGTAATACTTTTTTTTTTCTTTTTGGATACAGGGTCTCACTCTGTTGCCCAGGTTGGAGTGCAGTGGCACAGTCATAGCTCACTGCAACCTCAACCTCCCGGGCTCAGCTGATCCTCCCACCTCTGCCACCAGAATAACTGGGATAACAGGTGTGCACCACCATGCCTGGCTAATTTTTGTCTTTTTTGTGAAGACTAGGTGTCACCATGTTGTTCATGCTGGTCTCGAACTCCTGTACTGGTGATCCAACCTCCTTGGCTTCCTAAATTGCTGGGATTACAGGCCTGAGCCACCAGCTCGGCCTTATATACTACTTTTTGAGTTAAAATAAGATAAGTTGATTAAATGATGAGAGAAGTTTCATTATGTTCATGAATTGGTTCTGAAACAATTTTACGGAGATATTTAGGAAACATTTTAAGAAATGGTAACAATCAGTGGGAAAAGTAAAAATCTTTAATTTCTCCAAAGGAAAACATTTATTATTAGTCCAATCCTTCAGAGACAGGAAAGCAAGCACCTCATGAATGATCATTCGCTTTGGTTGCTATTTTGTTATTTTATTCTTCTATTCCTTTTTAGAGAATAGATTTGAGGAGCCATTAGTCCTTTAAAAATAGCTCCACGTTTGCAGGTAGCTCCTTTTTTAGTTTATATCTCTACCAGGCTCTGTGCTATTTCTTCTTAAGTATATATCAAAATGATTCCTTCTCTGTGATGATATCCCCATCTACTTCAGGCAGATTTATCATATCTTCCTAAGTCTTCTCTCTGACTTCGGCAAATCCAGCAGTTAAAGCACTTTATGTATTTTATAATGTTCACTATCTTTCCTCTTTATAGATGAGCTTATTCTAAGAACACAAATTATATTTTACTTAACTTTTTATCCTAAGTGCTTACTTTGGGAAGAACACATAGCAGGTATTCTTAATTTTATTGTTGCTGCATTTAAACTGTAATATAATGGAAAAGACAAAAAGGAGGAGATAAATAAGCACACAGTAAATGCAAAAGTAGAAGTGATTTTCTTCAAAGCACTCTGGAGTGAATAAATTTAAAATATCAAGGTAATTACACTTCAAATGTCAGAAGAAATAATAAAGGAGAAAATATAAAAATTTTTCTACATGTTTCCAAAATATCTTCTTGATAAAAGAAGAAATCAGGAAATCTGAAGTGGAAAAAAAGTCCTGAAAACCAGTGTCAGTAATTAAAACAAAAGAAAACAAACAAACAAAACTGTCATCAATTTGGCTTTCTAAAATACGAGCAGCAACATTCCAGTTTGAAGGGAGAGAAGCAAACTATGTAGAAATATATACTGCAAGGAAAATATCAGTGAGTTGAAACTAAGAAATTTATTGGAAAGTATAACAGGTATACTTTAGGAAATTGACTCAATTGTTACCTTACCAAATAGGCTGAAAAGACTTCTATTATTTGCAAAGAAAAAAGTGTTTTCCAAACTGGATATCAATTGTGTGCTAGACAAGCATGGTTGACTGATCTGAAGTTTTTTGACTGGGGAAAAGAATGAGAGAAGAAAAATGGAAAGAATCTTGTGCTTTATTACTGTGATTTGTAGGTGGTAAAGAAATATAAAAATATGAGGTATTATTAAAATATATTTAAAGCATATTTGAAAATCTGTGATGGCAAGAACAGAGCCTATGATGAAGGTGGCAGAATTCAGGTAAGTTAAGGTCAGAGCTCTGATTGCTCACTTCAACAGTATCTGGAGGAAGTCAGCTACATCAAGTAGCTTCTTAGTGAGAATATATGTCACAGCACTCTCTATATTAGTCATAGGACATAATGAAGTTTAATAAATGTGTAAGATTTGAATATGTCCTATTATATTTCATTAAAATATTTTTAAAAATTAATTACATGTCATTAAATGCTTAAGAGAGGAATAAGGAATCAAACCAACAAAAAAGACACAATAAAGAAACTAAATAATATATAAATTTAAAACTATTTAAAATATAAATAAACTAACAAAGAATTTCATGAAAATGACAATATGATTTCATCTCGTTTATTTTTACTTCCAACTCCTGAGCTACCTTTCCTGAATTAATCAGGTGCTGGGTCTAAAAGACAAGTGAGAACTCAGATGCTGCTGGAAACAGGAAGAAGAAAGCTAGTGAAAATGTTCCTTTGTGTTCGATCAGAACCTGTGGTTCCCTGACAGTCCTGCAGTGAGAAGCAGAAAAATATAGATCCTTGGTTGAATTTGGCCCACTGAGATTTGTGGAATCTCTGGAAGAAGAGTGCAGTAATTGAGTATGGGGACTCTTAAACACCTTCAAGTCAATGAAATAAAAAAAAAAATGTTGGCTGAATCCTTTCCAAGTCTACCACTAGAAAAATACAAAGAGACTGAAGAGCAGAAAGATTTTGCACTGTCAGGAAATCGCCCTCCCACCTAATATTGCATACCTGGCCTACAGCAGAGACAATGGTATTTCTACCCTTTATAATTGTTGTTCCCTCAGATAGCTGGAGTTTAGACTACCCAAGCCCAGTGAGCAGTCAAAGCAATGCTGATGATGTTGATAGTAATACTATTCATAGTAGTGATAATAAAATAATACCCACAAAGTGTTTGATAACTAGAAAGAGAAATTTTTGTCCTCATGGGAGCATATATTTTAGTACAACAAACTGATCATGTATATCAGCAACCACATCTGAGTATATAATTAAGACCCCAGTGGAGAAAGTGATTTCATCTTTGAAGATTTGTTTTATTTTTTGCTTGTTTTCATGGAACTGAGATTGCCTAAAAAGCATAAATAACTACAGAAGATGAAGGTACTGAGCATAGAGTTATGTGGGGTTACTACTTCTCATGATCTATTAGGAAAAGATGGATTATTCATTCTAACTGTGGCCTTCTTATGTGACCAAATTTCCAGGCAGTTTGTAGCGGTAAGGTAGAAAGCAATCCTGAAGGCCTGTGTGTGACTGGAGGGTGGTAATCTCAGTGGGAACATGTGGAGCTCTTCAAGCCTCCCTTTAGTTTTCTTGTGAGTGATACATGTCTAAGTATCAGGGGTGGGAATTTTTCCCAAATCTCATGATACATGAGGCACCTGTGTATTAAAAAAAGTTAAAAAATTTTTTTTCACCCCAAAAATCATTTTGATGACTATTAAATTAAAAAGCAAAATATAAAATGCTCTTTTCACCAAAACTGGAATTATGCAGAAATCTATTTGCATTTAGGTAAGTACTAGAAGATCATATAAAAAACTTCAAAACTTTGTTTTGTGCAGGCATTTTAAAATTTAGAGATTATACAGTAGGAACTTGTCCTTTGACTAGTGATAAAACAGACACAGAGGATAATCATTCACATAATTCACCCAACCAGTAAGATTGAAAACTAGAAATCATTCCTCATAACTTTCACTTGGTGATGTTTCTACTACAGCCTGGAGTCTCAAAAGTACAATTTGTTTTTTAATGTTTGTTCATTTAGGGTAGGTTTATGATACTCAACAATACACAATGATATAAAAAATGAAATACTCATTATTTACTCTTCCACTTCCTTAGAAATAACCAATGTTAATTACTTTGTATTTGTCTTTCCACAAACTATTTGTGCATATGCAGTTACATACATAGATATTTTAAAGGAAATTGTGTTCTTTTTGTACAAATGGATCACACTCTAAATTTTTCCCCAAATCCTGATTCTTTCACCAATAAATATGTTGTTTTTAGTCCATAAAAATACATGTAGATTGATTTAATTACTGTTGAATGGTCTGTTATGTAGATTATAGATCATTTATTTAGTCAGTGCTCTATGTTTTAATGTTTATAATGCAGGTGCCCCTCAGATTTAATTTAGGCAGTATAATCGGCTGAGTACCCCAGCTGCAGCACCTGTAAACCCATTGCTATATTTCCAACAAGGTCATGCTTCTCATGAATTCCTCCTAGCCAGTGAAAGACCGTAGCAAAGAAAGTAAGGCAGGCCTATTTCTGGAAGACACAGGAATCCTCTGTTATGTGACTTTAACTTGAGTCCTCTCTGACAGCCTAGCAGAAAATTTCACAAATCTGCACTCAATCTGTAAAGTCTACAATGGCTTCTGTTTAACCTTCCCTTCTTTTTCTTTTCTTCATTCTGGGTCATACTTGCATCAAACAGCTCTCCCAACCTACTGGCTCCTTCTCATTTTTCTCATAGGTATTTCCACTATTTGCACATTTATCTTTATCTTTATCTTAGTGTCTTTTTCCCAGAGGACCCAGAACAATATGTTTACTTTTTCCCATATAGTTGGTAATACACATAAAGCATACTTGAGTGAAAAAAAATCAGCATAATTTTTTAAGAAATTATGTCCTAAGATTTGCTTGATGTTTTTATCAATTATACTCAGATCTCTTGCAGCCAAGTAGAGTTGGATTAGATGTGATAGAAGGATTTGAATACCCTTATTCAATACAGCTCATTAAAACTATGTTTGTTTTGAAGAGTTGTTTGTTTTCCATCTCCCAAAGCTATGCCAGTTAACATGATTTATTGATATAGAGAACAGGACTATTCACTGTTAATTATATTCTAAACAATAACACTTCATCACCAGTTTATTTAGTGTTAGTACCAGCCTAATGGGAAAAAATACTAGATCAGACTAATTGTCATATTTTCATTTCAATCATTTCCTCCTTCCTTAACAGCATACTTTGTGATAGTTTGCTTGGCTTCTCAAACATTTTAGTACTCTTTCCTATATGAATTCACAAAAAATAAAATACCATTGGACTAATAAAATATAATTTATTCATTTTATTTTAGTTGGAATAGAACACAATGAAACTATTATACAAAAAAAGTTGAGTAAATTAGCCTTAGGCAGTGACTTACAGTTTATACCAAAATGTCTGTAGGACATCATTACAATTCAGGCTAGTCATTGTCATAGACATTAAAAGAAAATCTTGAACACTGTAAGTCCAAATTTTCACATTTCAGTATCTGAAATTGCTATGGAAAGAATTAACAGAATGAAAAATTCTTGCAAATTATACTTCATTTATTTTAACCATTAGTCTTCACTTAACCCAAGGATCATTCTGTTGACTATTAACTCTAAGGCAAGGTATTAAGTGCTGTTTAAGTAATTATAATTTATTCAATTTTTAATGAACAAGCTCTTTCAAATGATACTATATTATTTGGCATTAAGTAAATTGTCAGTAAGCAAATTTTTACTTTGTTAAAGCTAGCAAAATTTTTCAATAGTCAAGTGATAAATTTCATGGATAAATATCTAAACTTAGATTTAGTCTGACCAAAAGAAGAAAATTTGAACAAGCTGATGTAATTTTGCGCTGGTACCTGGGTGTTAAAATCTCATTAAGCATAGAAGCCTAACATGCCAAATAAATACCATAGGTACAATTCAGATAATAAGCAAAGTAGTCTGTAACTGTAAGAATCATGTAAATGTGTAGAATATACAAATAACCAATGCTGGTTAACATAAGTTCACCCTCTTGCTATTCAACAATTTTGTCAGCAGATTCATGATTTGTATCTAGTCTAAGAATTGTCCCAGTTTTCTTTGAACTGGTGTTATAGATATATTTGTTAAATCAGCTGTATATTTACTAACACAAGGACTCCAAAATTGCTAGCAAGAATCATAACATACTAAATCTAATGCTCCTATCACAACTCTAATGGGTGAAAATTCTTATGAGAATAAGAATGTCCCTTCTTAACTCTATTTGATATTCTACTACCTGACCATGAGATCTTTACTGTCTTTTTTTTTTTTTAGGTGAGTCTTCTGTTTATGAATTCTATTGTCTAGTACATTTTTTATTACTTCATTACTGCATTGTCTCAACAGCTGTGAAAGTTTGTACTCTATGGTTCTATGTCTCATATGCATAAAGAAAGATACTAAAGTTTCAATGATTGGCTAATATCCAATCAAGAATGCCTCCTGGTATCTTTTTAGAGGTGCAGAGCTAAAATTTAAAAGTCAGTTTTTCTGCATAGTGACTACACTCTGGGTAAATTTATTGACATCAATCAAACGCACATTAAATCAAAACATCCCAAATCCCCAAATTTAATGGTTATATTATATAGTATATTATAAAGTCTAGAAGCCTGATGTATGTGAAAAACAAGCATAGGATTTTCTATTCCTTAGGAAGTTTTCCTTGATAAATCCAATTAGCAGCAAAATTTGACAAGTGAATTTTCCCTTTTTGTTGTAGTTGAGTAGATACCATTGGACAAATTCACCCACATACAACAGCTAAACATTTTGGAAAAATTTCTATACACACACACTACCTAAAGGCACTGGAGAAAAATCAAAAGTATACAAATTCTGGAAGAGGCAGAAGACACTCCTGGCATGAAAGGAATAGTACCAGATGTGTTTCCTGGTTATACACCTTTTAGCTTGAGAGTAGGATTCAGTCTATGCTGTGTATGGCTAAACCTCAGTAAAACCAAGAGATGCTTATTCAAAAAAAACTCAACAAAATTGCTAAAACTTTTCGTATATTGACTAAGAAAAAGAGAAGACAACTAACTATATTCAGGAACGAAAAAGACATCACAGCTGATTTTACAGAAATAAAAGGAATTTTAAGAGAGTACTGTGAACAATTACTTGAAAACAAATTGGATAACCTATATAAAATTTATAATTTCCTATAAACACACAACCTAACAAGATTGAATCATAAACAGAAAATTTGAAGAGAACTAAAGCAAGTAAGGAGACTAAGTTAGTAATTTAAAGTCTCACAACAAAGAAAAGCACAGTCTTAAATGACTTCATTGGTGTATTCTACCAAACATTGAAAA
Source organism: Homo sapiens (assembly GCF_000001405.40). Lineage (NCBI taxonomy): Eukaryota > Metazoa > Chordata > Mammalia > Primates > Hominidae > Homo > Homo sapiens. The sequence continues at coordinate 105,495,283 of NC_000005.10, forward strand.
AGATATTATCACAAATCACCTCAAAATCTTCAATAATTCAAGAGGAGGGAGCATTATCCAAAAATCCTTAAAAAAGTTTAGCATTTTCCTGATAGCAAAGCTAGACAAAAACACTACAAGAAAATGAAACTACAGAACAATATCTCTTAGAAGTATTGATGCAAAAATTCTCAAAAAAATATTAGAAAATATAATTAAACAGCACATTAAAAGACTTTTTACACTATGACCAAGTAGAATTTATTCCTGGAACTCAAGGATGGCTCAACATATAAAAATCAATCAGTGTAATTCACCACATTAATATAATGGTTGAAAATCTCTCACATAATCATTTTATTGATCTGAAAGTATTTGAAAAACTTCAACACCTTTTTATGATAAAAACACTGAACAAATTTGGGATAGAAGGGTGCCTCAACATAAAAAAGCCATATAGGAAAATCCCACAGCTAATATTATACTCAATGGTAAAAAACTGAAAGTTTTTCACCTAAGATTACAAAGAAGACAAAGATGTCCACTCAATGGATGTCTTTATTTAACCGTTCAAATCAGAAAGTGGATTTGCAAAGTTGTAAGGTACAAAATTAATATACTAAATCAGTTGTATTTATATACACTAACAATGAACAACCCAAAAAGGAAATTTATTTTAAAAATTCCATTTACAGTAGCATCAAAAAGAATAAAATCCTTAGGAATAAACTTAATCAAGTAGGTCAAAGACTTGTATAATAAAAACTAAAATGTTGCTAAAAGAAATTTCAGAAGACGCAAATGAATGAAAATGCATGCCAGGTTCGTGGATTGGAAGGTTTAATGTTGTTAAGATATCAATTCCATGCAAAGCAATCTAAAGATTTAATACAACCCCTATTAAAATCCCAATGGAAATTTTTACAAAATAGAAAAATCCATAGTAAAACTCATATAAAATTTCAAGGTACCCTCAAATAGACAAAACAGTCATGGAAAAAAGAAAAGAGCTGGAAGTCTCATACTTTCTTCTTTCAAAACTTACTACAAAGTCCAGTGATCAAAACAGTGTGGTAACAGCATAAAGACCAACAAATAGACCAATTGGAATAGACAAAAGAGCTCAGAAATAAGCCCTTTCATATATGGTAAAGTGATTTTTGATAAGGATGCGAAGACCATTAAATGGAGAAATGAGAAAATCTGTGAAACAAATGGTGCTCAGAAAAGTGGATAGTCACATACAAATGAATGAATGCAGACCCTTCATTAAATTCTATACAAAAATCAACTCAAATTGGATGGAAGACCTAAACATAAGAGCTAAAAATATAAAAATCCCAGAAGAATAACCTAAGGGAAAATAAATATGACAATGGATTTAGCAATGATTCCTTGGACATGACACAAAAAGTACAAGAAAAAAAGTAAAAATAGATAAAATTGGACAATATCAATATCAGAATTAAAAATTTTTGTGCTTAAAGGAAATGATACAAAGAAAAGGTAACATAGAGAAGGGGAGAAAATATTTGTAATTCATACATCCAATAAAAAGTTAAGATTCAGTATAAAAAATTCTTACAACTCAATAACAACAGCAACAATAACAAAAACTCTGAGTTTAAAAATGGACAAATGAATTTAGTAGCTTGGTTAACAAGCACACAAAGAGATGCTCAACACCAGTAACCATTAGAGAAATGCAAATTGCCATGAGCTAGGACCTCCCACCAATTACTATGCCTACTATCAAATAAGTAAATTAATAAAAGAGAAAGCAACAAGTGTTGATAAGGATATAGATAAATTGGAACCTCTGTGTGTTGTTAGCATAAGTGTAAAATGGTACAGCTATGATTTTTGGGGAGTTCCCAAAAAATCAAAAATAAATTCTATTGTCTAGAATTTGGGAGTTCCCAAAAAATCAAAAATAAAATGACCGTATCATCTATCAATTCGATTTCTGGCTCGATACTCAAAATAATAGAAAACTGGGTTTTACCCATGTTTACAGCATTATTATTGTAAACAGCTAAAAGATGAAAGCCACACAAATGTTCATCAATGATTCAATGCATAAACAAAATGCATGATACAGTGCGTCAATGATATAATGCATAAAAATGTGGCATACAGATACAATGCAATATTATTCAAGCTCAAAAATGAATAGAATTATAATGCATGCTATAACATGGATGAACCTTAAAGACATAATACTACATGAAATAAGCCAGTCACAAAAACACAAATACTGTAGAGTAGACAAATTCATAAAGACAGAAAGTAGAAGGGTAGTTACCAGTGTCTGGTAAGGAGGAATACAGTATTTTTGTTTAATGGGATATAGTTTCAGTTTTGCAAGAGTTTTGGAGATTGGCTGTACAACAATGCCAATTGTACTTAATACTACAAAACTGTATGCTTAAAAATAGTTAAGATGGTATATTTAATGTTAGATGTATTTTATCACAATTGAGATTTTTAAAATTATTAAATGTTTTTCATATAGGCAATGATAAAAGTGGCAAACTGGGAAAACTTTCCTACTTATGTAATAATATCTAATACACTTTGCACATGGAAAGAACTGAATAAGTGAAAGCTGGCTTATTTTAAGTATGTATATATTTAAGTATATATATATTCAGTTTTTCCTTATATATAATTTACAATGAGCAGATGTTCATTAATGATTCATTAAGACTGTGGGTTCCCTTCAAGGTTGTGGATTTCCTTTTGGCCCAAGGTGTGTCTAGAAACATCATCCATGAGCTGGAGCCTGGAACGGGGACCTTACAACTTTTCCCGGTGCTCTATTCTACTGTGGCTGAGCTGGTACCCAAGATGCAAGACAAAACCCTCTTTACCCTTTGTTCTCCTCTCCTTAAGCAGAAGGAAGGTGTCACTTATGTTGCTGAGAGCTGCACTCCCTCTGGGTTTGGGGGGAGTGGTGGTGCAAGCACTCCTTTAGCTGCCCCAGCTGGTGTCTCACTAGATCACATGCCACCCTAGTCCACTGGTTCTGAGCCCAGCACAGCACTAAGAGTTGCCTAAGAATTGTAGTCCTTGGGTCCTAGACTGCCTTTCAAGTCTGAGCAGGAAATCAGAGCATTTTGGCATATGGCAGTAAGGCTTACCAACAAACTCAGATTCCGACCATCGGGATGGACAATTCCCCTCTGGCTACATCTGGTCCAAATGTTCCCTCTGTGTGCAGGCACTGGTTGAACACAGCAGGGCTGTGCTCTCTGCTGTGACAGGGCAACACTGAGTTCAATGTAAAGTTCCCCATAACTACACTCTCCCTCCCCAAAGTGCACAGACTGTCTCCCAGCTACACAGCTGCTGCTAGGGGATGGAGGAGGGGTGGTGTTAGCGATTCAAGACTGTCACTCCTGCCCTCTTCAATGTCTCTTGCAGCAATATAAGATTAAGAGCAGGTACTGTGATTGCTCACCTGATTTCTGGTTCTGTGATGGTGCTTTTCTGTGTGCAGATAGTTGTTAAAATTTGATGTTCCTGCAGTGGGTAGGGAGGGGATAAATGCTGTAAGCTTCTATTGCAGCATGTTGCTTTGTCCTGGCAATACAAATTATTTAATCGGAATTTTCAGTTTCTTCAAAAAACATTTTCTCAAGTAAGCCAAATTAAATCACTTTAATGCATAGACACTTATACAACTTAACAACACGATTAAAACATATTTTCAATTTTCCTACTTTATATCACTATAGTTATTTAATAAGAATAATTTTTATTTATAAACTTCAGTGAAGGTGCCTATCACTGTTCATATGTGTGCCCAATTCAAATAATAGTAAATAGAATTACTGCCAAGAATCAAAGCCATTATTCCTATTAATATTTCCAAGGCAAATTTTGCTGTTTTTAAAGTTGCCTACCAAATGATCTTTTTGTGTGTAATTTAACATCGATATTGGTGTTTTAGGTATCAGTATATATATTGGATAAAAATAGGAATGTTTTAATTTATTTCATATTAAATCTATAAAAATGTATGAGCAATTTCTTTCAAATATCCTAGACTTTATTGACCAAAATATATCCAAATATTTTGCCTCCAAGTAGTAAGAGGGGAAATCATCTATTTGCACAAAAGTGAATCAAAATCTGATTACATCAAAACTTGAAGATTCTTTTTCAAGGGAAGTTTCACCAATATCTGAACATCACCAGAAGAAAGATGCATAGTGAAGATATTCCTCTTCACTGGTTAAGAGGAACCTGTGCAGGGTATTCAAAGCTCTTCTCATAAAGATTCCATGCTAATCACATACTAGGTTTTCTATGTCTTTGTAGTGAAATTGCAAACACTTTAAGAGCAGGAAGCTTGCAGATGCAATGACTGAAAAATATTTAAAAGGTTGTACTGTTTGCTAGTGGAGCTGCTTTGGCCTTGTACTGAAAAGTGGCACCTGTACCTTTGAATTCGTTGTGGAATTGAAAGGAGGTAAAGAGAAAGGATCCTGGGTCAACCCTTACTGTAAAAATAAATGATTTTCACTGGGATAAACATTGTCATCAATATTGACAATGAAAGATTTATTAACTTTACTAGTGTAGATATAATTCTAAGGCCAGTAGAATGATTGTGAACACCTCTGTTTTCTGAAGTGGGAAAAATATTAGTTCACTCTCTGTTGATATTTGAAAGAAATGATATGTACGCCATCATGTTCCATTCATATCAAACTTCTAGGAAGGCTGTATTAAAGTAAATTAATATTTAATATTAACTGTAGCAAAAATAACTAATAATTTTCTGTAAAGATTATGATGTCATAAAGTTGTATTTAAATGCTGTGTGTAGCTTATTTCTGGTTAAATTCTACTATCTGCTATCTGCTTCTAACAGGTAAAATATGAGCATAATAATTAAATTAAGAAAACTTTTAAAAGCAGCAATCAACAAAGTAATACATTGTGCTTCTAATTTGAAATTTGTAAAAGATGGCAACAGAAAATTATGTCCTCACTACATATTTAAGTTTGAGAAGAGTTGCATTAGGCAACACAATTTAATTCACAAAATTCTGAAAATTAAAATAAATTCCTTTGAATATAAACATAGGCACACAGAAAGGAATAGATGGCTTGTCAAAAACGATTAAAAAAAAAAAAAAAACCTTTGTAAGAGATGTTCCTATGACAGGATTCAACATTTTAGCAAAGACAAGAAAAATCACTTTTTCATTTATCCTTAGTGAATTGAGCTGAATTTCTAAATCACAAGACTGTGCACATTCATTGGAGGATAATACATCCAATATGGTTGATTAAACAATGCAAAGGATATTTGACACAATCTCAAAAGAGAAAGCAGAAAGCATTTGTTTGCTAGGGCTGACATAGTAAAGTACACAGACTGGTGGCTTAACAATAAAATTTTATTTTCTCACAGTTTCAGCAGCTAAAAATCCAAAATCAAGGTGTCAGGCAGGTTGGTTTCTTCTGAGGTCTCTCTCATTGGCATGTAGATGGCCACTGCCTATTCAGCCCATAGCAGTACTGTACAACTGTGTTAGAAAGACAATACAAAACACCTGCTGGTCTTTCACCTCCCATTTCATCCTTGCTACTTCACAGCAGCAAAATATATAAAGCACAACACCTAGTCTTCCCACTGTCACTCAGAGGGCAAGACAGAGTTCTCAGTTATACTGTGAGGTATATCATGTTGGAACACACATATTAAGTTGAGGCAATTTAAAGATTTGAACAAAGCTTACCTTATTAATTTTGAGAACACTAAAATGTGCGGCATAGAGAAGTGCAAGAGTGATTTTTTCCAGGTTTATTAAGGTATGATTGACAAATAAAAGTTTTATATATTTAGAGTGAAAATTCTGATGTTTTACCTGTTGTTAACTTGTATAAGTGTCTATGCATTAAAGTGATTTAATTTGGCTTACTTGAGAAAATGTTTTTCGAAGAAACTTAAAATTCTGATTAAATAATTTGTACTGTGAGGACAAAGCAACATGCTGCAATAGAAGCTTACAGCATTCACTGCCCCTCCACCCCTTGCAGGAACACCAAATTTTAACAACTATCTGCACACAAAAAAGCACAATCACAAAACCAAAAAACAGGTGAGCAAACATAGTACCTGTTTTTAATCTTGTATTACTGAAAGAGACATTGAAGAGGGCAGGAGTGACAGTCTTGAATCACCAACAGCATCCCTCCTCCATTCCCTAGCAGCAGCTGTGCAGCTGGGAGAGCGTGTGCCCTTGAGAGAGGGAGAGTGTAGTTATGGGGACTTTAAATTTAACTTGGTGTTGCCCTGTCACAGCAGGGAGCACAGCCCTGCTGGGCTCAATCAGTTACTTGGAATCCCTTCCATTCTGGAATATATCCTTGTTGAAATAAATATCTACTCCAGTTTTGGGCTTTCCTTCTGTGACTTTGAAACACTGAGCAGCTTTACCATTAGAGGGTTTTACACAATGATAGACATGTTCATGTTATGTCTCATGGAGCACTGCCTCAGATCAAAGGGTTTGTTAATGACAGAGGAGATACAATAATTGACTGACAACATGAGATTCACTGATTTTATCATGTTACACTAAATCCCAGAAACAGGTGGCTTGAAAAAGTGATGAAATGGCCTGTTGATAATATAGCTAAGGTTCCAACTCCAGGTAACACTTTGCCTATTGGAGTATAATCTTACAGGTTGTGGTATATAAACTCAGTCAATAGCGAATGTATAAAATGTGCCCTCAAGAACTAGAAACACTAGTTTAAGGATCAAGAAATAGAAGTAACATTGCTTCTTCCTACCATCAATTCTGATGTTTTAATCTCTCTATATATTGTAAAATGATTACCAAAATTAAGCTAATCATATATGAACATATCCATCACCCCAATAGTTACCATTTGTTGGTTGCTTTTATTTTTATTATTTTTTTTATTTTTGTAGGGAGAATACTTGAGATCCACCCTTAGTAAAATTCAGGTATACCATACATTATTATTAATTATATAATGACTATTCTTATTATACTCACCATGCTTTACATCATGTCTCCAGTACTTTGAAGATTTGTACCCTTTGATCGATTTTTAAAGTAACAGAATTTCATTAATTAAATGAAACTAAAATTTGAAAGTTAATTAATTTCTGTTTCAGTAATTGGAAAACAGGCCCGATGTAAAAGAAAATGCACATTGATGGGGGGGAAATTAAATTTCCACAAGTTGTACACTTAGAAAAATTTAAACAGAAAATGTATTCATTAAATCTAGAAGCCTGGAATAAGAAGATAAAACAACAGAATAAGATAAAAAGGAGAGTTTGAATTCAGAAAAAAAAATAGATTGCAAAATAACAAATTAGAGAATTAAGAAATATATTAGTAGAAGCAAATTAGAATATTTCTGAAAATATTTTTACTGGCATTAAAGAAAAGTATGAGGAAATTCAATGTAAAGTTGGAAATAAGAAATAATATGATTTAAGCAACTAGAAAGAATATAATAGAGAATACAAACAAAATGATGCAGTGATAGGATAATTGTCCTGTAAAAAACATAGAACACAACCACAAACGGAACCTCCTGTAGGATCTTTAGACATGACAAGAAGCTCTCTAAAAATAAGAAATAACTGTGTTAAAGAAAGCAGTAATCATTCTTTTATTCTTACTGATTCATTCTTTTATTCTTCCTGATTCATTTTTTTTTTTTTTTCTTAGTGCCTGGAACAATCCTTTTTTGTTTGTTTGTTTGTTTGTTTGTTTGTTTGTTTGTTTATTATACTTTAAGTTTTAGGGTACATGTGCACATTGTGCAGGTTAGTTACATATGTATACATGTGCCATGCTGGTTCATTCTTTTATTCTTTCTTCTTGAAATAGAACAACCTGGCTTTCCTTGCACAGTGTGGTGGAGTTGGACAATTCTTGGGATTCATTGTAATGATGTGTGACCATTGAGCATGTTTGTGCCAAGGGTGCAAGCAAATGTGACATGCAGTTTAGAGGCCACATATTTATAAACAACATTTTTAACCTTTCCTTTTGATGTCATTAGATGAGAGTAAATTAATCAAAACCAATGTATTAATCCACAACAATGAAGAGAATAGAAGTTGATCCAGCAACATAAAATTTATCAAAAGTTTCTGCAATCTGAGAAAGATAAAAGTATATTAACAATAAATAGAGTACATCTAAAAATCTACTACTGGAAGATTCTCCATGTTTACTACAGTAAAAGGTTACTATCTGTTACACAGTGAACTTGCCATCAATACACACATACACACACACACACACACACACACATACACGCACAGAAAGAGAGAGAGAGAAATTTAAAAAGTAAACTAGAAAATGCTTTAGATTTGAAGACATTTGTAAAAGGCAGGAATGACAAATGTGGTCGAAAAACAGGAAATAATGATTGTATAAAGGATTGTCAGCTCTCTAAACGTGGTCTTAATAACAAGAAGTAAAAATTAAAGAATTCTCTAAATACATTTATTGAATAGTTTGATATTGAATATTGAAAAATTGTGCAAACTACTGTGGGTATACCATTACTTAAGAATAAAGACCTCCATATTCTGGTATTCTAAGGAAGCCTCTTGTATATTTAGCTCATCTTACTCAAGTGTTGACAGAGTAACAACTTAAATGACAATTTGAGGAAGCAATAAAAAATACTAGCTTGGATATTTCAACATTCAATTCCATAAAAAGATGTAGGTTGTATTTTAGATGAAAAATTAAATCATCACAATAACCCAATGCAATGTGCAAACACTGGTTGTATTCTGATTCAAAATGAATACTTGAAAAGATATCCAAAGAGATATGCAATTAAATTATGGAATTATGACTCATCTTTGATGCTGTAATAATGGTACTGTGGTTATGCAGAAGAATGTCTTTATTTCTAGAGATGTATGCTTACGAGTCATGGTACTTGTCTTAGCCCATGTTTTCTAGAAAACAGAAGCTGAGACAGAAGCTGATGAGCATGAGGATAAATGCAAGCTAGCAGGGAGGACATGCAAAATTAAGAGAGTAGATTAAATATTAGAAACACAGCTTTGCAAAAACAAAACAAACAAAAAAAAACAAGGCTGTTTGGCCTGTTTTGTAGGAAATGTGCAGAGAGACTGCATGAAACTAGTTTCCTGGAATAGACCCTTTGGGTATTAGATGGCAAGCTATCTATCTATTACTTCTTCCTATCTCTAATCTCTTATATCGTATGGGTCAAAATTCAACCCATATGGAGTTAACTCTGTTCACGTTGTGTTTCATGGCCCCATCAGACAGCTCTTCCTGAAGGAAAATACTCTTGTTTGTCCAGTCCAGCCAGGCCCTGGTCATGGATTTCTTCTGTCACTAGGTAGAACACATTGGGTTCTCTGGTATCTGATGGAAGCAATACCAGCAACATAAACTGGAATCCTACCACTAAAACAGTCAGGAAACTTGTAACCTTTACGCTGACTAGGAAGCAAGACAAGCAGCCAGGCTGGAGGTGGTTGGGGGGATAGTGGGAGGAGCCAAGCAGATCTGGCGTGGAACATAATTTGGGCCTGGTATGATCCTCTGCTCATGCTACTAAGAATGTCTCACATAATTTTGCAGTGACTATACATTCCATGCGATCAAGACCCTCTCACTTCTTTTTGGAAGGGAGATGAATATTCAATCTTTCAAGGTGAAGGGTAGTTGCAATCACCAAAAATTGCATTCAAGGAGTGTTAGCAAACAAATCTATTATCCTCATGCTGCAGGTGACTGTGAAGCAAAATTGATATTTTTCACTTCCCATTTTTATCACTTATTCTAGAGTTTAATTACATTTCTCCAGATTTTCATGTGTTCTAGGTTGCTTACCTGCCAAGTGTTCTAGTGATCCTTCCCCAAATATTCCAAACTCTTAACTCTGTTAAAGATACACAGTTTTTATAGCTCCCTATTTAGATTAATCACTGATCATATTCCAAGTAAGTCCAATGGACTCCAGGAACACTCTTTTCTGATTAATTTTGCATGGGCAACCAGTTTCTCTTGATAATGAGGATTGATTTCTCTAGCCAGTTCTACTACTCATATCATTGTCCGATAACTCAATAGGATAAAAACTTCAAAAGTAGTCAGTTAACAGTGAAATTTTCCAATTAGTAGAATTCTTACTGTGTCTTGCAGTAGAAATATACTACCCACACTTGTGAATCAGAACTTCTAATTTAGCAGAGCTTACATTTCAAAGAGACCAAGTGACAAAGTGTGATGATAGGAAGAGGCAATGTTAATTGTATTCCTTGATCATCAAGCTAGTGTTTCTTGCTTTTGAGAACACATAGCTCTATGCATTTGCTATTGAGTGAGTTCATATACCACAATCTCTATGACTATACTCTAAAAAGGCAAAGTGTTACCTGAGGTTGGAATCTTAGCTGTACCATCAACAGGCCATTTCATCATTTGTTCAAGCCACCTGTTTCTGGGATTTAGTGTAATGTGGTAAAATCAGTAAATCTCATATTGTGAGTCAACTATTGCTTCTCCTTTGCCATTAACAAGCCCTTTGATCTGAGGCAGTTTTCTATGGGATATAATATGGATGTGTCTGTCATGGTGTAAAACCTTCTAATGGTAATACTGCTCAATGTTTCAAAGTCACAGAAGAATAGCCCAAAACTAGAGTAGATAGTTATTTCAATAAGGATATACTCCAGAATGGAAGAGATTCAAAGTAACTGTTCTGCCCCAAGATGAGTAGCAGGTGTTGCTGAGAAAGCCTCAAGGGGGAAAAATTAGTTTCCAATTCCAGTTACTTGGGAATTCAGTAGTGAAAACAACTACCTCAATCTTGCTAAAGAGGACTCTATTGGTAGGATAATCCATATATTTCTTCATGGATAGCCAAGGTGGAAGGACGTTTGATGTCCATTAGATGAGTCTTCCTGTCTACCTGGTTTTTAGGTTTTCATAAATGCTCACTTGTGGCCACTAAAATAAGACATAAAGATCAGTACAGGTTGTTCCCATTTTCAAGTTTATCCACACATGTATGTATCAGGGATACATTCCCTGAGCTTCTAGTGTTATTTTTCTATGCTTCTGACAAATTTCCTCAGTTATCCATCACAGCTGAGGAGTCAGTCCTTATCTCTACCTCAGGCCACCTCTCTCCATATTAGCTGGGTGACCCAGTGTACTGCTGCCAGCTCTGCAATTTGGAGGATTTTCTCTCACTGCCACCCTACATGGCAATGAGTGCAGCTTAATATACCAGCAGCCTTTTCTTTGGTGGCACCAACATATTGCATCTATTCATCTGTGAGCCTGGCCCAAGTCCCTTCCTCCAGTGCAGTTGATCATAGAGGATGTCCTAAGAGGCCAGTGTTTGTTCAGGGAGCAATACACGTAGGTGACAAGAGAATCCAGGACATTGATTCATCTAATTTTTTCATGCTATCTGGACAGACTTGAGTCTGATCCCTCATGTTCCATTTCTATTTTCTAATGGATTGTTGCTGTTTCTACTCCTGCAAAATATCTGACTCAATTCATCTGAGAACAAGCTGATCATTGGCTGCTCCTGCCCACAGCCACTAGGTGTCCCATGTTCAGCTGCTCAGTCTCTGTTAGGGCCTGGTAGCACTCCAGGAGTACAGTTGCTCAGAGACAGCAACGAGATGTGGCTCTCCTTTATGTGACTCTCCTTTAAGCTGCCACAGAAGCCCTCCAGCTTTCACTGTATGCCTTTAAGTTGACAGCAGCTGCCATTTACCTGTCACTGTCTTTTGAAGACTTTCATTGCCATCAGAAAATGTCACTCTACATCTGTGTCTTTGAAATTATAATTGTGCCAGGCAAGTTACAAGTAGCAGCCACTTATCTCTCACTACATATTTTTCACATCTATATCATAATGATGTCACTGCATATCAGGATCATGACCTTCCTTTTACCAAGAACAATGTGATTTCAACTGCATTCAAACTGAAAAGCAACCCAACTACAAAATCCAGCTCCAAGGGTCTATTTTCTAGTGACTGATATTCCTGGTACCAACTGTACCAACTTCTAAAAAAGCAGAGCCTGAGAAAAAAAGTATGTGTGCTAACACTTAATAAGGGGTGTGGGGGAAAATTTGAGAGAAGCAAGCATGAGAGGAATGGGGAAGCAAGGCAGAAAAAGAGGGAGAACAATTACTAGAGGCTGTGATCTTGAATTGGCCACAGTTTCACAAATGGTCATTAGGCTTCACAGCCTCTTCCAGAGAGGCTGCAAATCTACTGCATCTTCTGTCTGTGAGGCGGGAAAAGAGGGAGGAAAAGCAATCTGTCATTTGCTTCTTCCTTTCCACTCCTGTGTCCCATTATCAAAGTCAATCCTATGAATCTTAGCTGCCAAATTTCCAGGTTGTAACACCTGACCACCATGTAGCATATGGTGAAGCCAGAGTCTTTTTAGTCCCATTTGGCCAAGGAGTAGTTGCAGGGCCTCTTCCTGCAGGGACCGGTGTATTGGGAATCTTCAGACTGTAATAGGGGCAGCAGCAGCACCAATGTCCATAATTTTACAATTCTGGAAGTGACATAAGCCTTTGGCAAGGCTGTTCTGGTAAGAAAACATGACAAAGAGCTGAGGCTTGAGAAAGAGAGAATGAAGACTTCTAGGGTATTCCATACCCTGGATCTGGTAGAAATTTGCAACTGACTTTTAAATGGTTAAAAAAAAAAGTTAGATAAAGTATAGTAAAATAGTAACAATTGTTGACTCTAGGGAGGATACACATGCATGCACACGCTCCAAATTTATTTGAAATGTTCCTTACATCAAAGTTAAGAATAAACATGATTTCTGAAAAAGGAAAATGTCAAAAGTAAAATTAGAGCTCTTGAAAATATAGGGGATGTATAGTATCAACCTACAAAGCATAACATTTCTTTTTCTAACATTTCAATGCCTTTTAATGTTTTTAAAATTATTTATAAACATTAAAAAATGTTTTGTTTAAAACCAATAGATGCTCTACTTTATTTTACTACGATTATTTCTATATCTGTTTATATGTACATAACAAGTTAACATGAAATTCTTCCAACCCAATTTCAGCTAACTTATGGAGGCAATAGATGCCACTACATTTCAAAGTGAATGGTAAAACAGATAACAATGGAAAATTTTATACAAAGTGGCCACAAACCTGTTAAAAAAAACTCACTAGCATGGAGATTATGTAAGGATAGGATTTTTGAGCCTGGAGAGTTTGGGGGTTTTGAGGGGGAATTGTTTGAAATACCTTGAGGATTACTTTGGAGGGTAGGAGGGAGTAAACGGTCCTTCACCTCAAGTCAGCTGAGCAGGGTTTCTATGGAAATTTGTTTTGTACAACCACTAGACACAGTGTGAGATGTGACTCACTTCTTAGTAAACTGAAAGTGGAGAGACTCACTAGAGCGACCAGGATAGCAGATAAATTGGAGCTTGGGGTCACTTAAAAGTGATGTGAGTCTGATCAAGAAGCTTCTGCAAGAGAGGAGCCTGCAGCCAACTTTCAGCCTCATGTACAGATAAGATGACTTAATGTTAAATCACTTTCAAATTTTGATTATTACATAGCAGTATGCATTTTTAATTATTGAATTGGGACAATTTTGCTTTTTAAAGTAACCATATGATATTACCTTAGAGTGAACAAAAGACTCAATAGGCTTGTGCATGTTATCATTTAAAGTTAAGAATTTATTGAGCACTTAGGATTTTAAAGGGCAATGTGAGACTAAAATAAAATATTTTTATTATTTTATCTTTTGATTCATGTTTTGTTTAATAAGTCTTTTAAACAAACACAGAATTTTGAGGTTCATTTAATAATAAAAGTGGCAACTTTTATGAAGACATTTTTGCTTATTTCTCTGAATTTTGTTTGTCTAATTGTTAATAATTATGTATATAGAACCATAAAAAATAAACACATAATACAAAATAAACATTTTTAAACATTTGATTTTATTTTGGATCCTCTCAAAATAAATGCATATCTATAATATAGATATGTATTTATATGTTCTTATTTTTATGGGTTTGAATCATTATTTCAACATTTAAAATTATGGACGTTTATAGTTGTTTTTATATTTTATCAAAATCTTAAGGAATGCTATTTTAATTATAACAGCTTTCCTTTTGGAAACTACAGTCCGCTTTTAAGATATTACTTTATGATTCTAGAAATGGAAGGAAGGAACTGTCTGCTGCCTGTGTCTATAGAGAAGCCAGAGAAATTCACAGGAGTTGGAAACAGTGGGGTAGGAGGAAGTTAGGTGGGAGTGGCAAGGCAGATGGAATCTGATGCCCCTTCCTTTCCTTCCTTTCCTTCCTTTCCTTCCTTCCTTCCTTCTTCTCTCTCTCTCCTTCTTTTTCTTTCTTTCTGAATTTCTTCTTTTCTTCCTTTTCTTGTGGGAGGAGTTACACTTAATCTACGTAATAAAGCAGAGGGGCAAACTTCTGCTTTCTTTCTGCCTCTTGAGAAATGTCACCCTTTGAAAGAATCAGCTCTAGCTGCAGTGCTGTTTAGCAGATAGGCTTGTCTTTGTTCTACACAGAAAATTCTCACCAGGCTTTTCTCTTTAGATCAGAGTCTCGATTTCTCTTCTCATTTCTCCCCCCAAAAACGATTGATCTCTATCTGGATCGAAATGTTCACAGGCAAATATCATATGGACTGGTTTCAAGTCTTAAGGTATTCGGTGTTTTTCACCACTTCTGTTAAACACACGCATACATACAGACACGGACTTACTAATCATGTTGTATAGTCATGGCATAGCATTTAATATTGTCAGTCCCAATTTCTATATCTATATATCTATATAACAGGAATAAGTAACATTGGCTCCAAAATCTGTAATATATAGTGAGGAGAACACATGAGATACTGTAGGTAAGAGTACATTTAAACAACAAGTCTCTATACATGATTTTATTATAGTGATTCTACCAGTGTTCAAAGACAACAGCCTGTCACTAGAGCTTTAAATTACCTAAATTCAGAACATTATTTTTAATGAACTGAAATTTAGACAAATATAACTTTTACAGTATCTATCGTTTGCAACTTTCTACAGTAAAGGAAATATAACAAAATGCAATGTTGAAAGCAGTATAGTGAAAAATATTTCAGGTAAATTAAGCTTTCTGTGCGTATAAAGAGACAGAAAAAATATTTAAAATAAAATAACGTACATATTTGAAGTCATAATGACTTCACAATATCAAGCTATCACAACATTAAGGCCATGTACAGCAAAGGGCTGATGAGTCTACAATGTACACGAAACAGAAAATCTACTGATTGTTATCTCTACTTTTATAAATTTTAACCTCAGAAAACCTGTGATAAAAGGCTTAAAATTTTTCTGCTTCTCATTTTTGAAATATAATTAAGCTTCAGTCCTATTATTTCATGACAATGGAAAAGTCATTGATTGTGCTGCTTTTGAAATCCTGTATCACATTAGGCACTTTCTAATAATGATGCCCTTGGCTTAAGAAAAAGAAGAGAAAATTGTCTTGACCTAATTAAAAACTCTGAAGATCTTCTCTATTATTTTTTCGTACAACTTATTTGGGCCACATGCCAATTAAAGAATGAACATTTTAAAAAATCTGTCAGATGGAGATAAAATAAAATGATATATGTTAAAATAACTCAGATTTTCAGAAGTGAGATTTGTCAGACTACATAAAAATTTGTGAGCAGAATGCACATCAGTGAAGTTTCAAAATGAGGTCACATTCATCTTTGTTAATCTCAAGTACCTTAGATCCAAGAAAAGGGCATGGCTGTGCCAAGAAAGGAGAGTCTGTAGAATAAAAGCATCTCTTTTCAAGCGTAATTACAAACTTCAGTGAATAATGAAGAATCTCTTGTTACCTCGGTACCACCTATCTTCTTTCATTTTCTATTACAATGAGATAACCCCCATTATTATTTCTGAGTGAATCTGGAGCCATGAAACTACAGACAGCTTGGAATGTTTTCAACTTGCAGTTTTCACGCTAAGTCAGAACTATTTGAATTCACACATGTATTTGAGCAAGTCAACATATGAAATGAAGTTCGGTCTTCTGTTATGCCTTCAAAATACTAACTAGATTCACTATTGCCTAACACATCAAAATCTATTTTCATGAAATCCCTGAAATCTGTCTTTCCTTATCCCTCTCTCATTTACAATTATCCCCTTCTCCCTTGTGTTCTGTGGTTTTCTATCACATTGTATGAAATAGTCCAAAAGCTGCTGTTTTCTTGGTTTTGTGCATAATATTTTATGACAATGCATTTTCCTTCTGTTATTAATTCTTAGCCGTGTACATACATACCCATTAACTCTAACATTTGTTTTGTCTCAGAATACTGCTTCATATTTATTTATATTTGACTTCATAAATGCAAATTATTTAATAATTGATATTGTATCTCCTTTTAATAAATAGCACTTTCTTTTCATATAAACTTAGAAAATACAGATAATTGTACAATGTTTTATTAATATGATCCAAAACTTTAATTGTCTTCCAATTGACCAGATTTTAAAAAAATAAGATTTTGCCAGTTTTACATAAAAGGTTTTCTATAGTATGCCCCTAATTAAGCTACTCTCCACTGGAAATTTCGGTCTTATTCTATACTCCTGCCAAAATAAATTTTCCCCGTACCCAAGAATCCTCCTCTGGATACCTTCCTCAGTGTCTTTGTTTATGACATTGTCCTTTATCTAGTCTTTGATGATCTCTGAATGTCAAATAGCCAACCTTCAGAATCCATTGTAAATAGTTCCTCCATAATTTAATTTTTCCTATCTGTCTCTACGTGGGACAAACGATGATTTCTCAAGAATTCCTTCAAAATTTAAGTTTATTGGTACCTTTTTTTATGAGACAGCACAAGATTTCATAATTCCTTGTATGTATTAGATATTTGAGTATTAGCTGTCCATGTGTATATTTAAATGAAGAGAGATTATTTTGAAATCTGCACATCTATGGAAAGGAATTTGGTTTCTGTAATGGAAAATGTGGCTCGGTAATCTGCTAGACTCAGGAGGGCTAGATATATGGGAAAAATAACTCTACAACAAGGTTAATTGGCTTAGTAGAAGAAAATCACCAGGACACTGGGCAAAGTAGGGGAATGGAAAGGTACTTCTTATAAAAACAAGACTGACTTGGACATTTAAAAAAAAAAAAGAATAGTCTTTTATACATTAAAACAACTTAATAGAAGTTAATTAGATTTTTCTAGAAAACATTATAAAATTGCCTGCACAAACACATACGCACAAGCTATAGCCATAATATTAAAAATAAAGTGAACAAATAAAATTTTCAGTTGCTGATAACCCTCAGGTTTTTGGGTCAGTGCAACAGCACATGAATAATAATAACCTATAAAAAGATCTTCAGAAAACCTATTTGTATATTAGCAAATGAAACAAATCTTCAAACAAGAGGTTAATGAAAATGCATTTAACCTAGAAAAGAATTGTTACTGAGTGAATACAACAAATGGCTTAAACCTTCAACTTTGTGTGAACCTGTTCAAACAGTGATTAGTGAATATAATAGAAATAAAATGAAGAGATATTTCGCAAAATAGTCAGTAAACTTATGGTGATCATTTCCAGCAAAGTAATCATGTAAGCTAAAAATCAAAGAGTTCACCAAATGTTTGTACTTACCTGAGTGCAAAAAATTATATATGCATAATGCATGTCTTATTATCACATATCTTTGCACTTAAAATATTTGCTCACATTCTCTCTTTTCCACTAGTGTGTGAGAGCCCAGTGTCCAGTATAGTTACTCATTAAATGTTTGATAAATCAATAAATACATGAATGAATCAAACAGTGGGAAGTTGTGTGGTAAATGCCATATTTTTTTTTTTTTAATTTTTTTTTTTTTTATTATACTCTAAGTTTTAGGGTACATGTGCACATTGTGCAGGTTAGTTACATATGTATACATGTGCCATGCTGGTGCGCTGCACCCACTAACGTGTCATCTAGCATTAGGTATATCTCCCAATGCTATCCCTCCCCCCTCCCCCGACCCCACCACAGTCCCCAGAGTGTGATATTCCCCTTCCTGTGTCCATGTGATCTCATTGTTCAATTCCCACCTATGAGTGAGAATATGTGGTGTTTGGTTTTTTGTTCTTGCGATAGTTTACTGAGAATGATGGTTTCCAATTTCATCCATGTCCCTACAAAGGACATGAACTCATCATTTTTTATGGCTGCATAGTATTCCATGGTGTATATGTGCCACATTTTCTTAATCCAGTCTATCATTGTTGGACATTTGGGTTGGTTCCAAGTCTTTGCTATTGTGAATAGTGCCGCAATAAACATACGTGTGATGTGTCTTTATAGCAGCATGATTTATAGTCCTTTGGGTATATACCCAGTAATGGGATGGCTGGGTCAAATGGTATTTCTAGTTCTAGATCCCTGAGGAATCGCCACACTGACTTCCACAATGGTTGAACTAGTTTACAGTCCCACCAACAGTGTAAAAGTGTTCCTATTTCTCCACATCCTCTCCAGCACCTGTTGTTTCCTGACTTTTTAATGATTGCCATTCTAACTGGTGTGAGATGATATCTCATAGTGGTTTTGATTTGCATTTCTCTGATGGCCAGTGATGATGAGCATTTCTTCATGTGTTTTTTGGCTGCATAAATGTCTTCTTTTGAGAAGTGTCTGTTCATGTCCTTCGCCCACTTTTTGATGGGGTTGTTTGTTTTTTCCTTGTACATTTGTTTGAGTTCATTGTAGATTCTGGATATTAGCCCTTTGTCAGATGAGTAGGTTGCGAAAATTTTCTCCCATGTTGTAGGTTGCCTGTTCACTCTGATGGTAGTTTCTTTTGCTGTGCAGAAGCTCTTTAGTTTAATTAGATCCCATTTGTCAATTTTGGCTTTTGTTGCCATTGCTTTTGGTGTTTTGGACATGAAGTCCTTGCCCATGCCTATGTCCTGAATGGTAATGCCTAGGTTTTCTTCTAGGGTTTTTATGGTTTTAGGTCTAACGTTTAAGTCTTTAATCCATCTTGAATTGATTTTTGTATGAGGTGTCAGGAAGGGATCCAGTTACAGCTTTCTACATATGGCTAGCCAGTTTTCCCGGCACCATTTATTAAATAGGGAATCCTTTCCCCATTGCTTGTTTTTCTCAGGTTTGTCAAAGACCAGATAGTTGTAGATATGCGGCGTTATTTCTGAGGGCTCTGTTCTGTTCCATTGATCTATATCTCTGTTTTGGTACCAGTACCATGCTGTTTTGGTTACTGTAGCCTTGTAGTATAGTTTGAAGTCAGGTAGTGTGATGCCTCCAGCTTTGTTCTTCTGGCTTAGGATTGACTTGGCAATGCGGGCTCTTTTTTGGTTCCATATGAACTTTAAAGTAGTTTTTTCCAATTCTGTGAAGAAAGTCATTGGTAGCTTGATGGGGATCGCATTGAATCTGTAAATTACCTTGGGCAGTATGGCCATTTTCACGATATTGATTCTTCCTACCCATGAGCATGGAATGTTCTTCCATTTGTTTGTATCCTCTTTTATTTCCTTGAGCAGTGTTTGTAGTTCTCCTTGAAGAGGTCCTTCACATCCCTTGTAAGTTGGATTCCTAGGTATTTTATTCTCTTTGAAGCAATTGTGAATGGGAGTTCACTCATGATTTGGCTCTCTGTTTGTCTGTTATTGGTGTATAAGAATGCTTGTGATTTTTGTACATTGATTTTGTATCCTGAGACTTTGCTGAAGTTGCTTATCAGCTTAAGGAGATTTTGGGCTGAGACAATGGGGTTTTCTAGATATACAATCATGTCATCTGCAAACAGGGACAATTTGACTTCCTCTTTTCCTAATTGAATACCCTTTATTTCCTTCTCCTGCCTAATTGCCCTGGCCAGAACTTTCAACACTATGTTGAATAGGAGTGGTGAGAGAGGGCATCCCCTGTCTTGTGCCAGTTTTCAAAGGGAATGCTTCCAGTTTTTGCCCATTCTGTATGATATTGGCTGTGGGTTTGTCATAGATAGCTCTTATTATTTTGAAATAGGTCCCATCAATACCTAATTTATTGAGAGTTTTTAGCATGAAGGGTTGTTGAATTTTGTCAAAGGCTTTTTCTGCATCTATTGAGATAATCATGTGGTTTTTGCCATTGGTTCTGTTTATGTGATGGATTACTTTTATTGATTTGCATATGTTGAACAAGCCTTGCATCCCAGGGATGAAGCCCACTTGATCGTGGTGGATAAGCTTTTTGATGTGCTGCTGGATTTGTTTTGCCAGTATTTTACTGAGGATTTTTGCAGCAATGTTCATCAAGGATATTGGTCTAAAATTCTTTTTGTTGTGTCTCTGCCTGGCTTTGGTATCAGAATGATGCTGGCCTCATAAAATGAGTTAGGGAGGATTCTCTCTTTTTCTACTGATTGGAATAGTTTCAAAAGGAATGGTACCAGTTCCTCCTTGTACCTCTGGTGGAATTCGGCTGTGAATCCATCTGGTCCTGGACTCTTTTTGGTTGGTAAGCTATTGATTATTGCCACAATTTCAGCTCCTGTTATTGGTCTATTCAGAGATTCAACTTCTTCCTGGTTTAGTCTTGGGAGAGTGTATGTGTCCAGGAATTTATCCATTTCTTCTAGATTTTCTAGTTTATTTGTGTAGAGGTGTTTGTAGTATTCTCTGATGGTAGTTTGTATTTCTGTGGGATCGGTGGTGATATCCCCGTTATCATTTTTTATTGCGTCTATTTGATTCTTCTCTCTTTTTTTCTTTATTAGTCTTGCTAGTGGTCTATCAATTTTGTTGATCCTTTCAAACACCCAGCTCCTGGATTCATTAATTTTTTGAAGTGTTTTTTGTGTCTCTATTTCCTTCAGTTCTGCTCTGATTTTAGTTATTTCTTGCCTTCTGCTAGCTTTTGAATGTGTTTGCTCTTGCTTTTCTAGTTCTTTTAATTGTGGTGTTAGGGTGTCAATTTTGGATCTTTCCTGCTGTCTCTTGTGGGCATTTAGTGCTATAAATTTCCCTCTACACACTGCTTTGAATGGGTCCCAGAGATTCTGGTATGTTGTGTCTTTGTTCTCGTTGGTTTCAAAGAACATCTTTGTTTCTGCCTTCATTTCGTTATGTGCCCAGTAGTCATTCAGGAGCAGGTTGTTCAGTTTCCATGTAGTTGAGCAGTTTTGAGTGAGATCCTTAATCCTGAGTTCTAGTTTGATTGCACTGTGGTCTGAGAGATAGTTTGTTATAATTTCTGTTCTTTTACATTTGCTGAGGAGAGCTTTACTTCCCAGTATGTGGTCAATTTTGGAATAGGTGTGGTGTGGTGCTGAAAAAAATGTATATTCTGTTGATTTGGGGTGGAGAGTTCTGTAGATGTCTATTAGGTCCACTTGGTGCAGAGCTGAGTTCAATTCCTGGGTATCCTTGTTGACTTTCTGTCTCGTTGATCTGTCTAATATTGACAGTGGGGTGTTAAAGTCTCCCATTATTAATGTGTGGGAGTCTAAGTCTCTTTGTAGGTCTCTAAGGACTTGCTTTATGAATCTTGTTGCTCCTGTATTGGGTGCATATATATTTAGGATAGTTAGCTCTTCTTGTTGAATTGATCCCTTTACCATTATGTAATGGCCTTCTTTGTCTCTTTTGATCTTTGTTGGTTTAAAGCCTGTTTTATTAGAGACTAGGTTTGCAACCCCTGCCTTTTTTTGTTTTCCATTTGCTTGGCAGATCTTCCTCCATCCTTTTATTTTGAGCCTATGTGTGTCTCTGCACGTGAGATGGTTTCCTGAATACAGCACACTGATGGGTCTTGACTCTTTATCCAATTTGCCAGTCTGTGTCTTAATTGGAGCATTTAGTCCATTGACATTTAAAGTTAATATTGTTATGTGTGAATTTGATCCTGTCATTATGATGTTAGCTGGTTATTTTGCTCGTTAGTTGATGCAGTTTCTTCCTAGTCTCGATGGTCTTTACATTTTGGCATGATTTTGCAGCGGCTGGTACCGGTTGTTCCTTTCCATGTTTAGTGCTTCCTTCAGGAGCTCTTGTAAGGCAGGCCTGGTGGTGACAAAATCTCTCAGCATTTGCTTGTCTGTAAAGTATTTTATTTCTCCTTCACTTATGAAGCTTAGTTTGGCTGGATATGAAATTCTGGGTTGAAAATTCTTTTCTTTAAGAATGTTGAATATTGGCCCCCCAATATTGGCCCCCACTCTCTTCTGGCTTGTAGGGTTTCTGCCAAGAGATCCGCTGTTAGCCTGATGGGCTTCCCTTTGAGGGTAACCCGACCTTTCTCTCTGGCTGCCCTTAACATTTTTTCCTTCATTTCATCTTTGGTGAATCTGACAATTATGCGTCTTGGAGTTGCTCTTCTCGAGGAGTATCTTTGTGGCGTTCTCTGTATTTCCTGAATCTGAACATTGGCCTGCCTTGCTAGATTGGGGAAGTTCTCCTGGATAATATCCTGCAAAGTGTTTTCCAACTTGGTTCCATTCTCCCCATCACTTTCAGGTACACCAATCAGACGTAGATTTGGTCTTTTCACATAGTCCCATATTTCTTGGAGGCTTTGCTCATTTCTTTTTATTCTTTTTTCTCTAAACTTCCCTTCTCACTTCATTTCATTCATTTCATCTTCCATCGCTGATACCCTTTCTTCCAGTTGATCGCATCGGCTCCTGAGGCTTCTGCATTCTTCACGTAGTTCTCGAGCCTTGGTTTTCAGCTCCATCAGCTGCTTTAAGCACTTCTCTGTATTGGTTATTCTAGTTATACATTCTTCTAAATTTTTTTCAAAGTTTTCAACTTCTTTGCCTTTGGTTTGAATGTCCTCCCGTAGCTCAGAGTAATTTGATCGTCTGAAGCCTTCTTCTCTCAGCTCGTCAAAATCATTCTCCATCCAGCTTTGTTCTGTTGCTGGTGAGGAACTGCGTTCCTTTGGAGGAGGAGAGGCGCTCTGCGTTTTAGAGTTTCCAGTTTTTCTGTTCTGTTTTTTCCCCATCTTTGTGGTTTTATCTACTTTTGGTCTTTGATGATGGTGATGTACAGATGGGTTTTCGGTGTAGATGTCCTTTCTGGTTGTTAGTTTTCCTTCTAACAGACAGGACCCTCAGCTGCAGGTCTGTTGGAATACCCTGCCGTGTGAGGTGTCAGTGTGCCCCTGCTGGGGGGTGCCTCCCAGTTAGGCTGCTCGGGGGTCAGGGGTCAGGGACCCACTTGAGGAGGCAGTCTGCCCGTTCTCAGATCTCCAGCTGCGTGCTGGGAGAACCACTGCTCTCTTCAAAGCTGTCAGACAGGGACACTTAAGTCTGCAGAGGTTACTGCTGTCTTTTTGTTTGTCTGTGCCCTGCCCCCAGAGGTGGAGCCTACAGAGGCAGGCAGGCCTCCTTGAGCTGTGGTGGGCTCCACCCAGGTCGAGCTTCCCGGCTGCTTTGTTTACCTAATCAAGCCTGGGCAATGGCGGGCGCCCCTCCCCCAGCCTCGTTGCCGCCTTGCAGTTTGATCTCAGACTGCTGTGCTAGCAATCAGCGAGACTCCGTGGGCGTAGGACCCTCTGAGCCAGGTGTGGGATATAGTCTCGTGGTGCGCCGTTTCTTAAGCCGGTCTGAAAAGCGCAATATTCGGGTGGGAGTGACCCGATTTTCCAGGTGCGTCCGTCACCCCTTTCTTTGACTCGGAAAGGGAACTCCCTGACCCCTTGCGCTTCCCAAGTGAGGCAATGCCTCGCCCTGCTTCGGCTCGTGCACGGTGCGCACACACACTGGCCTGCGCCCACTGTCTGGCAGTCCCTAGTGAGATGAACCCGGTACCTCAGATGGAAATGCAGAAATCACCCGTCTTCTGCGTCGCTCACGCTGGGAGCTGTAGACCGGAGCTGTTCCTATTCGGCCATCTTGGCTCCTCCTCCCATGCCATATTCTTAAAGATAACACAAAACCTTGAAAAAATGTCAATTGAAACACTTCAGTTTGAAAAACTTTTTCATAAGAATATTAAACTGTGTGAACAGTACATCAGACCAAGAATTATGTTACTTTACAGTCATTATAACACAGCAGTATGTTTATGATACTAACCATAAACAACTAATCAACCAGAATGACTGCACTCATGTGTATCAGCAGATTATCGGCACAGTTGGACCCAACAAAGAAATTTTTGTAGTTTTATTGTGTGCCAAAAGTCAAAATAAACTTTTCAGATAATGGTTAGTTACATGGCTTAGCATAGTTTGAGCCTTGGGCTAATAATGCCAAACAAATGTTAAGAATTCGAGATAGTTAAATTACTTGTCTTTAGCTTCACTACAACAGACTAAATACTTCTACCCCCTTGTTCAATACTCTACAAAATACCAAATTCACTTTTGATTTGTGTGGTCAATAAACAGAAGTAAATGAATTAATCATCTTAAATCTTTTATAAATGTGAATAAAAAGAATAAGGCCATGTGTAGTAGCTCATACCTGTAATCCTAACACTTTGGGGTGGGCAGATCACTTGTGCCGAGGATTTCAAGACCAGCTTGAGCAACATGGTGAAACTCCATCACTACAAAACAAAACAAAACAAAACAAAACAAACAATTAGCTGGGTGTGGTGGCATACACCTGTAGTTCCAGCTACTCAAGAGGCTGAGGTGAGAGGATCGCCTGAGCTGGGGGAGGTCAAGACTGCAGTGAGCCATGATCACACTATTGTACTCCAGCCTGGGTGACAGTGAGACTGTCTCAAAAAATGAAATAAAATTACTCAAAGTAATTTTTCTGTTATTATTGGTAAAATGGAAGAATTGCTGAGTTCCTTTATTGTGTTGTGATTAAAAAGATATTATAAAATTACTATAACACTTCAGAAAATGCCAAGTGTAAATTATATACACATAAATGAAGAATAACATATGAAGGTGAAGAATAACATATCAAATATTGTTGAACTAAATTTTTCCCTACTTTAGGTAAAACTGATATAAAGCATGCAGGCCAGCCCCTGTGGCTCATGCCTGTAATCTCAACACTTTGGGAGGCCAAGATGAGAGCATCACTTGAAGATAGGAGTTTGAGACCATTCTAGGCAACATAGTGAGTGCCTGTCTCTACAAAAAATTTAAAAAGTTGTTTGGTGTGGTAGCATGCACCTATAGTTCCAGCTACTCAGGAGGCTGAGGAAGAATAATGGCTTGAGCCTAAGAGATCACTGTACTCCAAACTGGGCAACAGACTGACATTATGTCTCTTGAAAAAAACAAAACAACACAAAACAAAACAAAAAAACCAAGAACAACAAAAAAGAATGCAATGGCACAGATTGTATATCTCATGTTAAACAAACAAAAACTAATAAACCAATATAAACGCATCACAATTGATTATTTTTCTTTAAACTTTGGGAACTATTGGGAGACAGAGGCAGGAGGATCATTTAAGGTCAGGAGTTTGAGACCAGCCTGGCCGACATGATGAAACTCTGTCTCTACTAAAAATACAAAAATTAGCAGGGCATGGTGGTGTGTGCCTGTAATTCCAGCTACTTGGGAAACTGAGGTGGGAGAATCGCTTGAACCAGGGAAGCAGAGGTTTCATTGAGCTGACATTGGACCACAGCCTGGGCAGCAGAGGAAGACTCCGTCTCAAAAAAAAAGAAAAGAAAAACAAAATGGGCAACTAGAAGAAATATATAAATGCGAACATACCCAATTGCTTTGTTACAATTAAAAGCGACATTATTTTTAATATCATAAATTATAAATGTGCTTTTCCAAGGCATGCTGAAGGACAAAATATTATATATAATCTTAGAGTGAATTGTTATTGTGCACACAATTTAGGAAATAGAGTACACCAAAAAATATAAATGCATAGGCCCGGCGCGGTGGTGGCTCATGCCTGTAATCCCAGCATTTTGGGATCCGAGGCAGACGGATCACGAGGTCAGGAGATCGAGACCATTCTGGCTAACACGGTGAAACCCTGTCTCCACTAAAAATACAAAAAAATTAGACGGGCGTGGTGACGGGCGCCTATAGTCCCAGCTACTCCGGAGGCTGAGGCAGGAGAGTGGCGTGAACCTGAGAGGCGGAGCTTGCAGTGAGCCGAGATCTTGCCACTGCACTCCAGCCTGGGCGTCAGAGGGAGACTCCGTATCAAAAAATATATATATATATATATATATATATATATATATATATATATATATATATATATATTCATAGATGTTATATCTGTTTTTAGATTGCTCGGTGAGTTTTAGTATATTACATTATTACGACAGCTAAACTATACATAAGGTTTCCTAATTTGCAAAAATCAACTGAATGCTTTGTTGTGTTTTTGTCACTTTTTGTTTTTCATTTTTTTACACATGGGTTTGTGTGCAAGTGAAACAGATTTTTAGTAGAATCTTTCCACATTTCCATTCATAGTTCAGGCTTTCAAATTGAGGGCAGTGTAGTAAGTCAATGATACAAATCCTTACTAGAATAATTAGTTCCTAATTGGATGAGTTAAAAACCATAACAATGGCCTCAGAAGACAATAAGTTAGTCAGAACCTGAAATATATTAAACAGTTTCAACCTTATAATTTTTCTTAACATGCACATTCAGAAACCAGAATCAGAGGAGAAATTTCATACATGCAGATGAGCACTTGTGAGCAACTCACAAAATAAATGTTATTTAGTTTGAAAAGCCTTGTGATTTGGGAACCAATCTGCTAGATAGATGCCAAATTAACTGATAATTGCCCTAGCCTGAAACTAGCCATACTGTCTGGTACTGATAAGTATTTGAAAAATAACATTTTCGTAATTGCATGAATCTCTATTAAATGAAATAAACCTGTAAAAATCATAGAAATACCAAAAAACCAAACATATTGCTAATGCAAATTACTCCTTTGTTAGTGAATAATATCTTTTTCTAACATTGCTTAAAGCGATTCAATTGAAAAGCTAAATCCACATTTATACTGCATGTTATGCTTGGATAAAGTCTCTGTTCTTCATAGCCCATGCTTTACCCACACCAGGATGCTAAATTGTGACAGGGTGTGTGGGTAAAGGCATTTACAAGATAAATCACTGTTAATCATTTACATCCACAAATATAATTGGTTTTGTTAAGGATCTGAGTAAAATCATTTGTGGTAATTTCTTTCCTCTCTACCATCGAAGATTATGACTTCTTCAGGATACTCATATAGTGAAATTCCATACAACTTTTGTGTCATATATTTGGCTCTTATTACTTATTATGAAAAAAATGTATAGACTTTCTATTTGCCTTCAGTTTTGGAGAAATTTATCAGAAATGTGAGATTGTCAAATTAACCAATTATTAATCACCTATAGAATATATTATGGGCGTATATTTGCAAACTAGAGAACCGGAAATGAATTATAAGTTCTTACAGTTTAGAAAAAAAGCATATTTACTAAGAATTTTTAGTGCCATGTTGCCATATTTTTCCTATACAGCTTCATTTGTGCAATTCTGGTACCCAACATTTTGTCTTTCTCTTGATTTGAATAATTGATTTTAAATTTAAAAGCATAAATGTAAGCTAATTTGTTTAAATTCAAGACAATTTAGCTACAAGCATGTAGATAAAAATTTTGTTTGTAGAAAGTACCATTTTAAAATGTATATAAATATATATTTGGTGGTGGAGTGGGGAGATATCATCACTTTCCTTATTTGGACAGAGCCAGAGATAGTTACATAATGTGTTTTCATTAACTTATGACATAAAATTAGTTTGAAACTCTAACTTTGATGACTCAAATAAATTAAGCTACATAATCTCTATGGCCGTGAAGTAAACATATTACATGGTGTAACAATAATGGGATTGTGAAAATTCTAACAGTGAGTCTGGATTTGAGTTCAGTCATCATCAGAGTAAAAACAAAGCATGGCATACCCTGATGTGATTCTCTCTGGTTCTTTGTTCCCAAAAGACAAAAACACACACTTAAAGTATAATCAAAAATAATAAAAAAAACTTATGTAAACTTGATAGTATTAGAAAACAATTTTTTCTATGTTGCTGCTCTTACTTTTTTACAAAGATAGCCTGTGATTCCCCATGTAATAATTCAATATATAACCTCGGCTCACTTATCTCAGTAAATCTTTAGACACGAAATAAACATCCAGTAGCAGAACTATATTTCTTTATTAAAGCCCACTTTGGTTTCCACGTTGTCCAGGCAGTCAGAAGTTAACCTCTGATTGCTTTCAATGCTACAATCTGCTGCTATCTATGAAAAGATATAGACAGAAAAGATTAGGAATATGATGAGAAAGGAGTGAAACCTAAGATTTCAACTCTGTGATGTTAAAAAATGGGCATTTTGTTATTTAATATCTAATAAGCCTTTTTAATCCAGTAATTCATGATAATCACCATGGAAGGTGATTATCCATGGTGATAATTCTATGGAAATTATTACAAAAGACAAGGAACACATATAAAATTATCTGGTGAGCTTTGAAAATATTGATAGCTACACTTCCCCTAGATTATCAAATCTAGATCCCCTGAGTGCAAGAGAGTAAAGACGTATGTACTAATGTTCCCTTTCATGATTATGCATTTGTCCATTTTCTTTTTAGTTTTATGAAATTCTGTTTCTCTACATTATGAAGGTAAGCTATTGTACATATGTGTGTGTGCTGAACACCTCTAATCGATTGCCTATTTATTGTGTAATATACTTTACTTCCTGCATTGAAATTTACCATATCTAATAATAGTATATTCACACTAGCTTTTTTCAGTGTAGAATTTTTAATGATGTATGCATTTCTAAACTTTCTATTTTCATATGTAATTCAACTTTTTAATTGACAAATAAAAATTGTATATATTTATCCTATACAATAGATGTTTTGAAATATATATATGGACATTGTGAAATGGGTCAGTAGAACTATATGCATTACCATATGCATTATCTCACATACTTATTTTTTGTGGTGAGAACACTTAAAATTTACTCTTTTAGCAATTTTCAAAATATAAAATTGTTATTAACTATAGTCACCATGTTATACAATAGATCTCTTGAACTTACTCCTTCTATCTAACTGAAATTTTATATTCTTTGACCAACATCTCCCCGACTCCCCAACATCTCTCCAGCTCCCAACACCCAGTAACCACCATTCTGCTCTCTGCTTCTATGAGTTCAACATTTTTAGATTCCATATACAATTGAGATAATATATTATTTATCTTTCTGTCCCTGGCTTATTTCACTTAGAAAACTTCACTGCAGGTTAGCCTTCCCCTCTACCAAACTTTCTTCCTTTGCTCGCTCTCAAGTGTTCTTCTGGAGAACACTTCCAAGAAAACTTCTCACAAGCAAAACACCCTTAGGAGGTAATACACATCAAGACAACTACCACTCTAGAATTTAAAAGTAAAGGTGATGTAAAGGTATTTAATTTCATTTTCTAAGAATTTTCAACAGCTCTTGGCCTCTATATCTTAGATTTTTTTCTTTAAGCAATATATAGAGATTTATTTGAATTTTATCATTTAATTAAGTCTGAAAAATCTTGATTTCAGTCTTACAAATGGAATATTTAGTTCATTTATACTTAAATTACTGGCATATTAAGGTTTATATCTTCCATCTTACAATTTGTTTCCTATGTGGCCCAGCTGTTTTCTGTTACTTTTCTTCTATATTGTCTTCTTTTGCAAAAATAAAATATTTTTATTACATTTCCTTTTTTTAAATTCTTATTTTATTTTCATTTCTCATAGGTTATTGGCTTACAGGTGATGTATTAGTCTGTTTAATGCTACTGGTAAAGACACACACAAGTCTGGAAGAAAAGGAGGTTTAATTTGACTCACAGTTCCACATGGCTGGGAAGGTCTCATAATCATGGCAGAGGGCGAAAGGCACTTATTACAAGTCTCCAAAGTTCATTGTATCATTTTTATGCCTTTGCATCCTCATAGCTTTCCTCTCACTTATAAGTGAGAACATACGATGTTTGGTTTTCCATTCCTGAGTTCCTTCACTTAGAATAATATCTCCAATCTCATCCAAATTGCTACAAATGCTGTTAATTCATTCCTTTTTATGGCTGTGTAGTATTCCATCATATATATATGATGGTATATATAAATATATATATCACAGCTTTTTTTTTGAGATGGAGTCTCACTCTGTTACCCAGGCTGGAGTGCAACAGCATGGTCTCAGTTGACTGCAACCTCTGCCTCTCAGGTTCAAGCGATTCTCCTGTCTCAGCCTCCTGAGTAGCTGGGACTACAGGCATATGTCACCACACCTGACTAATTTTTATATTTTTAGTAGAGATGGAGTTTCACTGCATCGGCCAGGCTGGTCTTGAACTCCTGACCTCGTGATCCACCCACCACAGCCTCCCAAAGTCCTGGGATTACAGGCGTGAGCCACCGCACCTCTCCTACCACCATTGCTTTATCCACTTGTTGATTGATGGGCATTTGGGCTAGTTCCCCGATTTTGCAATTGTGAATTGTGCTGCTATAAACACTCTGTGTGCAAGTGTCTTTTTGGATAAAGAATTGTTTTCCTGTGAGTAGATACCCAGTAGTGGGATTGCTGGATCAAATGGTAGTTCTACTTTTAGTTCTTTAAGGAATCTCCATACTGTTTTCCATAGTGGCTGTACTAGTTTACATTTCCACCAGCAGTGTAGAAGTGTTCCCTGATCACTGCATCCATGCCAATATCTACTGTTTTTTGATTATGGCCATTCTTGCAAGAGTAAGGTGGTGTTGCATTGTGGTTTTGATTAGCATTTTCCTGATCATTAGTGATGTTGAGCATTTTTTCATATGTTTGTTGTCCATTTGCATATCTTGTTTCGAGAATTGTCTATTCATGTCCTTAGCCCACTTTTTGATAGGATTGTTTTTTTTTTCTTACTGATTGCCTTGAGTTTGTTGTAGATTTTGGATATCAGACCTGTGTCAGATGTATAGACTGTGAAGATTTTCTCTCATTCTGTGGGTGGTCTGTTTGCTGACTGTTCCTTTTGCCGTACAAAAGCTCTTTAGTTTAATTAAGTGTAAATGATTTATCTCTGTTTTTATTGCATTTGCTTTGGGATTTTTGTTCATGAAATCCTTGCCTAAGCCAATGTCTAGAAGGGTTTTTCCAATGTTATATTATAGAATTTTTATAGTTTCAGGACTTAGATTTAAGTACTTAATCCATTTTGAGTTGATTTTTGTATAAGGTGACAGATGAGGATCCAGTTTCATTCTCCTACATATGGCTAGCCAATTATCCCAGCACCATTTGTTGAAAAGGGTGTCCTTTTCCCACTTTATATTTTTGTTTGCTTTGTCGAAGATCAGTTGGCTATAAATATTTGGGTTTATTTCTGGGTTCAGTATTCTGTTTCAATGGTCTATGTGCCTGTTTTTATACCAGTACCATGCTGTTTTGGTGACTATATCATTATAGTATAGCTTGAAATCAGGTAGTGTGATGCCTCCAGATTTGTTCTTTTTGCTTAGTCTTGCTTTGGCTATGTGAGCTCTTTTTTTTTGGTTACATATGAAGTTTAGAATTATTTTTACTAATTCTATGAAGAATGATGGTGGTATTTTGATGGGGATTGCATTGAATTTGCAGATTGATTTTGGCACTATAGTCATTTTCACAATATTGACTCTACCCATCCATGAGCATGGAATGTGTTTCCATTTGTTTGTGTTGTCCATAATTTCTTTCTGCAGTGTTTTGTGCTCTTTCAATCTGTTTCATGTAGGTATTTAAGGCCACGAACTTCCTCTTAGCACCACCTTTGCTGTATCCCAGAGTTTTTGACAGATTGTGTCGGTACTGTCGTTCTGTTCAAAAAAATTTTTAATTTCCATCTTGATATCATTTTTTACCTGATGCTCATTCAGGAGCAGGTTATTTAATTTCCATGCATTTGCATAGTTTTGAAGATTCCTTTTGGAGTTGATTTCCAGTTTTATTCCACTGTGGTCTGAGAGAGTGCTTGATAGTTCAACTTTCCTAAATTTATTGAGGCTCATTTTATGGCCTATCATGTGGTCTATCTTGAAGAAGGTTTGATGCACTCTTGAATAGAATGTGTATTCTGTGGTTGTTGGATGATATGTTCTGTATATATCTGTTAAGCCCATTTGTTCCAAGGTATAGTTTAAATCCATTGTTTCTTTTTTGACTTTCTGTCCTGATGACCCGTCTAGTGCTGTCAGTGGAATATTGAAGTCCCCCAGTATTACTGTGGTGCTGTCTATCTCATTTCTCAGGTCTGTTAGTAATTGTTTTATACATTTGGGAGTTCCAATGTTAGGTGCATATATGTTTAGGATTGTAATATTTTCCTGTTGGACAAGGCCTTTTACCATAATATAATGTCCCTCTTTGTCTATTTTAATTGCTGTTGCTTTAAAATTTGTTTTATCTAAGAATAGCTACCATTGCATGCCTTTGCTGACCACCTGCATAAAATGCCTTTTTCCACCCCTTTAAGTTTATGTGAGTCCTTATGTGTTTGGTGAGTCTCCTGAAGGCAGAAGATAGTTGGTTGGTGAGTTCTCATTCATTCTGCAGTTCTGTAGCTTTTCATTGGAGCATTTAGTCTATCTACATTCAATGTTCATATTGAGACGTGAGGTACCATGACATTCATTGTGTATTTTTTGCCTGTGTACCTTGCTTTTTCGCTTTTGCTTTTTAACTTGTATTTTTGTTTTGCAGGTCCTGTGTGATTTATGCTTTAAAGAGGTTCTGTTTTGATGTGTTTCCAGGATTTGTTTCAAGGTTT
Source organism: Homo sapiens (assembly GCF_000001405.40). Lineage (NCBI taxonomy): Eukaryota > Metazoa > Chordata > Mammalia > Primates > Hominidae > Homo > Homo sapiens. The sequence goes on from NC_000005.10 coordinate 105,528,185, forward strand.
AGAGCTCTTTTTAGCATTTCTTATAGTGGTGGCTTGGTAGTGGTAAATTCTCTTAACATTTGTCTGGAAAAGATTGTATCTTTCCTTCATGTATGATGTGTAGTTTCGCTAGATACAAAATTCTTGGCTAATTGTTTTGTCTGAAAAAGCTGAAGATAGGGCCCCAATTCCATCTAGCTTGCAGAGTTTTAGCTGATAGATCTGCTGTTAATCTGATAGGTTTTCCTTTATAGGTTACCTGGTGCTTTTGTCTCACAGGTCTTAAGATTCTTTCCTTCAGCTTAACTTTAGATAACCTGATGACAATGTGCCTAGGCGATGATCTTTTTGTGGTGAATTTCCCAGGTGTTCTCTGTGGTTCTTGTATTTGGATGTCTAGGTCTCTAGCAAGGCTGGGGAAGTTTTCCTCAATTATTCCCCCAAATATGTTTTCCAAACTTTTAGATATCTCTTCTTCCTCAGGAACACCAATTATTCTTAGGTTTGGTCACTTAACATAATCCCAGACTTCTTGGAGGCGTTGTTCATATTTTCATATTCTTTTTTGTTTGTTTTTGTTGGATTGAGTTAAAGACCGTGTCTTTGAGCTCTGAATTTCTTTCTTCTACTGTTAATTCTATTGCTGAGACTTTCTAGAGAACTTTGCATTTCTATAAGTGTGTCCAATGTTATCTGTCTTCTGGGTCCAGTCACCAAGCAAGTCTACTGGCTCTGGGCTGGTACTGGGGGTTATCCTGCACAGAGTCATGTGATGTGAACCATCTATGGGTTTCTAAGCTGTGGATACTAGCACTTTCCGGTGGAGGTGGCAGCAGGGGTGAAATGGACACTGTGAGGGTTCTTAGCTTTGGTGGTTTAATGTTTTTATTTTTGTGCTGGTTGGCCTCCTGCCGGGAGATGGCACTTTCCAGAGAGCATCAGCTATGGTAGTATGGAGAGGAACCAGCAGTGGGTGGGCCCTAGAACTTCCAAGAGTATATGCCCTTTGTCTTCAGCTACCAGGGTGGATAAGGAAGTCCCCTTAGGTGAGGGCAGGGCTATGCGTATCTGAGCTCAGATTCTCCTTGGGTGGGTCTTGCTGCAGTTGCTGTGGGTGATAGGGTGAGGTTCCCAGGTCAATGGAGTTGTGTATCTAGAAGGATTATGGCTGCCTCTGCTGAGTCATGCAAGCTGTCAGGGAAGTCAGGGAAAGCCGGTAGTCAAGGCCTTACCTAGGGTCCACACAATCCAAAGGGCTGGTGTCACTCCCACCATGCCTCCCCAACAGTCCTGAGTCTGTTTCCAGGCAGTGGGCTAGCAGGGCTTGAGAACTTGCCCCAGGCTACCTGCCACCCAGCTGCAAAATAACAGGGCTTTGGTTCTTCCCCCACCTGTGGAGTCTGCACATTGGATTCATGCCCTCCCCTGAGTTCTGGCCAGGAGGATTCTCATCCTGTTCAAATTGTTACAAAGTTCAGCTGGAGACTTCCTTCTCCCTGTGGCATTTCCCCCCGTGCCTCTGGCTGCCCTCCCAAAGGGTACCTGTGATGCCAGGCAGGAATGGAGTGCTTGAGGACCCAGTGAGCTCCCAGGGCCTTTCCTGCTGCTTCTTCTACCCCTGTATTTTGCTTAGCTCTCTAAATTGACTCAGATCCAGGTAAGGTTAGAAACTTCTGCCACAAACTAGACCTTCATTTTCCTCAGTGTGAGTGTGTGATCGGGGTCAGAGGGTCTCTCTTTCCCACTTCCACAGTTTGGGCACTCAGAATATTTGGGGTGTCTCTCGGGCCCTGCAGGAGCAGTCTGCTTGCTTCAGACGGTCTGTGGTTCCTCTTAGGATTCCTGGTTTGCTCTTGTAGTCGTTCTGGAGCTAAATTTCACTATGCAAGCCTCCACACGCTGCTCTGTCTGTCTGAGTCTGAGCTACAATCCAGTCCTACTTCCTGTCCACCATGATCTACATTTTCTTTTATTACCTAGTTTTGTATTCTTTTGTTTTTCATTTTGTATATACCCTAGAGTTCACAGCAGGCATAATAAAACTATTACAGTCAAATATATGTTGGTGCTTCTAACAATTAACAGAAAACATTAAGATTGTAGAATATTTTTAACTCTATTTGCCTGTTTCTGTTTTTTTTTATAATTTTTATGATACATAGATTTTTAACACCCAGAGGACATTATTTTTATTATTGTATGAACTTAAAAGACATTTACATTTACCTACATACACTTTCTAGTGTTCTTTATTCTGATTTACTTTTTTGTTTCATTGTTGGGAATCAAATCATGTTCCTTCTTCTAATAACTTCCCTCCGTTCCTTTTAGTGAGATACTGCAAGTGACAAATTTGAGGGGGCACAAGAAAAGAGTAAATACCTTTACATCACCTTCACTTCTGAATTTTAGTTTGGCAGCTATCTTAATGTGTGTAACCTCTTGAATGTGATTTGCTTCTGAGATGTTTACTAGGAAGTGTTCTTAGGAGGAATAATTGAAAGGCAGCAAAAAAGAAAGTGGCAGAAAAAGAAACTAAATTGCAATAATATTGCAAGAATTGCCTTAGCCAATTCAACAGAGCCTCTGGTGCCATTGAGCCATCCCTAGTTGAGACAAATAAAATGCATATTTGTTCACCCCATCAACGAGTTCTTGAATGTGGGTTGTTCTTGCTGAGGTAGTAGAAGATTGAGTAATGCAGCTAACTTTAGCTGGAGGCATTTCTTATGAAGACCCAGATGTGAACCAACAGCATTCCTGGGGGAATTGAGAACTTCAATTCTAAACGGAGAATAAGAACTTCAGTTCTAGCAGGGGATGCCATCCAGTGTTCCACAATGTTTACTCAGCAGCTGCTTTCAGGAATTCAGTGGTGGTGCTCCATTGTCTTCCAGTTTCTATTGTTTTGTGGGGGTATTAGCTGTAAGTCTTATCGCTGGTTCTTTGAGTATAATGTGTGTTTTTCTCAAACTGCTTTATTCAGTTTAGGGATAATAGGGATTTTTAAGTGTGTGGCTTTATTACTGTCATTACCTTTTGAAAATTATTAATCATTTCCTCTTTCTGTTGAAACACTTCTTTTTTGACATCCTTCTTCTGAACTCCAAATGCTCATATTCATAATATTTTGTGATGTTTCATATATATCTTAAATTCCTTTGTCAATGTTCTAAACTTTTTTTCTCTCTTTTTTTTTTTTGCTTTTCATGCTTCAGTATGGATATTTTCTAGTGAGTGGTCTTCAAGTTTAGTAACCTTGTCTTCAGTTGTGTCTTAATACAAAGTTAAACCATTTATTTCGTTCTTAATTGTATTATTGTTGTATTTTTCCCTACTGTAATTTTGTCTTTATTCTGGTTAATTCTCCATCTTTTTGTTTTCCAGAAAATATGGTTATTTTTAATTGTTATCTATTATGCATGAAAAATTGTAGTTATCCCAAATGATGTTTTCTTCCTCCAGAAACAGAAATTACTTCTAATTCTGACAGTTAAAATACAAGTTTATTTCAACTTAATTAGGGACAGAATTAATTCAGAGTTGAGCTTCTTTATTTATAAAGTTTATCTCAATTTACTTCTGTGTCACCTTGTCTCTGAGTGTAAGAAGCTATCCAGAGATCCCAGCAGAATTTGTTCACTAGAGTTTTTATTAGGGTCCCTCTTCCTTGTCATAGAGCAAACTACAACTTACATATAATACCAAAGTGCTTGCCAAATAAAAATGGACATAATACATTAAAAACAGCCCTTGGAGTTAACTTTCTGAGTGACTCATAATTTTTCACTGCAACCCAAAGAGATAGTCAGGGCTTAACAACAAAATGTGTCAGTCTGACATGTTTTGAGGTTGGAAGGGGTGTCCTCTGCCTTGGTGTTTGAGACAAGCTCATACACAAACCTCATTGTCTGAGGACTTTTCCAATATGTATCTGCCAATATAATCACTGTCACTTTAATTATTTCTTACAATACATTTGTTTAAAATGTTTTAATAGCAATAAAACAATTACTCTCCAGGGACACTCACATCAGAGGAGCAAGCAATGCCACTCTTCATCTCCATCAACGTATGAGTTCTTGAATCTCACTGCAGCCCTGTATTGGTTCTTCCCACTTTAATTATGGGTCTGTGAATTTATCATCTTTTGGAGTTAGCTTATGCCAGTTAACTCTGTCAAATAATGTCATTTAAGAAACAGTCACAACATCTGTGTTTGTGGATGCAACAACAACAACAACAACAAATATTCTTGCATATTATCTTCAAGTCTGCTGGGTTTTGTTTGTTTCAGGATGAGTTTGGCTGCCAGGTTGTTCTCCGTGGGCAGTTTGATGAGTGGCCTATGGTAGCTCCAGACACCATATCTCTTCTTTATGGACTAGCAGACTGGCTATCTAGGGCATATTATTTTCACAATGATATTTGAGTTGCAAGAGAGCAAGCACAAAAGTGTGTGATAATTTAATTTCTATTATCATAACTGCACACTGTCAATTCTCTCTCCGTCCATGACTAATGCAAGTCACATGGCCAGACCAAAGTCAAAGAGTGAGAAATTAAACTTTATCCTATTAGTAGGAAGAACTGAAAAATAATAACCTAACAAAAGTTATGAACTCCAGGAAATTAAATAATCAGGAACAATAATAAATCTACCACATCTTCTTTCATCCCCCTACAGTTCTTATTTCTTTCAATTACTTGAAGAAACTGGAGCTATTTTAGCACTCAGGCAATAAATGGTACTTTGGGTCTCTTTTACATTTATAGGGTATCAAAGGAATGGGCTTTTAGTCCATATTCCATGAAAATGTTAGGGGATAATTTTAATATAAAATAGGATTTATAACTAGAAGATGGTTTTCTTGTTCTCCCAATGAAAATAATTTTTCTGTATCATAACAAATCATACGTACTAATCATATATTTAATTTCCAAAAGTTGCTATCAATTTTCAAATGAGAAAAGTTTCAGCATGCCTATGAATTGCATTTCTATTTTAGATGCCACATACATACTTTATGCACTTATTTCAAGTCAATTAAAATTCTTCAACATGACATGGCACTTTGTCTATATGTGTGGATGTAGGGGGTTATGTTTGTATGCATATTTTCCTCATTATTTATCATATCACCAAGCAAATATACTGAGGTTTTCCTGTGTGAGAGAAATCATGCTAGCTACTGCAGATACATCAAGCCATGGTGAAACAGAAGGTCATAAAATAGAAGGCCCCCTTGAGCGTCTTGATCTCCAAACATAATTTTAGCAATAAAACTATTGAAACAAGCACTTCAGTTAAATGCTGTAATATCATTATTCCTTAGAAGTAACACAAATGATGCACTTAAATTGAATGACTCTTTTAAATGATCTGCAAAGGAAAAATATTTAAAATTTTAAATAGCGTTGAACCGCAAAATAAAAATATTCAATATTATAAATAGTGCTAATTTAATTTTTCAAAGCTCACTGTCTTTGTTGCATGTCAAAAACATGTGGCATTACTTTTACTTTATTACTCAACATAAAATTTAACTATATCTTTCTGATATTTTAGCTTCTTTGTCAGTGTTAATTTCCCTTATTCAGATAAACCAACTGAAAAACTGTGCAAATTTTCCCAGTTTAAACTGAGAAACTAAATATGGACATTGAATCAACTCTCTCATATTTGGGTTATTTTAAAGCAACTGTAGAAATATAAAATACTGAATTAATAAAGTGAAAAACACTGATAACATTCTTGATTCTGAAGACTTTCTAATGTTCTACAAAGACATTAAAACATTGAGGCCATGTGTGGTGGCTCAAGCTTGTAATCCCAGCACTTTGGGATGCCGAGGCGAGTGGATCACCTGATGTCAGGAGTTTGAGACCAGCCTAGCCAACGTGGTGAAACCCCATCTCTACTAAAAATACAAAAAATTTCGCCAGGCGTGGTGGCACGCACCTGTAATCCCAGCTATTTGGGAGGCTGATGTAGGAGAATCGTATGAACCTGCTAGGCAGAGGTTGCAGTGAGTTGAGACTGCACCACTGCACTCCAGCCTGGGTGGCAGAGTGAGATTCCATCTCAAAAAAAATTGAATGTGGGATGTATGAAAATCTAATTATAGAAAACAATTTTAAAAACACTCTTCTCTTTAATATTTTTTGTGTACTAGAAGATTATATTTAGAAGATAATTCTGTTATGTTGAGCCCTTTATTAATTTTGTCTTTCATTCAGAAATTCTGAAGCATAATGTTAATAAAAGCAAAGATGATTAACTCTATTAGCTCTAGAGGATATATATGTATATAGAATACATATTATTTTATATTTGTATTTATTCTTTTTAATCTCTTTCATCTTTTTCAATATACAAGTGGCTACTTGGATGGTTTTCATATTACATTCTAATTGTTTTTTAATTTAATTAGGCAGAGACAATTTAGCTGATATCAATTTTTGAAAATATAAATACTATTATAGGGTTTCCAGTGCTTTTTTTGTATGGATTTTAGATGCCCTGAATCACAGATGTTTTTTCTATAATTCACAACTTCAGAAAAATTGTTTTAAGAGTCTTCATACAAGAGTTGTATTTGTTTATATATATATGTATATATGTGTGTGTATATATATATATATATATATATATATATATATGTCAAATACAAATTGAGAGTGTTAATCTGTGAGATAGTTTAAGTAAAATCCAAATCTGATTAAGATTCTTTCTTATCTCTATTCAAGAAATAAACATCGTCAATTAGGTAAAAATTGATTATTTGGCACTTCAGTTGATTTATATCACTTTCATTGCTTAATATGTTATGAATTTATTATATCTAATCAAAAACAACAAAAATAGATTGAGTTTTAACCCAAACTACCACATGCCTAAATGAATATATTTGGTAAAGACATCAAAGATTTTGAGTTTAGAGTATACATAAAATATATACCATTTTATCATTAACTTAAAATCTGTGGTATGATACTGTTCATTTTCTTCAGACATGATAATATTAAAGCTCAAAGTAAACATCCCAAATTTATGCAACGGGCAAGTGGAACAATCTGAGTTTAAACCCAGGTTTCTTTAAGCCTGAGAACAGGCTGTAAACTATGCACTACCTAACTTCCATCTAACAAGCACATGTCTGAGCAGGAACTCAAATCTTAATGAAATATGTTTCTAATAGGCACTTTAAACTGATTTCATTTTCACAACAACCTTTCCAGGAGCTATTTCTATCACCAACATGAGGAATGTGAGTGTGCAAGACACTAAAGAACGTGTCCACCTAAGCTCATAGCAGAAACATATAATAGACATGGGCCTTCTAGCTACAAGGCATGGATGTTTTCCAAAATTTTGTGCTTCTTGTCATCTGTTCTATTTATAAGATGGGAAACAGTATATTTTTCCCAAGTGAGAGACAAATTAGATAGCTGGCACTCCTTCAAACAAATTACATATTTTTAAATCACTTTTTCTCCTCAATAATATTATTATCACAGTGTATGGTAAAAAGGTTTTGGAATGGAAGAGATAGGACTTAACTGATGTACTACAGATTGTTTATAAACCTTCACTTATTGAAGGATATTTTATTTCTTTGCAGTTCGGGGCTATTTTAAATAAATCTCCTACCATGAGCAATTATGCACAGGTTTTTGAGTGTACATAAGCCTTAAATTCTATGGAATAAATGCCCAGGAGTGAAATTTCTGTGTCATATGGTAAGTGTATATTTAGTTTTTCAGAAGCTGTCAAAACTATTTTCTAGAGTGACTATACCTTTTTATATCCCCACCAGCAATGTATGAGTGGTATAGTTTGTCTGCATTCTCACAAGCATTTGGTAGTGTTACTATTTTTTATTTAAGCTATTCTAATAGATATGTAGTGGTATCTCATTGTAGTTTTAATTTGTGTTTTCCTAATGGCTAGTACTTTTCATATGTTTATTTGCCATCTTGTATCATATTTAGTGGAATGTCTGTGCCTTTTCCCTGTTTTCTAATTAAATTGTCTGTTTTTCTTACTGTTGAATTTTGTCAATTCCTTATAAATGCTAGATATGAGTGTTTTGTTAGATATATGGTTTTCAGATATTTTTTCAAAGTCTATATCTTTTCTTTACATTCTCATAAGAGGATCTTTCAAACATCAAAGGTTTTCAGTTGCAGTCCAGTTTACAATTCTTTTTTCTTATAGGCATCATGTTTTTGTGTCATGTCTAAGAACTTTCCATCAAACCTAAGTCCAAAAATGTTCTCCTTTGTTTTCTTCTAAAAGTTTTATAATTGTAGATTTTACATTCATGATTTATGTTTATTTACGATCTATGATCTACTTGGGGTTACTTACATTTTGACCTGTGAATGCCCACCTGCTTCATCTCTATGTTACTTGTAGTCTTTTTTTCTCCCTATGTTTAGTTTTAAATAATTTCTATTGCTATGTCTTCCAGTTTTCTAATCTTTTCATCAACAATGTTTATTCTGCCATTAAATCCATTCCCTAGGTTTTTATTTAGGCTTTGTAGTTTTCATCTCTGTAAGTTTTATTTGAGTCATTTTCACATCTTCCATGTCACTAGTTCACAAGCTCAATCTTTCTTGTAGCTCTTGAACACACAGAATAATTATAACTGTTTCAATGTGCTTATCTAAGAATTACACAATCTGTTTCAATTCTGGTGTTTTGGATTGTTTGCTTTTTCTCCTCATTAACAATTTTGATTTCCTGCTTCTTCACATGACTGGTGTGCTATGACAGCTTACTCTAGATGGCCTGGAAATAAGTTTGAGCTGTTCAAAAAGATATATTGTTGTTGTAGTAATTCTCAGACAAAGCTTGAAACATACTGATGATTTTGTTTTATAACTCTGGGTCATACTCAAATTTCAAGAGGTGTTTTGTTGTTATTACTTATTTCATTGGGTTTTAACATGCTTAGTAACATTACATTCTGGTAAATCATAATTGATGGTGTATACCTCCTTTTGCCAAGATCCTTAGGGTTTGACACTGGTCACAGTAAGAACCTGGCCAGCAGAATACCAAGAGTCTTAGGTGGAGACTGTTTTGGACTTCCTGGATCTGAGGCATTATGTGCACATGGTGGTGGTTCTTACAGAGAGAGAAAGCACTTTCTATATAGAGGGAGACAATTCAATCCTTCTTGCAGAACATTACTGGAAGCTAGCTCTTAGCTGTAATGCATATTCTTGCTTTAATCCTATTGCTATATTCTATGCTTTTCTTGCAGTAAAATCAAATTGTAAGCATTGTTATTTTGGGTCTGATGAATTTTCTTTCACAATTGAAGTATGATTTACTAACAAGTGTTAGTAAAACTGGTAATTTTTATCAAATGCCAGATGTTAAAATTTTACCTTGCTGGGTGCTGGATATTTTTATGTTTCTATTAATATTCATGAGATTTTTTTCAGGGATACAGTGATTTTATATAAAACAATGTGATCTTTTTTGGTTATTGCTATAAGATTTTTAGGCAGGACCAAATAAGTATTTAGTTTAGGGCTAAATTTGTATCCCCTACTGAAGCAAAACTATACAGAGTACTCCACTTATAAATTATGAATTTGTTTTACTTCGGCTGTTCCAAATACACACTCTGCCTTGCCCTGTATGAGACCTGAGAGTTGTCCTTTCCAATTTTTTCAAGTAAATTCTTTACCCAGTCTCAGGTATTTTCTTCATGTGTTCCCTCATAAGTAGTCATTCAAAGGCTTGAGCCAGACTATCTGCAGATCTTTAGAGCAATTTCTCTCTCTTTCTGTGTGTGTGTGTGTGTGTGTCTATGTCTATGTGTGTAGCTCTCTCCTTTCTAGTATTTTATCCCAACTAATCCAGTCACCTTGGCCTCCCCAGATTCCCAGATCTATCTCCTCAATTCATGCATATTCTGCTTAAATTCCTGCTCCCCATACCACAGTGTGAAAACTCTTCCCCAGGCAGTAGGATGGAGCATCATTCAGAGTTCACTATCCTTTCTTTCCTGATGTCCAATGAAATCTACTGGTTTAATATTTCTCTTTTCTTCTTTTCAATGTTTTTTTTTTTTTCAGATATGAGAGTAATTCTGATTCCTATTACTCTTAACTTGTCTGGAAGTAAAAGTCTCTGAACAATGTTTCTTCACATTTTATGTGAGAAAAAATAGGAACATATTAGCTTTATCTATCCTCTCTGTTATGACATTTAAGGATTTAGGGAGTGTAGAAAATAAAAATTTTAAAAAGTAGGATTTTCATAGAAATCAACCACTTATCTAAGCTGTGCTCTTATATTTCCCAGTCCTTATGTGTCATATGAGTTACCAGTGTACTTGAATAGCTCTCCTAGAACAGACTTCCCATTATAGTGTCTGACTTTTGGGCAAACGTTGGCATATAATTGTTGCTGAATAAATATATGCTTGATTAATTAATTAGTGAATTAATTCAATTAGAGATTATAGCCCCATATGGGAATCATGGGGTGACGCATCCTATTACATACAAGTAAATATGACAAATATTCATTATGTTATAGATTTCAACAAACAAGAAATCTTCAAAAAGAGAATTTTGTTGCTGATTTTTCTCACAAAGATAAAGAGACAATGGAAAGGTTACTTGTGGATTTACATATCACAAAATCTTCTAGTTTTATTTATACAAGAAAGTTTTTAAGTTTTATCAATAATGTCAAAGATGCCCCAAGTCTTTCTTGTGTGTGTGTGTGTGTGTGTGTGTGTGTGTGTGTGTGTGTTTAGAGAGAGAGATAGAGAGAGAGAGGAATAGAGGGACAGAGGGACAGAGGTAGAAGGGCATAACAGAAGCAGATATTGTACCTGGTCAGGAGGTTGGTTAATTCCTTAGAGCTCTTTATTAGAGAAAAAAATAATACCAGTGGGCCTCTCAGCATGTCAGACCATTGGGTTTCTTCCAAAGCAATTAATTCTCAGTAGGGTGCAAGTGAATTCATTAAAATAGAGAATTGTATTGCCTCTGAGGATTTGTGGGAAGGTTCAGATCTTTCAGAAGAGTAACAGCTGAATGAGCAAGTAAAGCCAATTGTAACTTTTCTGGTTTCTCAGTTATAATTCAAGTTGATTCAGGATGAGATACAATTATGGTAAAGGGTAACAATTGCTTTATCTTTACAGCAGAGTAGAATCGCTGTAGCTTATATGTATATTTGTAGGAATCTTTCATTTAATTGATGTCATAGATTAAATCAGAGAGACAAATGAAATAGATCAATTTTTTTTAATAAGGAAAGTCTGAAGCAGGAAATGAGTTTACCACAAGTTGCCTTCGAACCCTAGTACCTTTGGGATTAGTTCTAAATAGAAGTGGGTTTTGTTTGCAGGAGTGAGTGTGGGAATACCTAAGGAACTGTGTGTATGTATACTGACGAGTGGTTGCGTAAAAATGGTCCAGTCAGCTTCCATGTAAACTAGAACCTATTTCTGTTACTTCTGCTTTTCAGCAGTGGTTCTAAACTTCAGTGATGAAGTTAAAGATGATGAAAAGATATGTCATTGGAGGGTGTGATTCTAATGGTATACTGTTCTCTCTTTTAAATCATTAAAATATTGCCTGTTATGGAATCAATGCTGTGTCTACGTAAAATTCATATCTTGAAACCCTGTCCTCTAATGTGATAGTATAAGGTGGGGTCTTTGGGAGGCAATTGGAATTACATAAACTCATGAGGGTGGAGCCCTCATGAATGGGATTAGCATCCTTATAAAGTCTTTGGAGAGCTTCCTCTCTCTGCCATGTGAAGTCACAAGGAAAAGATAGCTGTCTAACTAGGAAGCAGGCCCTCAGGAGACACCAAATCTACTGATGCCTTGATTTTGAATATCTTAGCCTCCAGAAATGTGAAGAAATAAATTGTTGTTTAAGACACCCAGTATATGGTGGTTTGTTATAGTAGCCTGAACAGGCTAAGATATTGCCAAAAAGTATCCATGTATATTTTTACATGATTGAATTAATATTAATTTGTATTTAAATACAACTAGTTTTAATTTATAAGTAAAATCTCAATTGTTATGTGATAGCAGGTTATATTTGATCCAGCAGTTATGTATATTTAATGCTCTATTAACATCATAGGTAGTATAAAATATTTAATGTTGTTCTCTCACATATTTGCTTATGTATGGCTGCACAAATGCATTGAAAATTATGAAGAAATTCTATGTGTGATGAAATCATGTGGTATTTGTTTTTATTTATTGTGATGTACTTACTTGTGATATACTTTAATTAACATGACATACTCCTGGTTTATTCAGGTTGTGGCAAATGACAGGATTTCATTCTTTTTTATGACTCAATAGTATTTCATTGTGTATATATACCACATTTTCTTTAGCCATTCAACCATTGTTGGGCACTTAGGTTAAAAAAAGTTGCTATCATAGAATGAGAGATTAGTAGTTTCCAGATACTGGGAGGGAATGGGCAAAAAGAGAATGGGGAGAGGCTGGCCAATGACTACAAAGTTACCATTATATGGGAGGACTAAAATATAGTGCTCCATTGCACAACAGGTGACTATGGATAATAATAGCTAGAAGGCAGGCTTTTGAATGTTATCACCATGGAAATATGATAAATGCATGAGGTGATCAATATACTAACTACACTGATTAGATTATTATATAACATAGATATGCACCAAAGCATCAAATTATAGCCCATAAATATTGTAGTTAAAATGTGTTCATTAAAAAATAAATACATACATAATTATTTTAAATTATGGAAAATAAGATATCTTATTTAGGATTTTAAATTTAAACACTGAATGTGTTTGTAATTTAGAAATGTAGAATCTGCCCCTGAAACTTCATAATGCATTTAACCTTCAAACATACCTCCTTTTTATATGGTAATATAGGATTCAGGTAAGAAATATATATATGGCCAGGCGTGGTGGCTCACGCCTGTAATCCCAGCACTTTGGGAGGCCTAGGCAGGCAGATCACTTGAGGTCAGGAGCTTGAGACCAGCCTGGACAACATGATGAAACCCCGTCTCTACCAAAAAAATACAAAAATTACCTGGGCACGGTGGCAGGCGCCTGTAATCCCAGATACTCAAGAGGCTGAGGCAAGATAATTGCTTGAACCTTGGAGGCAGAGGTTGCAGTGAGCTGAGATCATGCCACTGCATTCTATCCAGCCTGGGCGACAGAGCAAGACTCCGTCTCAAAAAAATAAAAAAAATATATATGTATATATATATATATATATATTTCGAGAAATGCAAATGTGGTTCTAGAAAAAGCTTCCAATTATACTGTTCTCATTAAAAAATAAAGTGTCCAGATAAATATGGATTAGACAGGTCTTCCCTCAATGTCTAGGTAAAGGCTGGTAATCTTTTTGCCACTTTCACTGCAATAATTAGTTAGTCCTAAAGGGCTTGTTAATCCACTTTGCTGGCTCGGGGCAAAATTGCTATGTGAATGCAGAATTTATTTTCAGTATTTACTTATTCTTTTTTCATCATGCAGTGATCTCCCCAAGGCACCCAGTGGTCTCATGCTACTGTTCTCACCTGGCACCCTGGAGGAAAGTGACAACTCACTTTCCTTAAGGAAAGGCTGTAAGGATTTAGTGTACTTATTACAATTTCTTACTCTTCCTAGATATATTTGCCTTTTAAAGAAAGATGGTTAGAGTGCTATTTCTTCATTCAATGGATGGTGGAATTTCAGGTATCTGTTTGTGCATGTGTCTAGACAGAAAACTTCCCACTATTCCTTAAATAATGGCTTGCGTTTTTATAAAGTTAATCCAACATCTAACTGCAAGTCATGAGCCCTGCTAGATTTTGGAAAGAGACCAATCTATTACCCAAAACACAACTTTTTATTTTGAAACTCAATGTTGAATTCGTGTTTCATTACCACCTACCTTTTTCATGAATGCATGCCTTGTTTCTACTAGTTTGCTGATAGTTATTTTCTTCTCTATTTAACTGGTGATATTCCCAGTATCTAGCACAGTAGGTGTTTGAAAAATACAAGTTGATGAAGCTACCCTGCCCCCACAATACTGACCTAAGTTGTCACTTATGGTTCCTTAGACACTGCTGTTTAATTGCTTTCAATTATCTTAGCCCATGCCTACCCAAGCAAAATGAAGTGTTGAGTCAAGCAATTGTCTTGTGGATGTGATCAATATAGAAATTCAATATGGATAATTGAGGTACCCGCCCCAACTTACTTTTTCCTTAGTAACAAGTTTTTTTTTTTTTTTTCACCAGAATTGTTCAGATAATTGCCTCAACTGTCCGTTTTATTTTGCATCATAGACACAGGTCTGTAACTAACCTAATGGACCATGGAAAAACTGAATAGTCAGTGCAGTTCACAGATAGATCACCACCTAGTTGATTCATCTGTGGTGCTTCTGGTTAAATCAGGCTGATTGGCCTTGGAAAATTCCACTGATTCATTCTGCCCTTTCGTGGCTGAGGTCTGTAGGACATAGAGATATGGTCCTGACTTCTGTGTTTGTGAATAGTTTCATATCCATAATTTTTCTATGTCCAATATTTTGTCAACATACACCAAGGGAAATATATGACAAGTAACTGATTAGTATTGGAATTTGGATTGTACAGTAGATAGAGAACAGGAAGGTTTAGAACCTCAAATCGGTACTGACCGGAGAACGACAAAGAGAATAAAAGTCAAATTTCTTTAATATTATTAGATTGCTAAAGAAACAAATTCAGGTTAAGTAAGGGAAACCATATCCTTTTTCAGAAAACATTTTACCTGAATTATTGAAGTAAACTTTTGGACATAGCATAAACTTACAAAAATATTTATCAAGTGCTTTAAATTCAAACATTTGATAAATGCCCACATTTTTAAACTTTGGTTGTCCTAAGTCTCTTTCTAAAGTTGTAAACTAGATACACAAGTTGTGAGGGCCATATGATTGTAGTTTTTATCTTTCCCATAACTTTCTGTTTCTAACCAAGTTAGATACATCACACATTGTTTTAGAAGACATTGAAAATAGGCAGTTGCTTTTTAAAAAAAGAGTTGGAGAAGGGGTGTTTAAAGAATAATACAGAGAATATGAAAAATAGTTGGAAAGAACAATGGCAAATGCATAGAAAAAATGTAAGCAGATTACATGAAGCTTTTTTTATGTAGGTGTCATAATATTCTGGAATCATATTTGTTTACACTTGGCCCCAAAACTTTTTTTTATGGGAAAGCAGTTTATGTGGTTTTTGGCTATCTGCTGGCCTTTGCAATGGAATATTTTAATGGCATGTTTATAGAATAAATAGAATCACATACAAGAATTTTCCTCTTGAGATACATCTGCACTGAGATTTTAGGAAAAACATCCTTGGGAAAATATATTCACCTTAAATGAATTCAAACCCATTAAACGTAGTTATATATAATTACTGAATCTCCTCAAAACCTGTCAAAGTTACATCTTACACACCCAAGGTAAAGATTTTTGAAGGAAGAAATAGAGGAATAACTTTATCAAAGTAAATGCCAAGCTTTAGACTTTTAAAATATTAACTCACCATCTCAAATTTTTGAACTTTTAAATAATTTGCTTTCTTATCCCATCTCACCCTAAAAGTCCTAAGTTTACACTTTATTTTCATAGAGACAAGTGAATATACCCAGTTTAAGAAAACCCATAAAATGAAAAATATTGACTCCTCATAATTCATCCCCAAAGTGATTTGTTTTTTATTTTACAAATTAATTTTTCTAAAAATTTCCAGATAATTCCTTTAACATGTACTTTATTTCACCTATGTATGCCCTGCCAGTGTTGGATTTTCTGCAAAAGTGATGATTATCAAAGTGCATGTAATATAAGGCAAGGACTGTCCTGGCATGAGCCAGATCATTTCTGTCATAAATAGAAATGCCTTCTTTATTGATTGCTTTAAACAGGAGTCGTTTTGTATGTAAACAAACCTCTGCCAAAGTGAAATCATTAAATAAAAAGGGCATTTTATTGTTGCATTATTCTGGCAGCTTACTATTGTCAGACAGTATTTCAAATCACTACTGAAGGATGATATGCAGGGTAGTAAATGTTCCTTAGTATACTGCAGAATTAAAAATGAATGTAAGGGATTATCCACATTAAACAAAGTTTTATTTATTGTCAGTCTATAAATTCACTAATTTTTATTAGCCTAACTCTTTGGTTTGCTGTGTTTAGTAACCAACTGTGTTTTTGAAGAGAGCAGCCCATTAAAACAATTATGGTTCTAAACAACCTACACACCCTGAATATCAAAGCATACTTAGTATGCCATTCTAGAAAAACCACAGAGACCAGCTGGATAGGATTACCTCCTTTAGCAAAACTCAGTAAGTGGTATGTTAAAGATGGAAAAATGCAGGGGGAATAAGCTAATTAGAATTTTTATTAGGGGACTAAAGTAAAAGTTTGAATCTTGCTGAGTGTATGGAAAAAGTATCTGAAACAGTCGAGTTGGTTCTTATAGATGCTTTTGTGATGATCCAGTAGATATCCAGTCTATTCTATATGTAAGGTGCAAATATTTGTTGAGTGATGTCACATTGCTATCTTGAAATTGGCAACATTGAGTAGATTTTATAGTGGCTATAAGCAAATGCTACAAATCATGGCTTTATTTTATTTATTGATTTATTTTTCTCTTACATATTAATGTAAACCAAATGTTAATGATTATTCATGTCAGAAATACATTCACGAATCAATTTGCAATTGTATATTTTCTCTATGTTTAGAGAGGTTGGCAAAAAAAATCAGTGAAAGCATTCTGTAAGAATCAGTTGGCTATATTAAATTTAAAATATAGAGTACATTTGTCTATATCTTGGCTATGGTAAATGATGCTTCAGATGTGCAGATATCTCTTTGAAATACTGATTTCAATTATTTAGGTTATGTACCCAGAAGTGATATTGTTGGAATATATGGTAATTTATTTGTAGTTTTTCGAGAAACCTCCGTATATCTGTTGATCGTTTGTATATTTTCTTTGGAAAAATGCCTATTTAGGTCCTTTACCTATTTTCTAATATAGTTATTTGTGTTTTTGCTATTGAGTTGGGGAGTTCTTTCTATATTTATTGGTTCCCTCTCAGATATATGGGTTGCAAATATTTTGTCCTAGGGCTGAAGGCTGGTGAAAATAAGATGATTTAGGTCAAGGGGTACCAACTTGCAGTTATAGGATGAATAAGTTCTGGAGATATAATGTACAGCATGGTAGCTATAGTAATAATATATAATATATATTATATATATTAAGTTAATAATAATATATTGCATACTTGAAATTTTCTGAGAGAAGATCTTAAGGCTTCTCAGCATTTAAAAAAAGGTAACAATATGAGGTGATAATATGTTAATTAGCATTATTGTTGTAATTGCTTACCCATGTATATGTATATCAAAGCATCACATTGTACACTCAAGTATATATATTTAAACCTAGTATATTTTCTTATTTCTTAATTCTGTGCTATACATTATTATGCAAGTGAAAATCCCAATAACTGTCGTTACATGCTTACATGTATACATTTTTTGAGATCCCATTATTCAACATTTGCCAGCATACCATTAAAAAAACAATAAAACAAAAATTATAAATCTTAGATTTGATACCCAACAGTATGAGACTATGCCCTGGAATCTTTAGAATGATAGAGAAAGCCATTGCCAAAACCAGCTTTCCATTCAAATCCTGGGCTGTATTTTGAAATAAGAGGGTAGAAATAAGAAATTTGAAGAAATGGGCCATGTATTTATTTGCATGTTTAAAAATAATCAGGGCTTTCAAATATTGCAACTACATTATTTTCAAGTTAAAGCACAGTATCATTAAGTGGTATAATTGATCAAAAAATTCTTTTCTGTGGAATCTGAATTGACTAATGGCAGAAATGTATGGGTTGCAAAGACCTACTCCTTGGGTTACTCAAAGCAGTGACTGAAACAGCATTCAGGGAAGCAAACTGCTGCCCAAGAATTGGGCAGGGAGTGGGAAGTTAAATCAGTAAGCCACTGCTTAAAAGCCTATTTTTGCAAAGTGCTAACATAATTGCAAGACCAAATTGTTAAGATTTACTCTGACTTTATTGTGTAAAGTGTCTGCCTATATATAAATTTAGGAAGGTGTTCAAGTGGATTTGCAGAGTTATTTTAATTAATTCAAAAAATATAAAACGAAATAAAATGAATATAATCCTTTGTACATGTGAGTCCAGAGAAGGTGCATTGAATGTATTCATGAAATATATGTGGGTTGTTTTTTAACAACAATTTTAAAATGGTCTTAAAATCCAGGTAGAAATATTATTGTCATTTACCTTAAGTGGTAAGAAAACAAGTTTCCTTATAAACTGTCTTAAATGCTAAATCATAAAGGATAACTTAGATATTTTGAACCATGTTTATATTTCTGAAAGAGAGATTCTTAAATGAAAAATTCTTGTTATTTCTAATTATTTATTATTCTCTGTTTTAAATTTGAACGTCCCTGCTACTCACATTCATAGTTCAGATACATAATAAAAATTTGTGCCTGGAGTTACTACCAAATATTGATGAAACTCTCTAATTGTAATAAGGTGAAGAATAAAATGTTGGATGATACCCATATAGCACTTCTACTAGTGATGTTAAATTGCCCTATAAATAAATCATAGTTATATATAAATATAATTTATAACTACCAGACAATAAAAGCAGAAAATAAACTGTCATAAAAGTTTACTGC
This sequence comes from Homo sapiens, assembly GCF_000001405.40. Taxonomy (NCBI): domain Eukaryota; kingdom Metazoa; phylum Chordata; class Mammalia; order Primates; family Hominidae; genus Homo; species Homo sapiens. The sequence continues at coordinate 105,546,980 of NC_000005.10, forward strand.
TTTTTAGATTATTGTTCTCATTCTTAGAGATATACTAATACACAGAGAAGTAGACAAAAAACAAGCAATTGAACAGCGAAAAGCAAGGTCTAATTCAAGTAATTGTTAACTACATGGAATGGATTATGAAGGCCTAGAAGAAAACTGAAATGATTGTGGTGTGTGAAGTTTACCTGTAAAATGAAAGCAAATATTTTTTAAGTAATGTTAAGGTTGGAAAGTCTGATATATCAAATGAGCATAGATTGGGGGGTAGTAGAGTGGCACTTATTTAGTCAACATTCAACAAATATTTATTAAGCCTCTTCTATGAGCCTTCTACTGTCCTTGGCACTTGTATTGCATCAGCAAGCCAAACAACAATGCTCTGTACTATGGTAGAACTTCCATTCTAGCACAAGTAGGAACAACAAACAACCAAACATAACCAAACAAATTACATAATAATATTATTGGGTATTAGTTACTATAAAAAATGTGTAGTAGGTTAACGGTAGAAATCTAGAGATGTGTTGCATTTTAAATAGTGCAATCAAGGTCATTCATTGAAAAGATGAGATTTAACGAATGAATACAAGGTAGAGAGAGGATTAGCCATGGTCAGAGCAACAGGCATAAGGTAATAGTATAACAAAGAGGCTAGTCTGACTGGAACAAAGTGAACGAGAGAGAGAATAGTAAGAGAGATAATCGCAGAGGTTATGGGTGTGGACAGGTAAATGAAACTGGGAGCCTTCAGCCAGGTAAGCACAGAAATGATATGATGTTACTTAATATTTTTCTAATTTTTTCATTTTATAAAATGTATGTAACATAAAATTGGCCCTACTGGGGATTGGTTTTTACTGTTGTATAACCTAACTTATTCTGACTAATACATACATTAAAAAGAAAGAAGTATTTAGCTATATAAAAACTGCTAGTGGTTTCAGAAAAATTACATCTGTATAATGGACAATAGATTTAGCAAAGTGAAGGTTGTTCGTGATGTCGAGTAGATTGTTTTGAACAGAACACTTCTCAGAATGAATGTCTATTTGCTGTTAAGGGGAAATGGGAAGAAAGGAATTGAAAAGATTAGCATAAACAATTCTTCTGAGAAAATATGTTGCAAAGGGCAAGAAATAAGGCAATAATTGGGAAAGGAAATGAGATCAAGGCAAGATGTTGTTTTCAGAGAGAAAAAAATGGCGTGACACAATAGATGAGAATAATTTAGTAGAAAGAAAAAAACACTACTGGAAGAAGACAATAGAATTTTGTAGTGATGGCTTTGAGTTGTCAAAGGTGATAAGGACCAAGCACAACAAAAGGTACTCTCTAGACACGAGTGTGGGCAGGAGTGTGTGGCTCCAGATGCTTGGAGGCAGGTACGTGTCATGATGGAACACTGGAAGTTTCCTCTGTTGCTTTAATTTTCTCAGAAAAGTAAAAAAGCAAGATCACCTGCAAAGAGTGAGAATGGGTAGGGTGATAGGGGGAGGAGGATGTAGGAAAATATATAAAACAGTCGTCTAAACCACTAAGACATCATAATTTCAGAAGTTTGGTTTTACAAGAATCCTGAAGTCTCTGTTTTTAAGGACTATTGTTTCAAAAGCCAATGAATTGCTAAAGACCACCTTGAAAGCAAGCAAACAAGCTTTAATTTTCAATTGCAGCACAAGCTCCAATCACATATGCTAACAACTGAGAAAAAATAGTGTAAAAAGAGGCATTGAAGCGGACAAAGTTCCCTTGTCTCCCTCGCAGGGTGTGAGATTGGGGTGTGGCTCGCTTCTTCAATGCCCCCCTGCTCAAACCTCCAGGGGAGCATACAGACAGGCAGGCTGTGGGGTTCGACCCCACTGCAGTGTCTAGGGCTGAATGTTCACAGCTGAAGCCCCAGTGGGCATTTGTTAGAGGATGCTCTTTTAATTTGCCATCTATAGGTGGCTTGTGTTAACCACCTCAATTTTACCCCCTTCCTTATCACAAGGACAGAGGAATTTCTGTATCCCAGGGTTTCTTGCCTTGGTCTACTGGAAGAATTGGATCACGTGTGGGCTTGGAGAATGAGTGCAAGGTTTTACTGAGTAGAAGTAGCTCTCTGCAGATGGGGCCAGAAGGGAGATGGTTTTCCCCTGGAGTTGGGCAGCTCTGAGGCTCAACTCTTCTCTGACGCTCCAGCCAAACCTGCGTTGTTCCTCCTGTCAATGGCCTGCTGGCCTGACGGTGCCTGCTGGCATGCTCTTCCGCTGGTCTGCTCTCTACCACCAGCCATTCGTGTCTTCTTCCGCTGATGTGTTCCTCATGACTTCCAGACGCTTCTGTCTGCCTGCTAGGGTCTCGGGGACTTTCATAGCCACAGGATTGGGTCATGGTTGGCCATGGTGGTCCTGGGAAATGCAACGTTTGGGCGGGAAGGCAGGAGTCCCTCTCCTCACCTAGGTCATGGGGGTGAAGCCCTAGACAGGGACCTGCCTTTCAACACTCAGCACTTTTATTATCATTTAACAGGACCACGCTGTTCCCTTCCCAGCACTCCTGTATCAGCATGATCTAGGAGCCAGAGAACCTATAGTCAAAAACTGTCTAAACCCCATATAGGCCGTATTTCTTCATTTTGAAAATCAGAAGATTCCATGAATTTGGTAGTTGTTACTTAATGTCTAGAAATAAGACCACTGGAATTGGATGATACTAAAGGTCTAATCCAGTTTTAGTATTAATAACTATAAAAACATAGGAACAATGATTATTTCTTAAAATTAAGTGCTATTTATAATTATTTTACTGCTATGAAGAGTATATGTATATAATGATTACTTTGATTTACTTTTTGTTTTAGTTCCAGGGATTTTTCTTCTTTCTCTAATTCATAGTCATTTGCAGATGATCAGATTTATGCTCTGGATTTTCTAAATAAGTATGGCAGTGTTACTAAGTAGTGGTAACTACTTTAAGTTTCAACCAATAATCTCTCAGAAGTTTCAGCTGAGCAGTTCAATCCACAGTTAAAGTCAATAATGAGATCACTGGAAAGATTCCTCGTTTTAGAAAAAAAAGAAAGGGCCATATTATAGCTTTGGGTTTGCTAGTAACTCATTTGGGAGCTTAAGAACAAAATCACATATCTTTTGTTAACATCTCTGTTTTCTAAAGAGTAAATAACATGTACTCCATCTTTCACTCAGGAATTGACTGGGGCTAAATCCACTTTGTCCCTAATTTCCTCTGAGGAAGTTTGTATAGCAAAATACATCATCATATAGTTGTTTCTAAACAGCCCTAAATAAGAGTGCTCTCTTCCTTTGGGTTAAAACATTATTTTAATTATAAGTAAAAGGAAATTTTAGGATACCCAGAAAGAAAGTCTATTATAGGGCTCACGTTACTTTAAATTCTTACTAAAATAAATATTCACAACGTGCTTACCTAGTATCTGCCTAAAGATTGAAAATATCAAGTGATAACTTGGTTCTGAATCCCAGCTGGCATTGCTTATTTAAGTAGGTAGTTTATGAAAAGGTGTCTGTGACTTCCAGGCAAACTGTCCATCCAGTCCAGTAGAAGGAGATTTTTTATTCTGATGAATAGAATTTCTGGGATCTGAGAGAGCAAGGTTGTGAAACGAAGAGAAAATTGAATCACAGTTCCCTTACTCACTCTACCTCAATCCCGCTAAACTTTCTTGAGCCAAGTCCTAAACCAGGCAATCTCTTCAGTTCTGAGAAACAGACAATTTCTCCCTAAAGAGATTAACAAGATAGCCATTTGTTGATGTTAGGCAGCAGCATGGAGTTTGCATAGGAATCTCTTTCCCTTAATAAATAAATGCAGATATAGTAAAGAAAAAGAGTTACTATGTTCTAAGGTACATTTTGTTTAATAAAACATTTCTGATATTAATAGTTTTCCAAAGAGCAGAAAAAAGCATTGCATGGAAGGCATCTGGAAAACCAGCTGCCACAGATGGATGATCGTAAATATCTCAGACAGTACTGGTATTCTGACTTTCAGCAATTATTATGGATTAAACTATGTCCCCTGCAAATTCATAAGCTGAAATTCCTCCAATGTGACTGTATTCGGAGATAGAGAATTTAAGGAGGTAATTAAAGTTATTATAAATGAAGGCATAGGGGTAGAGATTTAATCCAACAAGATTGGTGTCCTTATAAAGAGATAGAGAAACCAGGGATGTGCACACAGAGAAAGGCCACATGAGGACATGGCAAGAAGGCAGGAAGAGAGGCCTCAGGAGAGATCAACACTGTCAACAGCTTGATCTTGGACTTCTAGTTTTCGGAACTGTGAGAGAAAAAAAATCTCTTTAAGACACCTAGTCTGTGATATTTTGTTATGAGAGCTGTAGCAAACTAATATAACAATTTTGTTGATTAAAAATATAGAGAGAGTTATTAAGACCTGTTATTGAACAGAGGAGTTAGGCATAGTGGGAGTAGGAAAGGTCTCTTCCTGAGACTTCAGTAAGTGATCAGGAAGCATAAAGTATAATTTCAAATTAATAAAATGCAAATAAAGTACCCATGTTTGAATAATACTTTTATAAAGATAAATATTTTTATAAAATAATAATTTAATTCCCATTATATATTACAACATTGCCAAAATTCACTTCCAAGTACAATGCTAGCATCAGTTAGTTTTAAGAATGTATATGTGTGCATGTGTATGACAGACAGAAAAAACATATAATGGAGTTATTCATCTTTAAAGGAAATGTTTTTTAACTTTGAAAAGATTAGAGAAAATTCTTAACATGTTCTTTAAGTGGTTTTTACGTATTGATGGTGTAGCCCAAATAATAGGTACATATTTATTAGAAGGTCAAAAATGAAAAAAAAATTTTTGTGTGCGTACCATGTTGAAAAGAATTTGTAAAATTTGGAGCAAATATAGACTTTTAGAAGTGCAAATAAATTCTGATTTAAGTGTTATTTCTCAAAATCTCTCACTTCTGCAGCACAAGTTTCCAGTGGTTCCACAACTTGGGGAAATTCCTTAATTAAAGCAAGCAATGAATACTAATATATAAGACTGTAAGTCTATTGACTTTTGACAAAATATATAAACTTTTGTATGTTTTGGCATCAGTTGCATTTTAAATTCTTTGAAAAATTGTCATTCTACCAAGCATACAAAAAGAGAGTTAATACACATTATAACACTGACGGAATTTCTAAATTATTTGCCTTCTGACTAGAAATAAACTGTAAAATTCAAAGTATGTGATGAATCTTTCAATATAACCTCCATAAAGTCTCATCAACAAAATTTTCTACTCAATTCAATGTTGCAATTTACATGTGGTCACACATTTTTCTTCAAATAATCTCTGATTGATGTCATGAAAAAAATGGAAAATTAATCAAATCAGACCTTCAATTACCACAAGACTCATCAATCTGTCATAATCTTTAAATTTGGATTTATATTATAAAAATACAGAAATATTTCTTCAATTTATATTGTTCTATAAATGTTAACTTACATTCTATGTGAAATATTTGTTTCCTCCATTTTTCTTTGATATTCAGAATCTCCCCACAAAAGGATTCATCATGTTCTATAAAAATAAACACTGTCTTTCAACAATATTTTAAGTACAAAGCCCACTTTATTCTATTTTTCTTATACTGTGTTTTATAGTGGATTTATTGAAGTCTAATTGATATTTAACAAACTGCACAAGTGTAAATGATACAAATTTTCAATTTTGAATTAGTATGTAACAGTGAAGATATCACTACTATTAAGATAATGAATGTAAACATCACCCCAAAGTTTTCTTGGGACCATTTATAATCATCCTCTTCAATTCATTCACACCCAATTCCAGGAAACTGTCGATCTGTTTTCTGTCATAATATATTAATTTTTTACTTTCTAGTAACTTAATACATGAAATCATAACATGCATATCATTTTTCTCTGATTTCTTTTACTCAGCAATGTTATATTCAGATTCATCCATGTTGTATCAGATGTTCATTCTTGTTACTGCTTAGTAGCATTGTATAGTATGGATATACCATGATTTGTGCATCCATGAACCTTTTTGATAATGATTGGGTGTTTCCAGATTTTGCTGAATTTAAGTAGAGTGACTATAAGCATTCATGAACAATCTTATATTACCATATGCTTTCATTAATATTCAGTAAATACCTAAAAGTTGAATGGGTGGGTAATATAGTGTGTATACATTTAGCATTATTAAGAAATAGCCAGAATGATTTCCAAAATGGCTGTACAATCTTACATTCCCATTTACAGTGCCTGGGGCTTTCTTATGGCCCACATTCACACTATCACTTTAGTTTACTAACTTGAAATAATGTGTAACTTTGATGACTTTTTCCAGTAGTTACAATTTACCAATTCTTGAAAATTGGAGATAGAGGCAGCATATTAGTCCATTAAAGACAAAATACACTATCTCTCTAACGTGACAAGTAGCAAAATCCAAAAAGATCAGAGAGCACTAAAAGATAATAACAAAAATAAGTGGGATTGTTTTAAAGTACACTAGTAGAATAGAAATGGACTTGAGATTCTCCCATTAACAATTATATTACCATGGCAAATTATGGTTTAGCTAGAATGAGGAATCTTATCCCAGTGAGAAAAGAGAAAACAAAATTAGGTAAACAGATTTTACAAAAACATTTTTGGGAAGATGACAGAACAAGGGTGGTTATGAGAAAATTCAGTATGGGGGATGGCTATGAGGAGTGAAAAACCTGGCCTGCCAGGGAACAGTCTACAAGACCTTGATGACCTGACAGCATGAGTAGAAAGAACTGAAGACAGACTTTGCTCTAAAGAAATACAGCGCTGGCCGGGCACAGTGGCTCACGCCTGTAATCCCAGCACTTTGGGAGGCCGAGACGGGTGGATCATGAGGTCAAGAGTTCAAGACCAGCCTGGTCAAGATGGTGAAACCCCGTCTCTACTAAAAGTACAAAAAATTAGCTGGGCGTGGTGGCAGGCACCAGTAATCCCAGCTACTCAGAAGGCTGGGGCAGAGAATTGCTTGAACCTGGGAGGCGGAGGTTGCAGTGAGCCAAGATTATGCCACTGCACTCCAGCCTGGGCGACAGAATGAGACTGCATCTAAAAAAAAAGAAAGAAAGAAAAAAAAAAGAGAAAAAGAAATACAGTGCTAAAATTCTCTGATTTCTTAGTAGAAAAATACTATCTAAAAAGATAAAAAGACAGATTGTTTCTGAAGTTTACAATAATGGGCTCACTGGTTCAAATTCAACAAATTTAGAATTTAGGGATTTCTTTGAAATTGTGTCACTAAGATTCAGTTAGGATTAGTTATAAGCTCACAGATTCTATGCTCAGAATACTGAGTGGAGACACTAGAAGAAAGTTTCTCTCTTTTAGCTTTTTATAAACTTAAAACATTCAAATCAGCCAAGCAAAAAAACTGTTTTGAATGCCCAAATCACAAAAGAACACCTAGAAGGTAATCAATGCTGAGCGAAAAATGGACTCAATGGGATTTAGACTGCTCTTTATGCTCTTATTCATCTGTTTTTTTCCAGCTACTAGATACAAAGTGGGAACTCAGTGACACCGCAACAAGAGGTCATTTTCAGCCCAGAGAACCTCCTCATTAACTTTCAATTATTTTTCCAGTTTGTAAAATCGCACAGTGTTTCCATGTTTCTTACATTCCTAACACATGTAGGTGGTTAATGTCTCTTCACATATGTTTCACAGCAGGATCTGAACTATTAGAACACTTTCAGCTGAAGTTCTTTTTCAATAGAGCATGTAAATGTGACCCCTGATGGGTGGTATTTCTTCAGACATGATAAGAATCACTGACTCAGCCACCACACAGCGCAAGGAGAACAGTAGCGGAAGACTTGCTTACTAAGTTTCATAGTCAGTGGATAAAGACAAATAGACCACACATGATGTTCTATGATATGTGTTATGCTTACTTAATTAACCTAGATAGATAGATAGATGATAGATAAACAGATAGATAGATAGATAGATAGATAGATAGATAGATAGACAGATAGATGGTGAAATTGCCTTCTAGATGTGTATGGGACATTCACTGAGCTGCCCTAAATAGTATCTACATGATTCCTATAATATATTTACTCATGGAAATTACCTGGATTTGTCAAAATACTATGTTGCAGAAATTAGATGTTTTCAGTGAAATTAATCTTAGAAGGCTACCTCGTTTATTGGATTTCTCCTTTAATGGAGATATGCAAACACATGTGAAGTTTCATTCTAATTTTCAATAAGCAAAAAAAACTAGATATAAGTGATTCAATTATGATTTTTCCAAATCTTATTCATTTTAGTCTAATTAGACCAAAAAGACATAAAATATTTCAAAATATTTAATAAACATTGGTTTTGAAATTTTCTAGGTCTATGTATCTTTACTTGCTATCTTACTTGATTCCCTCAAGAATCCTGCTGAAGGTGAGTACAGCAGGTAGTCAGATGCTTATGTTTCAAAGGGGGAAATTGAGGTTTAAGTCACCAACCAACAAGATTATACAGTCAGAACATAGTTCATAGTGGCATTTTAACAACTACAACTCTAATACCATGGCACATTATGCCATAAAGTTTGTTTTTCTCTACTTCAGGTCATGGAATAGTTACCTGCATACTGTTTTTTTTTTTTTCTATTTTATCTTTTTTACTATCCTTCCAATAGTGAGGCAAGTTCTGTCTACCCACAAACATAGACTTGCATTCAGACCTTCTACAGAAAGTTAATTGTTTAATAAATAAGTAAAGTTTTGATGATTGTGGCTAAACAGTGTACCAGTTAGTGATGCCACAGGAAACATATGGCAAAATCAATACAGGATAATTATAATTTCAGGAGGCTTTCCTTACAAGAATTTGTAAAGATATGGGGTAAGGAGAAACAGGAGATAGTGCAGTGGCCAGGTGTTTACCACTTTATACCAGAAGGGACTGATACCAGATCCTGGGACTAGGAAAGTAGATGAGGGTCTTCCATTGTGGAAAGAAAAAGCAAACTTTGGCAAGCCAACGAACTCTTGTAGAGAAGGTGTAAGTGGATAGATACCCTGCCTTCACTGTCCTCTCCATAATCTCCTGCCAGGGTTACCCTATTGGCTGAATACCTAAATGCACTGTATATATTAATGTAGTCAGGAAAGAATGGCCTTTGGTTGGAGAGATAAACATGGAGAAGGGTGGAAAGAGGATTTAGAAGAGTAAAGGGGTAACAGAGCAGACTTCAATGAGAGCTTTATTAAGATGAATAGACTACTTAGGCTATTTCTTCCTAATAGTAGAAAATTCTGTTTCTCCTCTATGTCTTTCCCCTTGGTAGATGTTTAGTGCATACTAATTTTTATAACTTGTGTCACACATACATTATCATTTGACTCTAAGAGAAGAAGAGGAAAGGTCTAGGTAAATACCTTTCTATTTCACCTGTCATGCACATGTACATGATATTAGAAGAGACTTCACAGGATGGGCATACCATTAGAATTCTCAGCAATATAGTAAAGAAAACTCCAGATGCCTCTAAGAATCAGGTAAATAACACAACTGAGTGAATTATGCTGGGTTTAAGAAAACATATATTTTATTTCATTATTTCAAAGTATGAAGTTTTTTTTTCTCCATCATTTCTTCAAATTTTATGGGGATGTGGCTGTTATTTTATTTTCTTCTCTCTTTTCTATTTGAGAACAAGAAAATGAAAATGATGACAAAATAAAACAAATAAAATTTTAACAACCCAGTAGTAATCAGTTCATATTTAAGGAAATTTGTAGTATCTTTTAGCTGCCTCCTGAAAGCGCTCTGGTTAGGTAAGACAAGCCATTCCGTTAATGTGTTACAGGAGTGCAGCAGCTATGGGTGGGCAGAAAGTTCTAGTTTTTGCGAAATCTAGCTACTCTGAGGAAGTGACTAAAGGACATTTTGTTGATCATAAGCTGTGTAAGTCAGTCACTTATTGACACAGTAGTATGGCCTAACATACAATCCACAACTCAGAAGCATACAAGAAATGCTTATGTCTGGCATGTCCAATGAATGACTTTCGCTGATCTATACTTGACTGAGGTATTATTACTCTTGCTTCTGTGCAGTAGTTTGTTCTTTGTAGTGTCTGAAGATTTGTTCTGCTAATTTTGACAGGGCTTGGTCACATATTGGGGCTTGGTAGATTATCAGCTTATCTAAGATGGTCTCAGTTGGGTTGATTGGGGCACACGAGTCCTTGTTTCATAGTTCCTATCTTCTAACATATGACAATGGGCAGGTTTTCCTAGAAAAGGGAGGAGCAAGAAGAGCCAGTCTCTCTGTTCAAGCATTTTTCATGTTTCTGCATGTGTCACATTTACTAACATCCCATGGGCCAAAGAAAATCACATGTCTAAACATAGAGTCAGATGGGAAGACACGAAAGGCTTAGAAGAATTGGTCACATTTGGAATAAGATTAAAGATTCTTTTCTTGTCAGAGCACAACACAGTGACCCTCCAATCAACAAAAGGTAGAACTCTTTGTTACTTATAGCTCTAGATAGGGCTGTACAGGGAGTTACACTCAGGACAGGGAGCAACAAGCTGAAGCTGTGAGAGGCAGCTTCTGCAGAGCAACCAGAGTGCCTGGGGTTAGCCAGCTTTCATGGACTTCTTGAGGATTGACTAATTTAAATAATTTTTAGGGCTCTGAGTTTCCAGGAATGTCTCCAGTTGTCTGATACCTGTCCCAGGGGTGACTAGGGCTGGTTCCTAGTGGTCCAAGAGTATGAGAATCAGATAACAAAAATGATAGGGGTGTGGACTTGAGTCAGGGCCTCAAAACCAGGGCAAGATTTTATTTCAAAACAAAACAAAACAAAAACTATATTACACCATGAATCCAGGCAGAGATGAAAATCAGAGCTATATTTGATTTCTACCACAGAATGGATTTCAGATATATCCTAACTTGTTTCAAATTCCGGTTAAACAAAATACAAGTTCATCTTACCAGACAAAAACTTTTGTGTTTCAACTCTCAGGACTGTATTAATTTAGCAAGGAGTCTAATGACTGCAAATGATCTTCATTTATCTGTATATAAAGCCTAACAAAAATCTGGACCTGGGGTGATTTTTCTGGAATTATGCTCCCACTATCATCTTTAAACCCATCCTATGAGAATTTGAGTTCTCATGAACTTTCCTTTCATAAAGAGTATAGCAGTCAGTCATTGTTAATGCCTGGTCTGTCTGGCCATTGTTTTCTGATTGAATAACTATACACGTTGCTTATGCTACTCATCAGTTTCTTGTGCACTCTGTTATCAAGTGAGCATTCCAAATCCAATAATCTTTGAGACAATGATTCTTTAAACCTGTGTGATTAAATGTGTACCTGAACCACAGTGAGTTCATCATGCACATCCTGCAGAACCCTGCCTATGTAAGAGTAGGTCTTCCGTGGTGCCAGGTCTATACTTGATCATTAGTATGGTCTGAATGAGTCCCCCCAAATTTGTGTGTTAGAAACTGAACTCCCAATGCAATAGTGTTGGGAGATGTGACCTAATAGGTGGTGTTTGGATTACAAGGGTTCCACTCTCATGAGTGGATTAATGCCCTATGAAAAGAAGTCAGCAGCAGCCATCAACACTGAGGCAAGATCTTCTGCCAGCAAAGGGATTACAACTCATTGAAGGCTCAGATCTAGCTACTCTGTGGAAGTGACTAAAGGACATTTCCTTTTGTTAGTCATAAGCTGTGTAAATCAGTTACATATTGACACAGTAGTATGGCCTAACATACAATCCACAACTCAGAAGCATACAAGAAATGCTTATGTCTGGCACGTCCAATGACTTTTGCTGATCTATACTTGGTTGGGCTATTATTACTCTTGCTTCTGTGCAGTAGCTTGTCCTTTGTAGTGTCTCATGATTGGTTCTGCCAGTTTTGACAGGGCTTACTCACATATTGGGGCTTGGTAGATTATCAGCTTATTTAAGATGATCTCAGTTGGGTTGATTGGGGCACATCAACCCTTGTTTCATAGCTCTTATCTTCTGACATATGACAATGGACAGGTTTTTCTAGAAAACGGAAGATGATCGTTAGCATTTCTTGGCAATAAACCTTTCTTTTTTTTCTTTTTCTTTTTGAGATGAAGTCTCGCTCTTTTGCCAGGCTAAAGTGCAGTGGCACGATCTCGGCTCACTGAAACCTCCGACTGCCTGGTTCAAGTGATTCTCCTGCCTCAGCCTCCCGAGTAGCTGGGATTACTGGCATGTGCCACCACACTCAGCTAATTTTTGTATTTTTTTAGTAGACACGGGGTTTCACCACGTTGGCCAGGATGGTCTCGATCTCCTGACCTTGTGATTCGCCCGCCTTGGTCTCCCAAAGTGCTGGGATTACAGGTGTGAGCCACCGCACCTGGCAAGCAATAAAGTCTTTTTAAATTAAGATATGTACATTGCATTTTTAGACATACTATTACATACATAATAGATTATGTTATAGTATAAACACAAATTTTATGTGCACTAGGAAACAAAAATTTGTGTGAGTTGCTTTATTGTGACATTTAATTTATTGTGGTGGTCTGGAATGAAATCCACAATATCTCCAAATTATGCTTATACTTTTTATCTCATTTCTAACATTGTTTTAATAGTTAGGACTATTGATAAAATGTAACTAAAAATAGTTACATTTTATCAATATGTAATGTCACTCTTTATTACCTCTTAATTCCTGAAGTAATTTTTTTTGTTGTATTAGTATATATAGCCACTCCACATTTCTTCTGATTCATTTTGCATGGTATACATCCCTATACTTTTAACTTACCCATAATATTATAATATTTGAATTTCTTATAAACAGCTGATACTTTTCCCATTCTGACAATGTATGTCTTTAATTGTTATATTTAAATCCTGCTTTCATTTTCTATTTAATAGTTTAACCTTTTAATTTGAAATCATTATAAACTCATGAGAAGTTACAAAAATCTGATAGAAATGTCCTGTGTAGCCACCATTCCGGTTACACAATGGTGGTATGTTACAGCATTATAGTGCACTACCAAATTCAGAAAATTGATTGACCCACTACTATTCATTAGACTATGGGTAACCTTTACAAGTTACAAATTTGTGTATACAATATTTTTTCATACATTTTAGGAATAATTCTATGATACAATATCACATTGAGATATCAATATAATCACCACCATAATCAAGATAAGATACTATAACATCACTTCAGAGTAACTCTATCATACTGCCCCTTATCACATCTTCCTCTCCCTAATCTCTGGAGTCACTTATTCACTCTCTATAGCTTTAATTTTGTCATTTTCGAGAATGCTATATAAATTGAATTATATAGTATGTAATATTTTTGATAAAGACTTGTTGCACTCAGCATAATGCCCTTAAGATCTATGCAATGGGTTGTGTGTTTAATACTTTGTTCCTTTTGCTTGTTGAGTAGTATTCTATCATACAAAATAAGTTTATTTAACTATTTACCCATTGAAAAACATTTGGGCTATTTCCGGTGTTTGATTATTACAAATAATACCACTGTGAATATTTATCTACAACATTTTTGTTAACATAAGTTTTTCTTTTCTAGAATAAATGTCCAAGAATGTGATTGCTGGGTCATAAGCGAAGTGTGTAATTTCTACTAAGCTGCCAGACCAATTTAAGAGTGAGTGTACTGTTTCATATTCTCACTAGCATGGTATGAGTGATCAAATTTTTCACACTCTCTTTTTATGTATTTATATGCATAACAGAGCCATAAATAACTGTCTCCCAACAGAGGAGTCCCCGTGTTGTTTTCATTCCTGCCCTTTTCCTCCTTAAATACAAAGGACCAGTTCTAGAAAACCTGTCTCAAACTTTGTAGTGAAAATTCTGCCATTGGTCTATAATACAATAGTGCACAGTAAAAGTAGAAAGCAAGAGTAGCAGTATAAATCTTTTCATTTTACAGGTGTGAAATTTTGTGAGGAAAGAAAAGAGAGAGAGACAGCCAGGAAGGGAGGGAGAGAGAAACAGAGACAGAGGGACAAAGAGACAAAGATAAAGAGAGGAGCCAGAGGGCAAGAAGGAAAGATGTCAAACCTGATCAACTAGAATTTTGAGCATTATATTCAGCAGAGCACGATATTCAGCAGAAATGAAATTTTTGCTATGAAAAAAGGAACTCATGATATCATGACAAAAATCTTAACTTTATGCTTTGAGATTTCAAGTCCCTTGATTTTCTCCATGAAGTTTCCCTACTGGAGGCTGAGGAAAGAGAAGGTAATCTGATAGACTGAATAATTTTTCCTAGAATAACAAAACAGTATTTGAGGGTATTGCTTTTTATTGGACTGAGTTGTTTGTTACATTATACTTTTGGTATGTATTTTTCTTTTGAGAATGACATACAGAGACTAGAGGTGACCTATAGACACAATAAATCAACTACTTGTCTGCCTAACAGATTTCTGAGAAGATAAATATTAACTTGCTGAATTATTTAATCAAATTGTTAATTAAATCATTATTTCACTAAACGTTTACTGACAACCTGAAATGTTCCAGATAAAAAGTTAAGACGCTGGAGATTCCAGAGAAATGTGAGACTAAGAAACAAGATAGAGAACCTGACCATATTCTTAGTAAATTGTTATAAAGGATGCAAAAAAAAAAAAAAAAGCAGCCAAAGGCTAGAAGGAGATTTTGAGAACTTTTAAACTTAATCTTTAGAATTTGTGGGCTTTCTATCTTGACTAAAAAAGGCTTTTGAATTTTTTGTTTTGTTTTGTTTTTTTGAGACCGAGTCTTGCTCTCTTGCCCAAGCTGGAGTGCAGTGGCGCGATCTTGGCTCACTTCAACCTTCGCCTCCTGGGTTCAAGTGATTCTTCTGCCTCAGGCTCCCAAGTAGCTGGGATTATAGGCAGGCACCACCCACCCAGCTAATTTTTGTATTTTTAGTAGAGACGGGATTTCCCCACATTGGCCAGGCTGGTCTCCACCCGCCTTGGCCTCCCAAAGTGCTGGGATTACAGGTATGAGCCACTGCACCCGGCCAAGACTCTTGAAATTTTTAAACGTGAACTGATTTGTTTTCTAAGGAAAGATGTAAATGCAATGAAAAGTTTGAAAATGCAGGTAAATGAGAGTACAGTATTATCCTTAGTCAGCAGGAGAAAGTAGAAAACAGGAAGAAAGAAAGAAGAGATGAAGATGAATATAGACCTAGATTTTATTGTAGGTATGGTAGGAGCAAATATTAAGATAGTAGGTTCAGCATGGCCTCATTTATTTTTCCTATGAAATAGGTGATAAAGTTTTAGCCTGTGAATGCGAAATGCAGAGAACTGCTAAGTAACTTGAAAACAAAAATGTAGAGCACACGGCGGACATATAAAAAAGGAAATCAGTGTGGATATTCTACACCTTAGAATCTTAGCAGTTGTAGATCAAGGGCTGGCAAACTACTTCTGTAAAAGACCAGACAGTAAATATTTTAGGTTTTGTGAGCCATATGGTCTCTGTTGCAAGTACTCAACTCTGCCATTGTAGCTAAAAACTGCCATACATAATAAATAAACAAATGGGTATGGCTGTGTTTCAATAAAACTCTATTCACATAAACAGGCAGCAGGCCCAACAAATTTCTGATAGAAGATAGGCCTTTCAGAATACATTCACAACAAAAATTGGAAATATTTTTGTTTCAACAATTGGCTACATTTCAAGAGATAAATTGAAATATGCTCTATAAATTAACTTGGATGTAACTTTAAATCACTGAAAATATTTGGGAATGTGGAAATTAAGGGAGAAATTCAAAATGGGAAAAAAGAAGACGTAAAAAGGTTGGGGTTGGAAGAGGAAAACAAAGTAAACAAATGACAACTGGTGTGAAGGAGAAAGAGCAAAAGCAATGTCAGTGAAGAAAGAAGAACTTCCTGCTGTGGCCACTTCTTTCTATTACTCCTGCTGTTCTTCTTCACTCATTGCTGTTCTTTGCTAACTGTATACACACTCTTTTTTCATCCATTAACCAGTGTGCGTGAAATCTTTTTATGGTATTTTAGTTGGATGGAATACTATTATACTAAAAAATTGTAAGAAAAAAATGCCTCTTTATGCATACAATTGCCCAAAGAAAAAATAAATGAAATCTAAAACAGCATTTGAAAAACAGAAATTCTAAATATAAAAATTATAATAAATGGATTTAGGTATTATATAAATAATAAATATTTAAATACATTCAGTTCATTCCAATATAAATCTAATAACTTTCTAATATTACATTGTTTGTAAAGTTACATATACTAATATGTATATGAAAGACTGCAGTAAAGCATATTGCTCTGTGGAAAACTTTTTTTACTTACTGATATATGAAATGAAGTAGTCAAATCTTTGGTTTTACTTTAAAAAACTAGCTATATTTATAAAAATCTAGTAATTCTTTTACATAAACTAAAATTATCATTAGATTTATACCCAGTGATAACAAAATATTTGAAACTTTTAGCAGATTTAACCTGAAGAATGAATTTCTCTTGTTTGAAAATTTCTTATTCCTATAAAAGAATGCAAAAAGGCATTGAAATTCCTTTGAAATCTTATTTATGCCAGTATTGATATGGAAGTGCTGGGAATGGAAGAGTGTGGTCCCTTTAAATAAATGATACGGAAGCGGGGAACGAAGTGCTGGGTAGAGAGGGCGAGGTCGCTGGCTAGGGCTCTACCCCCACGGACACGGACCTAGCTGAAGACCGGCACTCCTGCCTTCACGCCCAAATGTCACATTTCCCAAGACTACCCTGGCCCATCATGCGCCCATCCTGTGCCTATAAAAACCCAAGACCCTAGCAGGCACACACACACAAGTGGCTGGATGTCTTGAGGAACACATCAGCGGAAGAAAACACAAGCCGCTGGTCATAAGTGCACACCAGGGGAAGAGCAGGCCAACAGACGCCAGCATGCCGGCAGGCCATCCACCGGTGGGAAGAGGTGCAGTTTGGCCCGGGGCAGTCAGAGAAGAGCCTGGATCTCCAAGTGGCCCAACTCCAGGGGGAAACCATCTCCCTTCTGGCTACCACATCCAGGGAGAGTTACTTCCACTCAATAAAACTTTGCACTCATTCCCCAAGCCCACATGTGATCCAACTCTTCCAGTACAAGGCAAGAACCCGGGATACAGAAAGCCCTTTGTCCTTGCGACAAGGTAGAGGGTCTAACTGAGCTGGTTAACACGAGCCACCTATAGGCAGCAAACTAAGAGAGCACCCTGTATCACACGCACACTGGGGCTTCAGGAGCTGTAAACATTCACCCCTAGAGACTGCCATGGGTTCGGAGCCCCACAACCTGCCCGTCTGTGTGCTCCACTAGAGGATTGAGCAGCGGGGCACTGAAGAAGCGAGCCACATCCCCATCGCACGCCCTGCAAGGGGGACAAGGGAGCCTTTCCCATTTCAGTATCAACTGAAAAAGGTCATGCTAGAACAGCAATATTTACATGTCAACTATCGATGGTCTCCCTCAAGTCAACCACAATTTCAAAAGTACATGTACTGTTTACATTGATAAACTGGTAGCCAGTACTTTATATATTTTCAAATGTATGAATCATCAAGAGACAAACATTCTCACATTGGTACATTAGAATACTCTAAAAATCACCTACCATAAAGACATAGGTCGTAGGCATGTTGATGCAATAATGCCTTTTTTAGATTCAGAAACAATTTGTTAATATTTATTATAATTAATATCAACTGACATTATTTATAAACAATTTCATAAAAGCAAATCCCCATTTGCTGTGAAATTCCAGGTATATTACAACAGTACAATTTAACACAATTTCATGATAAATCTTTCTCCTCTACCATGTAAAGGTTTAATATTAATGCTCCTTAGTAATATATCCCCTAAATTTTCTTTTTTTTTTTTCAAACCTTTTTCAAAAGCAATGAACAGTGCCCAATTATAGGCACGTTTTAGTATTCAGTAACTGGTTCTTCCTAACTCAGTAGCTTTATGCTGTTACACATGTTGCACTGCCCTAAACTTTTTAGGGAGTGAGTGGTATGAAGAGGAAGGTTTGAGAAAATATTGGAATACTACACATCTGTTTTACATCTTCACATCACCAAATATAAATAATATGCATAATTCTCTTCAAAACAAATAGCTTTGTGTTGGCAAAATGGCACTGAGTTTTTCTTAAAAAATTTGTTTCAACTCGATAGCAGTCTTTTTGCATGAAGCACTCTGGTTAATTTTGTATTTTCCGGATTACTTAAAGGAGCTGGGAAAGGAATGTAATAAGTATTTATGAAGAATCTGGAGTAGCTTACCCAGCTGCCTGAGGAAGAAAGAATAAATCTGAGGGAACAAAAAGGATTTCTTTTTTCTTTTTGATTAAAAAAATTTTTTTTATGTATGGGCAACCCCCTATTCATTTCAGAGGAATGATAGAATACCAGTCCACAAAAGCTTATAGCAAGCCCGAAGCAACAGTTATACATTCTCAACATTTACTCTGGAAAGAAACATTGGGTCTGTCAGGCTTGATGGTCTGAGATTTATTTGACTGACTGCATGACTTTACTCTGGGGCATTTTTGCTTTTCTGAATTCCCTCTGCTTCCTTAAATCCTACTCATTCTTTAATGCTTGGCTCATTTTCTACCCTCATTCACTCATGTTGTTTCTCCAGATTACTCCAGCTTCTTTTGATTTTCCTTTTTCTGAGGTCCCAATGCATATTTTAAAATTCAAATTGCACAACTCTTTGCTCAAAAACTATTATGTTTGTTTCTGCATCTCTTGTGCCTAGCTAGGTATTTCATATGTAGTTGGTATTTCAGACATATTTGCTTAAAAAATGAATATTAAACACTGTTTGCTTTTGAATTTAGTGTTTAATATGTCTTATTTCAAAGATAATTTGAAAAATGAAGATGCAATAAAACCAAACCTATAACATTTTTAGAATTATGAATGAATGGAAAAGTTGTGCTACTATTGAAACTGTTTAATAGGCCGGGCGCACTGGTGCACACCTGTAATCCCAGCACTTTGGGAGGCCAAGGAGGACGGATCATGAGGGCAAGAGATCAAGACCATCCTGGCCAACATGGTGAAACCCCATCTCTACTAAAAATACAAAAATTAGCTGTGCATGGTGATGCGTGCCTGTAGTCCCAGCTACTTGGGAGGCTGAGGCAGGAGAATCGCTTGAACCTGGGAGGCAGAGGTTGCAGTGAGCCAAGATCATGCCACTGCACTCCAGCCTGGTAGCAGAGTGAGACTCCGTCTCAAACAACAACAACAAAAAGAAATTGCTTAATGATGGTAGACAACTGAATCCAGAGAATATAAATATATTGGCTACTATAATTGGCTTGAAATAAATTCTTAAGAAGTTTAGGGAGTTAGAAAAACTAAAAATATAAATAAATAAACAAATAGATTTTTAAGCTATCTAGTCAGAGAGAGAATACATATACATTTTGGCAACAAATTTCTATTTAATTTCTTTGGAGCTATGTTTTGCTTTCTTCCATACTTAATCTTATAAGGAGTAAATAATATTGAGGATAGGTATATTACATAATTTTTTAACTTTTAAATTTATTCTGAGAAATAAAATTATGGCATTCTGGATTGGGACATAAAAGATAGAAGAGGAGTTGCTATAAAGTAGGTGGGAAATATTTGGAAGAAACCAATAATTTCTTACCACATAGTAATTTCTTGTAATTATACTGGCAGGTACAGAATATGGAGAGAAGTGAAGTTGCCAAAAAGAGGTCTAAGCCTGGTGCTTTATGGAGAACAGATCTGACCCATAGAAATTTTCTCTTCACTCAGTCTTTCTTTGGCAGTTAAAGGTCATAAAGAGAAACAGATGAATAAGCAAAAGTCATCAAATTTTCACAAGATACAAGTTCTAAAAGAGAATGTGAGACAGGAGAAGCATTTTCCCTTGGGGTGTTGTTAAAAACAAATACAAGCATTTTAAAAAATGTTCAACTATCTGAGACATTGAATAACATTTGAAGCCAATGACAGGTTACTAAAGAGCTTAAAATGAAAACTTGAGTAATATTATGTCCGTAAGGGCTTTGAAATACTCTCATATTTCTGAGACCCTGGAAGGCCACATACATGCATGGAGTGGCAAACATGCCTAAAGTGGTGCATGCTAAAGAAAGTCCTGAGAGGGCACTGAGCTCTCACTTCTGACTGATCTCGAGGTTGTCACATGCAGGAAGTGAAGGCTAACTCACTGATGAGGTAAAGTTGGAGGCGTGGACCAACATGAACCTAGAGTTTCAACAAATACAGTGAGGCTTATGCTTTCCAACAATTATAGAAAATCTTCATCCAGTCGTTAGCTGAACAGAAAGATAACCAGGCAGAGTCTCCATAGCCACAAATAACAAAAAATACAGGCTTTACAAAATTAGTTCAGAAAACTCATTAATCAATCAAACAACAACAACCAGCTCCAGGAAGGGAGGAGATTCTGATATTCTGAGTTGACATATGTTGTTATTTATAATGTTCAGTTTTCAACAAAAAATTATGAGCCATACAAAAAAATCAATAAAGTATGGCTCAAACTCAGAAAAGAAACCAATAGAAACAATCCCTGAGGAAGTACAGACATTAGCCTTACTAGAAATTTTAAATCCCTATTTTAAATATGTTCAAGTAACTAAAGGAAATTGTCACTAAAAACTGAAGAATAGTATGTGAGTAATGTCTCACCAAATGGGGAATATTAATAAAGAGAGAAAATTACAAAGGAAAAAATTAAATAGAATGTCTGGAATTGTATACTTGCAATAAGATATCACTAAAGGAGACACAAAAGCATATTTGAGTAGGCAGAGCAATGAATCAGAAAACTTGAAGATGAGTCAATTGAAAATTTCAAATCTGAGGAACAGAAAAAAATGAAAATGAAGAAAAAAGAACAGTTACTAAAATACCTTTGGAACACCATAAAGTATACCAACTCATGCATACTGAGTTTCCCAGTAAAAGAGTGACATACAGGGGGCAAAAATGTTGATAAAAAAATGGCCAAAAACTTCCCCAATTTAATGAAAGAAATGGATCTGTACATCCAACAACCTCAACAAATTTTAAGAAGATAATCTCAAAGAAAGCCAGATTATAATTAAACTGTTGAAAGTCAAGACAAATGAAAAGTTTTAAAGGCAGAAAGAACGAAACAACATATCATGTCCATCAACCCATGAACTGTTGATTTTTTATCAGAAATCATCAAAGCTAGAAGTCATTGGGATAACATACTTGAAGTGCTGAATGTAAAAGATTCTCAAGGAAGAATTCTGTATTCAGTGAAAGTAACCTCCAAAAATAAAGGAGAAATTAAAACATTCCCAGATGAAGAAAAAATGAAAAAAATTGTTGCTAGAACATATAGCCTATCAAAAATATTAAAGAGAGTCCTTCTGGTTGACATAAAAAATGCTAAATAGTAACTTCAATCTACATGAAGAAATAAAAATCACTGTTGATACAGGTTAGCTGTCAACAAAGTAAGTCAATATATTTAAAATGATTGAAGCAATACAAAATAACTTATCTGGTCTTAATGGAAATAAATCAGAAATCAATAACAGAAGAAAATTTGGTAAATTGAAAATATTTGAAAATTCAGTGACAAATGGATAAATAAGCAATGAGAGAAAAAAATTACAAGAAAAGTTTAAAAATATTTTGATATGAATAAAATAAACATAAACATATCAAAAGTTATAGAATGAAGCTAATACAATATTTAAAGAAAAATGTATTTCTATAAATGCCTAGTAAAAAAGATCCAATGAATGGCCTAACTTTCCAACTAAAGAAATGTAAAAAGCAAGAGCTAGGTAAACCAAAATCAAGTATAAAAAAAAACCAATCAGATCAGACATAAAAATGTCAACAATAAAAGTAGGAAAAAAAATCGACAAAGCTATAATTTTGTGCTTTGAAAACAAGTTAACAAAGTTATATCTTTACAGAAAAAGAGAATTAGAAAAGACTCAAAGTACTAAAATTAGGAATACAAGAGGTAGCATTACTACAGAACTTAAATTTAAGTTAATCAAATTAAATTGGTTATAAGGGAATACTAAGAACAACTGTATGACAAAATTAGATATCCCAGAGGAAATGGACAAATCACTAAAAAGAGATACTACCAAAACTGACCCAAGAAAAAAGAGTCTGAAAAGACTTATAACAAGTACAACAGATTTATAACAAGAAGATAGATGGTTAATAATTAAGACAGTTTCTCAGGTGAATTCTACCAAATGTGTGAATAAGAATTAATATTGATACTTCAAAAACTCTTCCTAATTAGGAGGATGAGGGAGTATTCCCTAACTTATTCTATGAGGCCAGTGTTACCCTGATTTCAGAAACAGAGAAGGACATCCTAAGAAAACAAAAACTACAGATTAACATTACTTATAAATTTCTACATAAAAATATTCAACTAAAGAACTAACAAACTTAATTGAGTGACATTTAAAATAATTATATACTATAACTAAGTGGAATTTATTCAAGTAATTCAAAAATGTTCAAAATACAAAAATCAATCAATGTAATACAACATATTAATAGACTATAAGACAAAAACAATACAGGCAAAAAAAAGCATTTGATAGAATTCAACTTTTTCTTGTAATAAAATTACTCAATGAAATAATAGTAGAATGGAACTAAGGACAAAGAGCACCTATAAAATATCTACAGATACTATCTTAATAGTTAAATAGTTAAAGCTTTATTCTTAAGATCAGGAAAAAGATAAGAATGGCCAGTCTTGCCACTTTAATTAAACATAGTAGTGGAGGTTATGGTAAAAGAAATTAGGCAAGAATATAGGTAAAAAATATAAAGATTGAAAGGAAGAAATGAAACTCTTTTTGCAGATGAAAAAATCTTTTATATATAACATTTTACGGTGCACACATACATAACACGCATGCAATTAGAGCTAATGAACACAAATATCAAGATTGTTAGATACCAGACTAATAAACAAAAATCAATTATATCTCTATATACTAGCAATAGGCTGGGTGTGGTGGCTCATGCCTGTAATCCTAACACTTTGGGAAGCCGAGGCAGGCAGATCACCTGAAGTCAAGAGTTCAAGACCAGCCTGGACAACATGGCGAAACTCCTAAATACAAAAACTAGCCAAGCATGGTGGTGTGCACCTGTAATCCTAGCTACTCAGGAGACTGAGGCTAGAGAATTGCTTGAACCAGGGAGGTGGAGGTTACAGTGAGCTGGGATCCTGCCAATGCACTCCAGCCTGGGAGAAAGAGTGAGACTCTCAAAAAAAATTAAAAAAAAAAAGCAATAAATAATCCATCAATAAAATTAATTAAATAATTTCATTTATAATATCAAAAATATAATATTTAGAGATAAATGAAACAAAAGAAGTACAAGGCTTTTACACTGAAATATAAAATGTCATTGAAAAATTTTAATAAGATCTAAATAAATGGATAAAATATTCCATGGTCATGAATTGGTAGACAATATCACTAAGATCAAAATGCTGCCCAAACTGATCTACATATTCAAAAGCTCCCTATCAGTATCCCAACTGGCTTCTCTTTTGTTTGCAGAAATTGAGAAGCTAATTATAAAATTCATATGAAAATGCAATGAAGTGAGATTAAGAAAAACAATTTTGAAAAAGCAGAACAAAAAAGAGTCACATTACCCAATTTTAAAACTTCCCTAAATTTTCAGTAATCAAGAGAGTGTGTGATAAAGATAAGCCATAAGGAAAAACATATAGGTCAATGGAATAGAATTGAAAGTCTGGAAGTAAAGCCATACATTTATAGCCAATTGATTTTTGGCAAGATCTTCCATATGGAAAAAACAATGCTTTCAATAAAGAGTACTGGAAAAACTAGATACACACAAAAGAATAAAGCTGGAAATGAAAAAGCTAACATTATAAATCTTTTATAAGAAAATATAGGTAAACATTTTTGTGAACTTGGATTAGGCAGGGGTTTCTCAGGCACCTAAAGTGGAAACAACCAAATAAAAAATAAAGTGGGCTTCATAAAATTAATATCTTTTGTACTTTAAATCAGCTATAAAGAAAGTGAAAAGATAATATGTGAAATGGAAATAATTCTTTGAAAATCATTATATCTGTTGTATGTCATTGCCAGGACATATAAATAACTCTTACAACTCAACATTAACAACAAAAAAGTCCCAAAAGATTTGAATAGTCATTCCTTCAAAGAAGATATACAAATAACCAATTAGCACCTGAGCAGATGCTCAATATCATTAGTCATCAGGAAAATGCAAATCAAAATTCTGAGATACTCTTTCATGCCCATGAAGATGGCTATTAATAATAATAAGACAATAACATGTTTTGACACAGATGTAGGGAAATTGGTACACTCATACACTGCTTATGAATCTGTAGATTTGTACAATCATTTGGGTATCAGTTTGGCAGTTTCTCAAAAAGTTAAAAATACAGAGTCAGGCACAGGGGCTCATTTCTGTATTTCCAGCAACTCAGGAAGCTGAAGTGGGAAGATCACTTGAGACTAGGAGATGGAGGCTGTAGTGAGCCATGATTGTATCACTGAACTCCAGACTGCCTGACAGAGCTAAACCCCAACTCTTAAAAAAAATAAAATAAAATAAATAAAAAATACCATATGACTCTCTAATACCAATTCTAGTTGTATACCCATAAGAAGTGAAAACATATGTTCACAACAAAACTTGTACCCAAATTTTTATAGCACTGTTGGTAAGAGCTAAAAGGGTCAATCAAGTGAAGAATGGATGAACAAAATTGTGGTATGCTCATATAATGGAATACTGTTTTGCTAGGAAAGTAATAAAATACTGATACCTGCTAAAACATGCAAGAAGATTAAGAATATCATACGAAGTGACAGCAGTGAGGTGCAAAAAAGCCAAGTATGTGTTCATGTTTATGAAATGCCAAGAATAGGAAATTCCCTGGAGATAAGTTTATTACTGGTTACTAGGGGATGCAGGCAGAAGAGAATGACAGTGACTGCTACTGGGTTGCAATTTCTTCTTGGGCTGATGAAAATATTCTAAAATTAGATAATGGTGATGGTTGCACAACCTTGCTGAATATATTAAAAAACCAAATTTGAATTGTATTTAAAAGGATAAAGATTAGAGTATATGAATTATATCTCAAAACATCAACTTTACTGAGGTATAATTTACATAGAAAAATTGTACATTTTTAGTATGCAAAAGTTTGACAGATATGTACACTTCTGTATCCATCAGCCCAGATGTCTCCATCATCCCAGAAAGTTTCCTTTTACCATTTTGTAGTAAAAATCTAATCACCCCATGGGCTTGAAGCCACTTATTACATTGACTCAAATTTCAATTCTTACAGATTATGTAAACACATATATCCTCCATTTATTTAGTTTTGAAATCTCTTTTATGAATGTTTTGTGGTTTTCAATGTGTAGGTCTTTCATGCCTATTATTAAATTTCTCTATTTCATAGTTTTGATGTCATTTTAAATATTGTATTTATAATTTAGCTTTCTGATTGTTTAATGCCATTATATGAAATTGAATTGTTCTTATTTTACATATTGATCTAGTGTCCTGTAGCCTTGTTAACTCAGTTATTAGTTCTTACGGCTTCTTTTTTTTTGTTTTTCTGGGGAAGATTCCACAGAAGTCTTTACATTTATGATTATGCTATGTATAATTAAAGACAGTTTTATGTATTCCTTTCCAAATCCATACGCATGTTATTTCTTTTAAATCTATTGAGTAATAGTGGGCTTTTTTGTTTTGTTTTTGTACTAAAACTTTGTGTGTCTTGTTATATAGTCCATGTGTGCTTGCAAAAAACGATATTGGGTGTAGTTTTCTATAAATGTCAATAAGGTCAGTTTGTCACACTGTTTTTTCCAGTGACTTTCTGTTAGTTATCCTATAATTTACTGAGAGAGGACATATTGAAATTGCTAACTATAATTGTAGATTTGTCTATTTCTCTATTAGCTTTTTTCATTGTTTGTTTCAGGTATTTAGAAGGTCTTTTATTAGGTTTATTAAGGTTATAATAGCTCCCCTAATGAAATCATTATGGCCCCTAGACAAATTGATGGCTTTACTACTATGGAATAACTTTCTTCATCTTTAGTAATGTTTCTTGCTTTGTCTATCATTAATATAGCCACCCTAGATTTTTTAAATTAGTGGTAGCATAGTACTTGTTTTATATTTTATTTTAACCTATCTGTGGCTTTGTATTTAGTTTATTGAAGATAGCACATATGTGAGTGCAGTGGTTTTAAAACATGATCATAAATTATTTTATATTCCTCCTTTCAAAAGTTGGAGTCTAAAGCTCTTCTTCTGTAGTATAATCTGTACATAATTACTCATTTTTAAGAAATTGAATAGAGTAGACACGGTGATGTGAGACTTTAGAAACTAGGTCATAAAAGGCACTGAAGCTTCCTTCTTGCTTGCTCTTATATAGCTCATTCTGGGGAAGCTACTTGCTTTATCACAAGGACATTCAGGCAGCACTGTGGAAAAATTCATATAGTGAGGACTTGAGGCATCTTGCCAACAAGTGAATCTTCCAGCCCCTGTCAAGCCTTTCAGTGATGACAGTACTGGTCAAGAACTCAATTGCAACCTCACAAGAGTCTGTTGAGCCAGAACCTCCCAGTACAGCTGCTCCCAGATTTCTCACCTGAGAAAATATGTGAGATATAATATTACAATTCTTGTTTTAACATGTTAAGTTTGAGGGTAATTTGTTATAGAGCAATACATGCTAAAACATAGTGTTTTGCATTTTATTCAACATAAAAATCTTAATATATAATTGGTTTATTCAGACCATTGGCATTTAGTGTGATTATCAATATGATTGGGCTTAAATCTACCATATTACTATTTACAGCCTCTTTCTCCCACTTGTTACAATCCATGAACATGAAATACACGTTTATTCATTTAGATATTTCACTTCCCCTCAACAATTTTTTCTAGTTGTCAGACTAGAAGTTTCCAATATTTTCAATAAATGCATTCCTAAATAGTATATGGGTTTTGAAGACTGAAAATATTATTTTTAACTTGTAGTTTTCAACTGTTTGTTTGTAGTATATAAAAATACAATCGAATTTTGTGTATTGTCTATACATATAGGTATCTTAAAGTGACATTAAGACTGGGCGCAATGGCTCCTGCCTGTAATCCCAGCACTTTAGGAGGCCGAGGCGGTCGGATCATGAAGTCAAGAGATCGAGACCCTCCTGGCCAACATGGTGAAACCCCGTCTCTACTAAAAATACAACAATTAGCTGGGCATGGTGGCACGTGCCTGTAGTCCCAACTACTTGGGAGGCTGAGGTAGGAGAATTGCTTGCAGAGGTTGCAGTGAGCTGAGATCATGTCACTGCGCTCCAGCCTGGCGACAGAGCAAGACTCTCTCTCAAAAAAAAAAAAAAAAAAAAAAAGTAACATTAAGATAGGAAAATAAGTTAGAATGTATTTATTTTTTTTTTTATTTTTATGCCTTTTGGCTAAGATCAAGTGTAGAATGTATTTTATGTCACTCCTTTTTCAATAAATTTGTTATTTTTGTTTGAATTTTCTGTCAGGGTAATTTATTGCTTTAGTTCTGTGTCCTGACAGCATACAATTAATGTAATAAGGACCTTCTAAAAACAGTGATCCTGCTTTGTATCATTACAACCTAAAGAAATAGGCCAATGGGGAAGATTTCAGGTTAGATGATCCAGGTGTCATAGCTCTATATTTGGTTAGCGTATTATCTGATATTGCCCAAACTAAGTCATAAAATATTATAACCTGGCTATATGTAGAAATTATGCTGTCTTCATTCTCTTTGTTCGGGGAAACCACTGGCCAGTTTCATGTTGAATGTATGGCAAGCATGGCATTAAAAAATATGCAAGCATCTTTAGTATGTATCTCTAGACACACATCTGTTATTTGTTTTATTGCCAAAAAGGTGAGAAGTATATGTAGTTTCTTCTTATTGCCCTAACATTTACAGTTCTGAAAAATTATCTGCAGGTGTTGTCATTTGTCTAAGAATCAAAAGGACAGGGACTTTATAAAAAAGAAGTTTCCTTTTCATGTAATTGCCACTATAGAGCTATTTTTTTTCTAGGCAATATTTATTTTTTCCAAAGACTCAATAAGCTTTTATTTCTTAAAAACTTGGAAAACATCTTTTGTGATAAAAACAATATTTCAGTGCATCTAGTAGGTAGGAGTTTAAAGGAAAATGTTTCTTTGCTGGTCTACCATATATATGAAATATATTACATAACAAAAAATCTGTTGTTTAAATTAAATAAGTCTCATGCAATCTAATCAATCTAATATGATGTTTGTTTAAAGGATATAAGGTTCATAATGTTAATTATTGTGAATTTTGGCATGATTTCAATAGTTCAGCACTGATGTTACAGGCAATATATATCTAACTACTTACATGTAATAATATCTACAATAAGCAGAGCCTATATCCAACACTTAAAAAATGAAAACCTCATGCAAACTTCTAGTAGAATTTATATAAAATACAAAGCTAATAATTTCAAATTGATTAGTTTAGCTTTCCAAAATTAGGTTCCAAATGACCAAATTATATCTGTATTGTTAAGTAGACGGATAGAGAGACATCTTTAGTTTTCTTAACCATTTATTTAGAAAATAGCAAGCTCATTGAAACATAGGATATTATCTTCCACTTCTTTTCTATCTCCCAGTGCCTCATATGTTGCCACATAGAGAAAGAGATTAAGGATATACTTGGAAAGTAGTTGAATATAATTAGATCCAAGATGAATATGATTGTTCAATTCTACCACATCTTCTGCCCTTAACCCCCAACTTTAAATTCAGAGGAGAGTATTCTCTCTTTCTTTTTTTTAGAAGCATTTATTTTTTATTTAAAGAAGTGTCTTAGTTACTTAGTATTTCAAAAATAAAGAGAAGTAAAATATATGACCAAATGTACTCATCACTCAGATTTAACAAACATCGAGATGTTTTCACATTTGCTTCTGACCTTTAAAACAAACAACACAGAATGTTGTCAGCACAGCCAAAATTGCATCCCACATATCCCCTTTGCTTTCTCCTTTTCTTTTTTTTTTTGTCAAAGTCATTGTTTATTTTATTTTATTTTTTCTTAAAGTTCTAGTATACATGTGCAGAATGTGGTTTGTTACATAGGTATACACGTGCCATGGTGGTTTGCTGTACCCATCAACCCGTCATCTACATTAGATATTTCTCCTAATGCTATCCCTCCCCTAGCCACCCACCCCCTGACAGGCCCCGGTGTGTGATGTTCCCCTTCCCATGTTCATGTGTTCTCATTGTTCAACTACCACTTATGAGTGAGAACAAGCGGTGTTTGGTTTTCTGTTCCTGTGTTAGTTTGCTGAGAATGTTGGTTTCCAGCTTCATCCATGTCCCTGCAAAGGACATAAACTTGTCTTTTTTTATGGCTGCATAGTATTCCATGGTGCATATGTGCCACATTTTCTTTA
The DNA here is from genome assembly GCF_000001405.40 of Homo sapiens. NCBI lineage: Eukaryota > Metazoa > Chordata > Mammalia > Primates > Hominidae > Homo > Homo sapiens. Next base: position 105,576,696 of record NC_000005.10, read on the forward strand.
TCCAGTCTATCATTGACGGGCATTTGGGTTGGTTCCAAGTCCTTGCTATTGTGAACAGTTCTGCAATAAACATAACATGTGCATATGTCTTTATAGTAGAATGATTTATAATCCTTTGGGTATATACCCAATCATGGGATCGCTGGGTCAAATGGTATTTCTGGTTCTAGATCCTTGAGGAATCGCCAAACTGTGTTCCACAATGGTTGAACTAATTTGCATTCTCACCAACAGTGTAAAAGTGTTCCTATTTCTCCACATCCTCTCCAGCATCTGTTGTTTCCTGACTTATTAATGATTGCCATTCTAAGTGGTGTGAGATGGTATCTCATTGTGGTTTTGATTTACATTTCTGTAATGACCAGTGATGATGAGCTTTTTTTCAAATGTTCGTTGGCCACATAAAAGTCTTCTTTTGAGAAGCGTCTGTTCATATCCTTTGCCCACTTTTTGATGGGGTTGTTTTTCTCTTGTAAATTTGTTTAAGTTTTTTGTAGATTCTGGATATTAGCCCTTAGTCAGATACATAGATTACAAAAATTTTCTCCCATTCTGTAAGCTGGTTGTTCACTCTGCTGATAGTTTCTTTTGCTGTGCAGAAGCTCTTTAGTTTAATTAGATCCCATTTGTGAATTTTGGCTTTTGTTGCCATTGCTTTTGGTGTTTTAGTCATGAATATTATTATTTGCCCATATCTATGTCCTGAAAGGTATTGCCTAGGTTTTCTTCTAGGGTTTTTATGGTATTAGATCTTACGTTTAAGTTTTTAATCCATCTTGAATTAATGTTTGTATGAGGTGTAAGGAAGGGGTCCAATTTCAGTTTTCTGCACATGGCTAGCCAGTTTTCCCAACGCCATTTATTAAATACAGAATCCTTTCCCCATTGCTTATTTTTGTCAGGTTTGTCAAAGATCAGAGGGGTGTAGATGTTTGGTGTTAATTCTGAGGCCTCTGTTCTGTTCCATTGGTCGATATATCTGTTTTGGTACCAGTACCATGTGGTTTTGGTTACTGTAGCCTTGTAGTATAGTTTGAAATCAGGTAGCGTGATGCCTCCCGCTTTGTTCTTTTTGCTTAGGATTGCCTTGGCTATATGGGCACTTTTTTGGTTCCGTATGAAATTTAAAGTAGTTTTTTCTAGTTCTGTGAAGAAAGTCAATGGTAGCTTGATGGGGATAGCCTTGGATTGATAAATTACTTTGGGCAGTATGGCCATTTTCATGATACTGATTCTTCCTATCCATAAGCATTGAATATTTTTCCATTTGTTTGTTTCCCCTCTTATTTCCTTGAGTAGTGGTTTGTAGTTCTCGTTGAAGAGGTCCTTCACATCCCTTGTAAGTTATATTCCTAGGTATTTTATTCTCTTTGCAGCAATTGTGAATGGGAGTTCACTCATTTTTCGGCTCTCTGTCTATTATTGGTGTATAGGAATGCTTGTGATTTTTGCACATTCATTTTTTATCTTGAGACTTTGCTGAAGTTGCTTATCAGCTTAAGGAGATTTTGGGCTTAGGTGATGGGGTATTCTAAATATACAAGCATGTCATCTGCAAACAGGGACAATTTGACTTCCTCTCTTCCTATTTGAATCCCCTTTATTTTTTTTTCTTTTGCCTCATTGAGCTAGCCAGAACTTCCAATACTATGTTGAATAGGAGTGGTGAGAGAGGGCATCCTTGTCTTGTGCCAGTTTTCACAGGGCATGCTTCCAGCTTTTGCTCATTCAGTATGATATTGGCTGTGGGTTTGTCATACATAGCTCTTATTATTTTCAGATTTGTTCCATCAATACCTAGTTTATTGAGAGTTTTTAGCATGAAGGGGTGTTTAATTTTATCAAAGGACTTTTCTGCATGTATTGAGATAATCATGTGGTTTTTGCCATTGGTTCTGTTTATGTGATGGATTACTTTTATTGATTTGCATATGTTGAACAAGCCTTGCATTCCAGGGATGAAGCCAACTTGATCGTCGTGGATAAGCCATTTGATATGCTGCTGGATTCAGTTTGCCAGTATTTTATTGAGGATTTTTGCAATGACGTTCATCAGGGATATTGGCCTGAAATTTTCTTTTTTTTTTCTCTGCGATGTTTTCATATCAAGATGATGCTGAACTCATAAAATGACCTATTTTTCTATTGTTTGGAATAGTTTCAGAAGGAATGGCACCAGTTTCTCTTTGTACCTCTGGTAGATTTCGGCTGTCAATCCGTCTAGTCCTGGGTTTTTTTGGTTGGTAGGCTATTAATTTCAGAACTTGTTATTGGTCTATTCAGGGATTTGGCTTCAACCTGGTTTAGTCTTGGGAGGGTGTATGTGTCCAGGAATTTATCAATTTCTTCTAGATTTTCTAGTTTATTTGCATAGAGGTGTTTATAGTATTCTCTGATTGTAGTTTGTATTTCTGTGGGATCAGTGGTGATATCCCCTTTATCATTTTTTATTGTGTCTATTTTATTCTTCTATCTTTTCTTCTTTGTTAGTCTGGCAAGCGGTCTATCTATTTTCTTAGTCTTTTCAAAGAAAACAACTCCTGGATTCATTGATTTTTTTTTGAAGGGTTTTTCTTGTCTCTGTTTCCTTCAGTTCTGCTCTGATCTTAGTTATTTCTTGTCTTCTGCTAGCTTTTGAATTTGTTTGCTCCTGCTTCTCTAGTTCTTTTAATCGTGATGTTAGGGTGTCGGTTTTAGATCTTTCCCCGCTTTTTCCTGTGGGCATTTAGTGCTATAAATTTCCCTCTAAACACTGCTGCAGCTGTGTCCCAGAGATTCTGGCATGTTGTGACTTTGCTCTCATTGGTTTCAAATAACTTATTTATTTCTGCCTTAATTTTTTTTTATTTACTCAGTAGTCATTCAGGAGCAGGTTGTTCAGTTTCCATGTAGTTGTGCAGTTTTGAGTGAGTTTCTTAATCCTGAGTTCTAATTTGATTGCACTGTGGTCTGAGAGACTGTTTGCTATGATTTCTGTTCTTTTGCATATGCTGAAGAGTGTTTTACTTCCAATTATGTGGCCAATTTTAGAATAAGTGCAATGTGGTGCTGAGAAGAATGTTTATTCTGTTGATTTGGAGTGGAGACTTCTGTAGATGTCTATTAGGTCCACTTGGTCCAGAACTGAGTTCAAGTCCTGAATATCCATGTTAATTTCCTGTCTCGTTTATTGGTCTAATATTGAAAGTGGGGTGATAAGTCTCCCACTATTATTGTGTGGGAGTCTAAGTCTCTTTGTAGGTATCTAAGAACTTGCTTTATGAATCTGGGTGCTCCTGTATTGGGTGCATATATATTTAGGATAGTTTGCTCTTCTTGTTGCATTGATCCCTTTACCATTATGTAATGCCCTTTCTTGTCTTTTTTGATCTTTGTTGGCTAAAAGTCTGTTTTATCAGAGACTAGGATTGCAACCCCTGCTATATTTTTCTTTTTCTTTTTTTTTCTTTCCATTTGCTTGATAAATATTCCTCCATTCCTTTATTTTGAGCCTATGTGTATATCGGCATGTGAGATGGTTCTCCTGAATACAGCACACCAATGAGTTTTGACTCTTTATCCAATTTGCCAGTTTGTGTCTTTTAATTGGGGCATTTAGCCCATTTACATTTAAGGTTAATATTAGGCCTGCCTTACAAGAGCTCCTGAAGGAAGCACTAATTATGGAAAGGAAAAACTGGTACCAGCCACTGCAAAAACATAGCAAATTGTAGAGACCATTGACACTATGAAGAAACTGCATCAACTAACGGAAAAAATAACCAGCTAGCATCATAATGACAGGATCGAGTTTTCTCTCTTTCTCTCTTACAGTTATTAAATCTCCACTTAAAAACAAGCACAATTCAGAGTCATATTCAGATAATATTGGCATATATATAAAGCAATTAATTTGGTTTTCATTCATTTCAACATAACAGGCTATTGTTGAGTGCCTTCAGTGTACCAAGACACATGCTAAGCATTATGGATATAAGGATAAATTGTCTCTGACTCCAGGGATCAAAATGTTGTAATAATTTGATGAATCATGGTAATGAACATTATAAGACATTTTTATTTTTTTAATAACTTATACTTTTTAAATTTTTTGAATTTGTAAAAAAAGCTATGAGATATTCAGTCCCCTATACTAGGACCTAAAGTTTGACTGAAATTGAAAAGACTCTACTATTGTTCAAAATAAATAACAGGAAAAACACTTGATCTTTTATTATAAGACTTAAGAGTTGCTTAAAAGTTTAGTGATCATTAAAATTCAAATCCTTGGAGCTATAAAATAAAATTATTGCTTTTTCACTATGTAAATTGGTACGTATATTATTTAAACTACTGCTAATTTGTGTGCCACATTGAAATAATTGCTCTAGAGTCCATAATATCATTTGTTGAGGAATTAAGATACCATTGCTTGATTAGATTTCAATTTAATCTTAAAATTAAACTAAAAGTTTCTTCATTTGATTAGACACATGCCTAGATTATAACTAGTTAATGTAAATAATATTTTTATATATTTACTAATAGATTAGAATTTGAAATTATCACAACATTAAGCAGGCTATTTTAGGATATATATTTTTTCACATACTTCTAATCAATATATCTGTATTAAACACAAAACAGTAAATATAGTTAAAATATAAGAAGGAAAAACAGTGAAAAGATGAATTTTAAAATATTTTAAATAAATGACATTTATTTATTCATTACAAATTATATAAGCAGAGTGTGTTATTTCAAGGTAATTTTATGATGTATACTGAAAACTATCTGTTTATTGAAAATGCAGCTAAATAAAAGATAATCAGTTCAAAATGAGAATGAATTTTTTGGTGATGGGTTAATGCTACAAACAAATTAAATAACCAACTGTATTATATTAAGATAATTGGATCTTTCTACTTTACATACTAAAAAAACTTACAATTAAAGATTAATACGCAATTTGTCAAATCTTACTCATTTATCTATGTGATATTCTCTGTGTATGTAAAATTTGTGATATTTTTGATTAGCTAATAAATACATGGTTTTAAAACTTATTGATTATACACAGGCATTTTCCTTTCAATATATGCTAAACATAATTTGATAAATATAGAGCTTTTACTTGTGTTAAAAATTGTTTGAAGGAAAAATGGCAGATAGGTGACAGAATCATGTGCAGCTCCCACTTAGACTGAACAGCATGGGAAGACACACGTTGACCTTTTGCTCTGAGAAGTACCACAGAAACATACCAGGAAAAAAAAAGAATTTACAGACCCTTTGAAAGAAGCAGTTTGCCACTGCAAACTCCATGAGAAAGCTGGAAAACTATGAATTCCCAAAGAGTGACAGGGGAAAATCTGCCCTTAACGCACATCCCTACTGGGGAAGCCGAAAATCCAGACGACTGGAGAAGGATTTAACCTTATCTACAGCTGAAACAGATGTAGGAAGCTGAGCAAAATATAAAAGTAGAAGCAGCAGCTGGAAGAGCCCTGTAGGCACTCCTGGTCCCAGTTCCAGCCCAGGGAAGCCATCTCTGGCTTTATCTCACAGGGATCCTTGGGGAAGGCCGCCAGCAGATTCAGGGATGCACCAAAGGGTATAGAAAGCTTCTAGCTGAACTATGAAATGATTTCAACTGAGCATGAATTTTCCTGAGCAGAATTCAGGGGGGCAAAAGGGAAGTGCAAATAAAAATGCAGAAGCCACAGCTGATGGTGCAGGCAGGTGGGGAGGGGTGAGGCCTGAGGGCCCTGCTTGCTTTCTCAGCAGGGAGGCTTGAAGCCTAGGGCAAGATCTCAGCACTGTGCACCAGCTGCCTGGATATATAATCAGCACTGTTGGCAGGGCACGGTGAAAGTGAGACTTGCCGTGCTGGCTGCATAGGAGATGGGTGAGGCCTGTTACTGCCAGCTTTCCCCCACTTTCCTAGAGACCCGAATGATGCAGCAGAGGCAGCCATAATCCCCTTGGAACATAACTCTATTGGCCTGAAAACCAACCCCCTACATCACCTTCAGTGGCCACAGCAAGCCCCACCCAAGGAGAGGCTGAGCTCAGACAAGCCTAACCCTGCCCCCACCTAATGGTTTTTCTCCTCCTGCCCTGGTAGCTGAAGACAAAACACATAAAGTCTTGAGAGCTTATGGCCCAGCACATTGCCTGAGACATCTGAATACTCATCTTGGCTAATATATGGCAAGATTATATCCTTTTTCTACTACGGCAGCTGATGCTCTCTTGAAAGCACCACCTTCTGGCTGGAGGCCAACTAACTCAAGCCATTACAGCAACCCGTAACAGAACAACCGTGCTACAAAGAAGGAAAAAACAACATCTAATTCCACCACCTATAACATCCTGGCTAACTAGAGGTCCTGACTCTGTCCACATGACAACTTCACTGCTAGCATAACCAGCATTCAAGAAAACCAGTGCGCTAAGCAAAACTACAACCAAGGACTCCCACAGAGCCCACTTTGCCCCTGCCACTTCCACTGGAGCATGTGCTGGTATTCATGACTTGGAGACCTGAAGATAGATCACATCATGGGACTCTTTGCAGGTATTCCCCAGCACCAGCCCAGAGCCCAGTAGCCTTGCTGGGTAGAAATGCTAAAAGGAGTTCTAAATTGTGAAAAAACAAAGAAACCTCAAAATAAAAGAAAATAGAACCTCCTTGAAGCACAAATCTCACAGGACATATAAAACAATAACACAATGAAAAAAAAAGGTATTCAGGCCAAAACTAGCATGATGAATAGAACAGCACCTCACATATCAATACTAATGCTGAATATAAATGGCTTAAATGCTCCACTTAAAAGATATAAAATAACAGAATGGATAAAAATCCACCAACCAAGTATTCACTGTCTTCAAGAGACTTAACTCATATATATGGACTCACATGAACTTAAGATAAAGGGGTGGAAAAATATATTCCATTCAAATGGAAAACAAAAGTGAGCAAGAGTAGCTATTCTTATATCAGAAAAAAAAATGACTTTAAGCAACAACGGTTAAAAAAGCAGGAAATTATATAATGATAAAAGGATTAATCCAATAGGAAAATATCACAATCCTAAATATATATGTACCTAACACAGGAGATCCCAAATTTATAAAACAATTACTACCATACCTAAGAAATGAGATAGATGAGAACACAATAATAATGGGGAACTTTAATACTCCACTGATAGCACTAGACAGGTCATCAAGAAAGAAAGTCAACAAAGAAACGATGGACTTAAAACTATACCCTAGAATAAATGGACTTAATAAAATTTACAAAACATTCTTCCCAACAACTGTAGAATATACGTTCTATTCATCAGCACATGAAACATTCTTCAAGAGAGACAATATGATAGGCCACAAAACAAATCTCAGTAAATTTAAGAAAATCAAAATTATATCAAGTATGTACTCTCTCAGACCACAGTAGGATATATTTGGAAACTAACTCCTAAAGGAACCCTCAAAACTCTACAAACACATAGAAATTAAATCATCTGCTACTGAATGATCCTTGGGTCAACAATGAAATCAAGATGAAAATTTAAAAATTATTTGTACTGAACAATAATAGTGACACAACCTAACAGAACCTCAGAAGTGTTGCTAAGAGGAAAGTTCATAGTATTATATGCCTACATCAAAAAGTCTGAAAGAGCACGAATAGAAAAATCTAAGCTGACACCTCAAAGAGCTAGAGAAACAAGAACAAACCAAACCCAAACCTAGCAGAAAAAAAAAAAAAAAGTAACAAAGATGAAAGCAGAACCAAATGGAATTGAAACAAAAAATAAATAAATAAATAAAACAAAAAGCTGGTTCTTTGAAAAGATAAACAAAATCAATAGACCATCATCAAGATTAACCAAGAAAGAGAAGATCCAAATAAGCTAAATTAGAAATGAAATAGGAGATATTACAACCAATACCACAGAAATACAAAAGATAATTCAAGGCTACTATGAACACCTTTACGCATACAAACTAGAAAAGTTAGAGGAGAAAGATAAATTCCTGGAAACATAGAACCCTCCTAGATTAAATCAGGAAGAAATAGAAACTCTGAACAGACTAATAACAAGTAGCAAGATTGAAACAGTAATAAAAAAATTGCCAAGAAAAAAAATCCCAGGACTAGATGGATTCACAGCTGAATTTTATCAGACATTCAAAGAAGCAGTGGTATGATCCCTACTGAAACTATTTTAAAATATAAAGAAAAACGGAATCCTCCTTAAATCATTCTATGAAGCCAGTATAACCCTAATACCAAAACAAGGAAAGTACATATCAAAAAAATAAATTAAAAAAAACTACAGACCAATATCCATGATGAACACAGATGCAAAAATCTTTAACAAAGTACTAGCTAACTGAATCCAACAGCATATCAAAAAGATAATACATCCTGATCAAGAGAGTTTCATACCAGGGATATAGGGTTAGTTTAACATATAAAAGTCATTAAATGTAATATACCACATAAACAGAAGTAAAAACAAAAATTATATGATCATCTCCATAGATGCAGGAAAAGCATTTACCAAAATCCAGCATCCCTTTATGATTAAACCCTCAGCAAAACTGGCATAGAAGGGACATACCTTAAGATCATAAAAGCCATCTAGGACATAGCTACTGCCAACATTATACTGAATGGGGAAAAGTTGAAAGCATTTCCCCTAAGAAATGGAACAAGACAAGGATGCCCACTTTCACCACTTCTATTCAACATAGTACTGGAAGGTCTAGCCAGAGCATCAGATAAGAGAAAATAACAAAAGGCATTCAAATCAGGAAAGAGGAAGTCAAACTGTCACTGTTAGCCAATGAAATGATCGTATACCTAGAAAACCCTGAAGACTAATTCAAATAGGTTCTAGATCTGATAAATTAATTCAGTAATGTTTCAGAATACAAAATCATTGTACACAAATCAGTAGCACTGCTGTACACTAACAGTGACCAGGCTGAGAATCAAATAAAAAAATCAACTCATTTTGCAGTAACTGTGAAAAATAAATAAATAAATAAATAAATAAAATACTTACGAATACACCTAAACAAGGAGGTGAAAGATCTCTACAAGAAAAACTACAAAACTTTGCTAAAATCATCAATGACACAAACAAATGGAAATGCATCCCATGCTCATGGATGGGTAGAATCAATATTATGAAAATGACCATACTGCCAAAAGCAATCTACAAATTCAACGCAATTCCCATCAAAATGCCATTATTATTCTTCACAGAACTAGAAAAAAAAACAATTCTAAAATTAATGTGGAACCAAAAAAGGGTCTACATAGCCAAAGTAAGACTAAGGGAAAAGAATAAATCTGGAGGCATCACATTACCTGACTTTAAACTATACTACAAGGCTGTATTTACCAAAACAGCAGAGTACTGGTACATAAATAAGCAGATAGACCAATGGAACGAAATAGAGAACCCAGAAATAAAGCCAAATACTTATAGCCAACTCAGCTTCAACACAGCAAACAAAAAAATAAAGTGGGGAAAGAGATACTTTTCAACAAATTGTGCTGGGATATTTGGCTAGCCACATGTAGGAGAATGAAACTGGATCCTAATATTTTACCTTATACAAAAATCAACTCAAGATGGATCAAAGACTTAAATCTAAGACCTAAAACCATAAAAGTTCTAGAAGATAACATTGGAAAAGCTCTTCTAGTCATTAGCTTAGGCAAAGAGCTCATGACCAATAACACAAAAGCAATTGCAACAGAAACAAAGGTAAATAGATGGGAATTAATTAAACTAAAAAGTTTCTGCACAGCAACATAAATAATTAGCAGAGTAAACAGACAACCCACAGAGTGGGAGAAAATATTTGCACACCGAACATTTGATAAAGGACTAATATCCAGAATCTACAAGGAACTCAAAACAAATCAGAAAGAAAAAAACAATCTCATCAAAATGTGGGCTAAGGACATGAATAGACAATTTTTGAAAGAAGACATATAAATGGCCACTAAACGTATGAAAAGAATGCTGAACATCACTAATTATCAGGGAAATGCAAATCAAAACCACCATGCAATACCACTTTACTCCTGTAAGAATGACCATAATTTAAAAATCAAAAAAGAATAGATGTTGGTGTGGATGTAGTGAAAAGGGAACACTTTTACACTGCTGTAAACTAGTACAACCACTAAGAAAAACAGTATGGAGACTCCTTAAGGAACTAAAAGTAGAACTACCATTTGATCCATCAGGTCCACTACTGGGTATCTACCAAGAGGAAGAAAAGCCATTATATGAAAAAGATACTTTCACATGCATGTTTATAGTATCAGAATTTACAATTGCCAAAATATGGTACCAGCCTAAATGCCCATCAATCAATGAGTGGATAAAAAGATGTAAGAGGTATATACATTTATACACACACCATGGAATATGGCTTAGCCATACAAAGTAATTAAATAATGGTACTCGCAGCAACCTGGATGGAGTTGGAGACCATTATTCTAAGTGAAGTAACTCAGGAATGGAAAACCAAACATTATATGCTCTCACTTATAAGTGGGAGCTAATCTATGAGAATGCAAGGTGTACGGATGATATAAAGGACTCTGAGGACTCAGGGGGCAAGGGTGGGAGGGGATAGGAGATAAAAGACTACACATTGAGTATAGTGTACACTGCTCAGGTGATGGGTGCACCCAAATCTCAGAAATCACCACTAAAAAACTAATACATGTAACCAAACACCACTTGTTCCGCAAAACCTATTGACATAATAATAATCAAACTGTTTAAAATTTTTTTTCTATCTCTCTGGTGCCTGATGTATATCTAGGAATAGAGGAAGATTCAGGAATCTTTCTCTATTTGGGATGGAATGTATTTGAATGTGATAGATCTGATGTCCCAATTTTTAAAAAAATAATTAGCTTACTGAGTCCCAGTCACTGCTCTAAACACTTTACCATGTTAGCTCATTTAATAGTCACAGAAACTTCATGAGGTGCATACTATTATCTTCATTTTACAGGTGGAAAAACTGACTTTCAGATATAGATAAAGTTTCTTTTGATCATATGCTCCAGTCGTGTTTCTTATACTCTTTCCTTGGAAGCAATCACTAGCATGAGTTTGGTGTATATTGATTGATTTCATTTTAATTTTTTACATTCAAATGTCTACATATATCACAGTATGTTATGTGTTTTAAATATACTATGCGTGCAGTTCTGAAAATTAATTTTCTAAAGATATAGACATTGAAATATGTTTATTCCTTTAAGTTGTTATATTTGAGTTCAATTTTAATTTTACAAGTACAGATATGAAAGCTGAGGCATCTGATTTAATAAAGCTAAGCTAGTGAATGAGCATTTAGTTCCCCTTACTGTCAACCCAATACCTCTTCTACCACACAACAACCACTTTCAGTTACATCCTGTGTGATCTTGCATGATTCAGCACTCTGAATTTCAGCATACTCACAAGTAGACCTGCGAGAAGATGATACTTCTGAACTAGATTACCTGTATTTTCAAAAGCCTAAAAGTCACAACTCTGTTGTCTACCTGTTTCATCAGGGCTATTTTCTAACATTTCTCTTATGCATACATCAGCTCCTTTGTGTTACATTTTGTGTGTTTTCTTGAACTCTCTCATAGTTCTGGGCACATAAATAGGGAGGAATAAAGATTCGTGAAACTGGTCTGATTACTTCCATGCACTGATCTGTCCACAGTATCCTCTAAAAAGCGTTCCCAGGGGAGGGCCTTTTCTGTGCAGTCGGCTTAATCTCTTGATTTTTCCTCAGAGACTTAGTGGCACCAAACAAAGGTGACTAAAATATTGCAAATTATCGTTTTTATTTTACCATAGTTATTAAAACGGTTCTTTATACAAACTTTTGTGTGTGCATGCAGTTTCTTTAGCTTTGTAAAATGTTTACAAGAATTTAATAAATGTAATAAATGAGAGTTTTCTGTAGTCTTTTCATTATAAATGATTAAAGACTCGCACATTCATTTTAACTTCAAAAGCAAACTTTCCAAATTATTTTGTGTCATGTGAAAAAATTTCTGAGTTCAACAAGCACTAGGATTTTTATTTATTCTTTGAGTATATTTTTAGTCTCCAGTTTCTTTACAGCCTCTAGTCTCTGATAAATAGCCAGAGGATTAATGTTTTAGTGAAAGTTAGCTTGTCACCTTCAAAAGGAAACCTCTTCAAATCAAAGACTCTATGTGCCTTGACTACAAAGTAAATTTTAAATAAACATTTTAAAAAAAGAGAAATTGTTGTCTCTTCAACTATTTGCCTGTTTGTACCAATTTGTACTCATGTCATACATTCACACACACCTAATATATATATATGATATACTACATATAAATATATATAATCTATATACAAAATATATATAATATATATAAAATATATAGTCACATTTGTTTGTGTGGTATCACTAAATTAGTCCTGGGGGAATATATATTTAATACATATATAAATACATATATAAATATTATATATCATATATATTTATATATATATAAACATTATGTATCTTATATATATTTATATATACCTTATATATATTTATATAAATATATATAATATACTATATATTTATATAAATATATAAATATTATATAACTTATATATATTTACATAAATATATATAAATATTATATACCTTATACATATTTATATAAATATATATAATATTTTATATATAAATATATATAAATATATAATATATAAGACAAATATCTATATATTATATAATAATATATTATAAATAAGACATTTATATAAATATATATAAATATTATATATTTATATAAATATATATGGTATATAATATTTATATATATTTATATAAATATATAAATATTATATACCATATATATTTATATAAATATATATTTATATATAAATATTTATCTTATATATATTTATATATAAATATTTATCTTATATATATTTATATAAATGTCTTATTTATATTATTATATAATATATAAATATTTATCTTATAAATATTTATATTTTCTTACATATATTTTATATAAATATGTGTACATAAATGTACAAATATATGTATATATATACACATGTGTCTGTGTGTATAACTATACATATATGTTTTAGAGATCTTTATATATGTAGACATTCTTATAAGGGAAGTCTCTCTAAAGTAACAACAAAAATGCCAACCAAAGTAACAATTGCACATTACTTTCTTTAATTAACTTAAACATTTTACTACAGTTCATTTACCTTCAGGTGATATGAATCCATAAATATACCATGAATATATCACAGAATCACTTTGCAATGATTTTTACGGTTATGAGTTCTAATGTCTAAGTTTGGTATCTCTAGCACAATAAGTTGGTATATCCAAAAATTTTATTAGGTCTCCCATATGCTAGAAAAAGAGTAATATAAATAACAAATGTGACAAAATTGTTTAATGTCAATAAAGCACTAGCATAATGTATATGAATGTTATTATTAATTTATTCAGACTACTAATTTATTATTTTCCATTTTTTCTTTAATTTGTAGACTCATTACATTCTTACCAAGATCTAATGTGATAAGTAAAATGATACGGTAAACCAATGCTAAAAAAGGGAATTTCTGAAAGAATAAATCAAAACACTTTCAAAAATGTACAGTTGATTAGGGAAATAATGTGGTGATTTTATAAACTTATAATTGTTTACTATCTATTATGTAATTCTGAGACCCTCCTTGGTTTCCTTTCTCTAAGTTTTGGGATAGTTAATGGTAATTCTGTTTACTTTATCTGAGAAATCTCGTTGGTCTAGAAATCATCAGCTTCCCTACAGCTGCAATAGCTATAGACTGTTGCATTTGTCATCACAAAATTATGCTACATAATTCAACATTTATTTAATAACATATTTGACAACTTGCTTTTTAAAATACTGACTCATTTTAATTTGACTACTTCATAGTAGCATCCAGGGAAGCACCTTGAATGTTTCCAAATCCATTTTAGGCAAGCTCCTTCTGGGAGGTTTTCATGCTGTTAGCTAATCTCATCCCTAGTGATTTAATTATTGTTTAACACAAAAAAAATATTATTTTCCTGTGATTTGCCTGTTTCACCTTTTTCTCTAATTCTCAGTGCCAAACCTTACAATAAACGTAATAGGAGGCATAAAGTCTTTGGTAGAGTGAACTTGAGTACAACATGGGAGTACTTTTGCATGTCTGACATTTGAAAAGAATAATGAGAAAACAATTTATAGAACATATAGGTAGTGATCAATCCCATTTTACTATTTTCTTATGTATCTGATTTAAATCCTTCATTCTGGAGAGTGTTAGATTAAGGCTATTTTTATACAAAATAAAAATATTATTTCCAGATGTATTTATAGTTCCATTACATTTTCAAGAACATGCATTTTTATAGAAATGAAATGTTATAATTTTAGTTTCATGGCATAATAAAAATATGATGGGTAATGAACTAGCATACACTAAAAAGTGTATTTGACCTAAAACATGAAGAAGAAAGCTTATAAGAACAATATCAATAATGAGTTCCGGGAGGGCGCGGTGGCTCACACCTGTAATCCCAGCACTTTGGGAGGCCGAGGCAGGCGGATCACGAGGTCAGGAGATCAAGACCATCCTGGCTAGCTCGGTGAAACTGTGTCTCGACTAAAAATACAAAAAATTAGCTGGGCGTGGTGGCAGGTGCCTGTAGTCCCAGCTACTCAGCTGCTAGGGAGGCTGAGGCAGGAGAATGGTGTGAACCCGGGAGGCGGAGCTTGCAGTGAGCCAAGATCATGCCACTGCACTCCAGACAGAGAGAGACTCTGTCTCAAAAAAAAAAAAAAAATATGAGTTCCACAAAAAAATTATAAGAAAATAACAATATATGGTAGGATGATAGGATGACATTTAAAGTATTTATAGATGCCAATTCTGTTAATTTCATTTCCAATTTTCATACTATAACTCTGTGCTGTTTTCTTACTTTGGCTTATGAAGATATGAGTCTGGCATTGTCCGTGCTGGGGGAGGATGGTCCTAGAGTCAGTATTTGAGCAAAATGCCAAATTCAAAATTTATGTTTGAAAAAAATCACTTTCCCAAAAAGAAAACAAAATAAACAAAAATGAAACAAAATAAGCATGAAATATGTAGAAGATAAGATCAGGCAGAAGGAGCTACCATCCAAGCCTCTACCACTACCATTATTCTGTAAAGAAAAGATTACAAAGGAATGCAACAAGAGTATTAGATGCTAACGGCATGAACCTGTACCCTTCTTTGTCCTCTGTTCAAAATCCAAAGTTGAGGGTTATAGTATCTATAGTATCTCACAAATAAGTTAAGACCCTAGCAGAAAAGACATGTACCCATTCTTGGTATGGAATTCTTAAAAGTGTTGATACTTTTCAGATCGTCTTTCCACTATAAATGGTGTGGAAACAGTAGAGCAGAAATAGCTGCATACGGTGTTTGCAACAGGTCGGGCTTAATAATAGCCTCAGGTAAGCAAAGCATGCATCTGAACGTTCCTAGAGCCAAAGAAGGCTGTGATACATAGCTATAGCTGCAGGGCAGCCTATGACCTGGAGGGCTTTCATTGGTATAATAAGAAACTGGTTTCAGAAGGCTGGGTGAAAAATCGGGAATCTGCTTAGATGCATATATGGGAGTGAATGTATTAATTTCTCTGACATCAGATGAAATATTACTTGCTACAGTGTTGCTGAAATGTTGCTGAGAATGTGGTGAAAATCAGTCTATAATTAAAGCAAATATATAAATGCTCTATCTTATAGATAGAATTACTCCTGATACAGACGTTATAAGGTACATAATTTAGAAGTACATTCAATATCTAGATATAGTGAGTTTCCATATATCTAATGCATAAAATCATCATTGAAAATAGCAAATATTTTAAAGTCAAATACCTATTACTTAATTATCTTTAGATAATAATTATTTGGTAAAATATTGTGGTCAATTTTAAACTTTAAGATAAGTGAAAATTTGGATTATTTTTTACAGTTTTAGTTATATAGGAACAAAATCTCTATACATAAAGAAAAATCACTTTCGCAATCTTAAAAAAAAAACTGAAGTGCCTTTTTTCCCCAGTAGCATTTCAATGTGCATGTTAGTGATTATTTTTTTCCAAGCATACTAGATTTAACCTTACTTTTAGCTTTGTTTATTCAAATATTTCCGATTTTTTAATCTGAAAAAAAATCCTGAATTTTAAATTCTAATAGTGGTTAACTCTGAGGGCCATTATTTTAATGTACAGGTAGTGCCAGGCTCATAGATTACATGCAATAAATTAAGCTTAAATGTGCATTTGTGCAGGACCGTTCTCCAGGCAGGCTTCCACAAACCCAGTTCTCCCCCATTTCTCATTTGTAGTTCTCAAGAATAACTGTAGACTGGGAATGTGACATCTTAAGATAAGGGGGAGCTGGCCTGAACAGCTCAGGCTTTGTTCCCCTCCCTCTTCCCCAAAAGAGGACGGTCCTTTATCACTTTAGCCCAGTGTTTCATGTGAGGGAAAAAAATAAAAAAAAACCAGGGTGGATTGAATTCTGGGGTTTCTCAAATGGGACACACATATTAGAAACTCCTTTCACTTGGGCAGCTTTCTTGATCCTCAGGGCACCGGCTCACAACGAATCCTAGGCTTCTGTTGTTTCATGTTGCCTGTATGTCAGTAATAAATCCACCTCATGTAACTTGCTGTGTGTGGGGTGTTCTGTTGCATCGGACTCAGACAAGTTGGTAACTAGTGCAAAGTGAATCTGCTTCCCACAGGGATGATAGTCTACTAGATATGAAAGATGTCGCTAGATAAGAGTGACATCTGGAGAGCCTGAATGTCTACATGAACTCTGAGTGGTCAGAGATGGATGTCTAATTCTGCCAAGTCACTCTTTATCCCTTTAGGTTGTTGAGTATAGGTATGTTTAACAAGTTTACCAGGTTTATCTGGAAACATTAAATTTAACAAGTTAACTTTACAGTATACACCTAACATGGTCAACTTGATTTATTCCTATCGACAGAAAGCATGAAGCTAGTTGTTCAAAATTGCTGTTTATATATCTCCATAATGAACATCTGAAAGGAGTGGTAGTAAGGGGGTTATTTTAAAAGGATTTGGGAAGGATTTCATTTTTACTTCACATTATTTTGTTTAATGTTTGACGAACATGTTAATTGTTTAGCTTAAACAAAGTATATAAGAAAAGAAAACTGTTTTCTGGAGCTATCTATGCTACATTCTTGACTAGGAATATAAAATGATTTTCTACTTCTTTATATATATATTTATATATATATTTATATATAAATGAATTATTTCAATTTAAGTGTGGCATTTATGCTTAAGCCAAAGTTACAAGATTCTTTAACCTTGTAACTTGTTATAAGACCTTGTAACTTCTTATATAACTAATTATATAAGAAGCAGATTGTTAGTGGAGAGGGTCCAACTTCTTTTATGGCATTTCCCTAATACTTTCATACTTTCCTTAGGATTAGTTTGTCATATATACAACTTTTAACTCTCTAAGGACACTCTGTTTACTTTTTTTCATGCTTACTGAGGTTAATTTTCATACAATAAAACTGTTTCTTGGTATACCGTTTAATGTGTTTTGACAAATTTGAAAGTGGTGTAACCACCATCTGAATTGAGAAATACAACATTTTTATCATCTCAAATATTTCCTGTGCCACTTTGCAACCAACCCTCTCTCCACACCCATCATCGCAAAATCAGGCTCTGGCTGTCATTGTCCTCATTTCAATTCCCATATTTTCCCATTTCCAGAAAACCATATAAATATGCAGTGTGTAGATATTTTGTGTCTAGCTTATCCCATTTAGCAAGGTTTTCTTGAGATTTAGCCCTGTTGTTGCATATACCAGTGATTTGGTATTTTATTTCTGAGTAGCAGTTAGTATGCATAGACCACAATGTTTTTAAATCCAATACTTATTCATCCAATAAGTTGATGACTACTTGGGTTGTTTTTAGTTTAAGGTTACTGTGAATGAAGCTTTTACAAATGTTCATGTACTAGCTTTATGTGAACATATGTTTTCCTTTCTCTTTTTTAAAAAAATTACAGTAGTATTTCAGTGTCCTATAGTACATGTAAGTTCATAAGACACTGTCAACCCCTTTTCCATAATGGTTGCACCACTTTGTATTTTCACCAATGTATGGTATTTGTACTGACCTGAATCCTTACCAGCACCCTAATCTTTTTGTTTTCTCACATATTAGCCATTCTAGTAGACATGTTTTAATATATTTTAATTTTAATTTGCATTTCTCAAATAACTAATGATCTTGAAAAGACATTTATGTTATTTGTCAATCATCTTATCTTTGATAGATGTCTACTCAAGTCTGTGACCTACTTTTTAATAGGATTGTCTTTAGTTAAGTTGTAAATACTTATCATATTTTCCAGATAAAAGTTCTCTATAAAAATTGTTTTAGGAATAATTTTCTCCCATTCTATAACTTGCCTTTCCTATATTTTTGAAGAACAGAAGCATTAAATTTTGACAGTCTAATTTATTAATTTTTCCCTTTTTATGATTTTTGTCTCATGTTCACAAAATAATTTGCTAAACAAATGTTACAAATTTTTTTTTTTTTTTTTTTTTTTTTTTTTTTTTTTTTGTGAGACGAGTCTCGTTCTGTCGCCCAGGCAGGAGTGCTGTGGCGCGATCTCCGCTCACTGCAAGCTCCGCCTTCCAGGTTCACGCCATTCTCCTGCCTCAGCCTCCCGAGTAGCTGGGACTACAGGCGCCCGCCACTGCGCCCGGCTAATTTTTTGTATTTTTAGTAGAGACGGGGTTTCACCGTGGTCTCGATCTCCTGACCTCGTGATCCGCCCGCCTCGGCCTCCCAAAGTGCTGGGATTACAGGCGTGAGCCACCGCGCCCGGCCACAGATTTTTTAAAATAATTTTTTAAAGAAAAGTTATAGTTTTAGGCTTTACTTTTAGGTCCATTATCCACCTAAAATTGAATTTTATATATAGTGCAAGATATAAGTCAAGGTTAATAGTTAGTTGATCTACCACGATTTGTTAAAAAGACTCCATTTTTACCTTAGCACATTTAATTTTGTAAAAATCAATTGAATATGTATGTGTTGGTATATTCTCTATTTTGTTTCACTGATCCACATGTCTCTTTGCCAATTATTTACTACTTTGTTATTATAGGTGTATAAGTTTATTTTAATGTTGTTTGGTTAATGTAGGACCTCTAGCTGTCCATATAAAATATCAAATCAACTTATCAATGTTTTCAAAAATTCTCGTGATATTTTGATTGTGATTGCATTGAATCTACATAGCAACTGGGAAAATTGCTACCTTAACAATACTGAGTTGTCCAGTCCATAAACTCATTCTATATTTATCTACATATGTCAATAAATTTTAATCATTTTCATCCATATTTAGTAGTTTTAAGGACGTAATTCTTTCACATATTTTCTTTAGTTTTATAACTAAGCATATTTTGTCGTTGCTGTTATCAATGGTTTTGTGTTTTATTTCTGTCACTTTTCAATTGTTATTGCTAATATCTAGATACACATTTGATTTTTTATTGATGTTTTATCCTGAAACCTGAATCAAATCATATACTACTATTCAAAGCTGGGTTATTTTCAAGATTTAGGGGTTTCAATGTATTTTTTCATGTTTTCTTACGCATGCACACACATATTACAGTGTTTTTGTTTTTTATATTAATGCCTTTTATTTATTTTTCTTACTGTATTTCACTGACTTTCAGTAGAATGTTAAGTAAAAATAGAGAAAGTGAACATCATTGCTTTCTTTGAGATTTTAAAGGAGAAGAATTCAGTCATTCACCATTAAGGGCAATAAGTGTGTTTCTCATAGATTACCTTTATTAGGCTGAGAAGGTTACCTTCCATTACTAGTTGGCTGAAAATTTATTTTGTGTACATATGTTGAATTTTGTCAAGCATGTGTCTGCATATGGTGAGATCATTGTTTATTTTTTAGTCTGTTGATGGGATGATTCACATCAATCAATTTTTAACTGTTAAATTAATTTTTCATTCCTGAAATAAATTCCATGCTGTCAAGATTTATTACCTTTTTGATACACTGTTAGGTAATATCTACTAATATTGATTTTAAAATTGTTTATTCATATTTGTGAAGGATATTGGCCCATAGTTTCCTTTTCTTCTGTCATTGATATTAAGCTAATGCTGGCCTCATGAACTGAGAAGTGTAGATGTTATGTAGAATTAGTGTTAGTTATTTCTCAAATGTTCTATAGACTTCATGAGTTAAATAATCTGGGGCGTTCTTTTTGGGAGAGATTTAAAAATATATTTAATTTACTTAATATTTAAAGAGTTGTCAATTCTTTGTGATTTGTTATTTTAGACCTTTATAGAATTTGCCAATTTTATCTAATTGGATAAATTTATTGAGGTCAAATTACTCATAATATGTTTTCCTTTAGTAGCTTTAGGATCTTTCATTCCTGACATTTGCAATTTATATCACTGTGTGTATGTATATGTATATGTATGATGGAGGTTTGTCCTAGCTATTTATAAATGTTATTGTACTTTTAAAAGCAAATATTGGCTCATTGATTTTTCTTAAATATTTTTCTGTTTTTAACTTTATTGATTTCTGCTTTTATATTATTTTCTACCATCCACTTTCGTTAGATTTAATTTGTTTTCTATTTTCTTATGGAGAAAGTGTTGAATCTTCATTACCCAGTTGATAATATCTGCATTTTAATGCGTATTTTTAGGCCGTTAACTTTTTTTTTTTTTTTGAGACAGGATCTCACTCTGTCACCCAGGCTGGAGTTCAGTGGTGCAGTAATGGCTCACTGCAGACTTGACATCCTGACCACAGGTAAGCACCACCAGGCCTGGCTAATTTTTTTTTATTTTTTATTTTTTATTTTTTTGTAACAATGGGTTTCCCTATGTTGCCAAATCTGGTCAGAAACTCCTGGGCTCAAGTGATCATCCTGTCTTGGCCTTCCAAAGTGCTGGGATTATAGGCATGAGCCACTGTGCCTGGCCACCATTTACTTTTAATGAACATTTGGTTCTACTTTTTTCATTACTATTGTTTCATTAAATATACTGTGCAAGACAGCACTCCACAACATAGAATTATCTAACCCAAAATGTCAATAATACTTGTTAAGAAACACTGCTCTAAACTGATATGCTGTTGCATTTCTGGTCTATAGTCATTTGTTAAAATTTCAGTTCATTCTTTGTGATTAGCTTTTAAATCAGCCACTTCTTTCTATGCTATGCTAAAAGTGAAACAGTCCCATTAAAAACAAATTCTAAATGTGTGTTTCCAGGAATGTATCCATTTCCTCTAGATTTTCCAGTTGGTGTGCATGGAGGTGTTCCAAGTGGTCTTGAACTTTGTATTTCTGTGATATCAATTGTAATATCTCCATCTTCATTTCTTGGTTGATCCAGCTAGTGGTCTATCAATTTTGTTTATCTTTTCAAAAAACTAACTTTTTATTTCATTGAGCCTTTGTATTTTTGCTGTTTGTTTGAATTTCATTTAGTTCTGCTCTGATCTGTTATTTCTTTTCTTCTTCTAGCTTGGGTTTTGGTTTGCTTTTGTTTCTCTAGCTACTCGAGGTGTGATGTTGTGTTCTCAAATTGTAATCATTCTGTCATTTTATTTTATTTTATTGTTATGAGGCAGGGGTCTCACTCTGTCCCCGGGATGGAGTACAGTAGTGAATCCATGGCTCACTCCAGTGTCAAACTCCGGTGCTCAAGTCATCCTCTTGCCCCGGCCTTCTGAATAGCTGGGCCTACAGGTAGGGGCCATGACGTCTGGCTAATTTTTATTTTTATTTTTTATTTTTGTAGAGAAATGGTCTCGTTATTTTGCCCAGGCTGGTCTCAAATTCCTGGGCTTAAGTGATCTTCCTGGTCTTCCAAATACTGGTATTATAAAATAAGGCACCCAACCCAGGCTTTCTGTCTTTTTTATGCAGACATTTAGCCTATAAATTTTCCTCCTAGCCCTGCTTTTGCTGTATCCCAGAGGTATTGATAATTTGTGTCAAAGGGAAGCCCATCAGACTAACAGCTGATCTCTCGGCAGAAACTCTACAAGCCAGAAGAGAGTGGAGGCCAATATTCAACATTCTTAAAGAAAAGAATTTTCAACCCAGAATTTCATATCCAGCCAAATTAAGCATCATAAGTGAAGGAGAAATAAAATCCTTTACAGACAAGCAAATGCTGAGAGATTTTGTCACCACCAGGCCTGCCCTACAAGAGCTCCTGAAGGAAGCACTAAACATGGAAAGGAACAACTGGTACCAGACACTGCAAAAACATGCCAAATTGTAAAGACCATCAAGGCTAGGAAGAAACTTCATCAACTAACGAGCAAAATAACCAGCTAACATCATAATGACGGGATAAAATTCACACATAACAATATTAGCCTGAAATGTAAATGGGCTAAATGCTCCAATTAAAAGAAACAGACTGGCAAATTGGATAAAGAGTCAAGACCTATCAGTGTGCTGTATTCAGGAAACCCATCTCACATGTAGAGACACACATAGGCTCAAAATAAAGGAATGGAGGAAGATCTACCAAGCAAATGGAAAACAAAAAAAGGCAGGGGTTGCAATCCTAGTCTCTGATAAAACAGACTTTAAACTAACAAAGATCAAAAGAGACAAAGAAGGCCATTACATAATGGTAAAGGGATCAATTCAACAAGAAGAGCTAACTATCCTAAATATATATGCACCCAATACAGGAGCACCCAGATTCATAAAGCAAGTCCTTAGAGACCTACAAAGAGACTTAGACTCCCATACATTAATAATGGGAGACTTTAACACCCACTGTCAACATTAGACAGATCAACGAGACAGAAAGTTAACAAGGATATCCAGGAATTGAACTCAGCTCTGGACCAAGTGGACCTAATAGACATCAACAGAACTCTCCACCCCAAATCATCAGAATATACATTCTTTTCAGCACCACACCACACGTATTCCAAAACTGACCACATAGTTGGAAGTAAAGCACTCCTCAGCAAATGCAAAAGAATAGAAATTATAACAAACTGTCTCTCAGACCACAGTGCAATCAAACTAGAACTCAGGATTCAGAAATTCCCTCAAAACCGCTCAACTACATGGAAACTGAACAACCTGCTCCTGAATGGCTACGGGGTGCATAACGAAATGAAGGCAGAAATAAAGATGTTCTTTGAAACCAATGAGAATGAAGACACAACATACCACAATCTCTGGGACACATTCAAAGCAGTGTGTAGAGGGAAATATATAGCACTAAATGCCCGCAAGAGAAAGCAGGAAAGATCTAAAATTGATACCGTAACATCACAATTAAAAGAACTAGAGAAGCAAGAGCAAACACATTCAAAAGCTAGCAGAAGGAAAGATATAACTAAGATCAGAGCAGAACTGAAGGAAATACAGACACAAAAACCCTTCAAAAAAATCAATGAATCCAGGAGCTGGTTTTTTGAAAAGATCAACAAAATTGATAGACCGCTAGCAAGACTAACAAAGAAGAAAAGAGGTAAAAAAAAAAAAAAAAAAAAAAAAAAAAAAAAAAAAGGTAAAATAAAGTATACCCATCAAAAGCTGTTGGTCTATTTGTTAAGGAAACTGAGAAAAATATAAGGAGAAAGAGAATCTGTACAAATAAAAAAAGAAGAAAATCTAATCTCTGCCTCCTCCCTCCATCCTCAACCCTTTATAACCTGATTTCTACTCACAAGACTAAAAGAATATTCTCTGCATAAAATAAATGACATTATTCCATAGCTTGTTTTCATCCTGTTCCATTTGCTCTCAGCAGCATTTGATCTGCATATACTTTCTCTATTTCTTAATAATATCCCCTTGGCTTCCAGGACAATTCTCTTTACACACTGCATTCCCTTGTGTATTCTTTCTTTCTATTCATCGGCTTAAATGTCCATGTTACCTTTATTAGTCTTGCTAGAAGTCTATCAATTTTGTTGATCTTTTAAAAAAAACAGCTAACGAAGAAAAGAGAGAAGAATCAAACAGACGCAATAAAAAATGATAAAGGGGATATCATCGCCGATCCCACAGAAATACAAACTACCATCAGGGAATACTATAAACACCTCCATGCAAATAAACTAGAAAATCTAGAAGAAATGGATAAATTTCTCGACACATATACTCTCCCAAGACTAAACCAGGAAGAAGTTGAATCTCTGAATAGACCAATAACAGGCTCTGAAATTGAGGAAATAATTAATAGCTTACCAACCAAAAAAAGTCCAGGACCAGATGGATTCACAGCCAAATTCTACCAGAGGTATAAGGAGGAGCTAGTACCATTCCTTCTGAAACTATTCCAATCAATAGAAAAAGAGGGAATCCTCCCTAACTCATTTTATGAGGCCAGCATCATCCTGATACCAAAGCCTGGCAGAGACACACACACACATACAAAAGAGAATTTTAGACCAATATCCCTGATGAACATCGATGCAAAAATCCTCAATAAAATACTGGCAAACCGAATCCAGCTGCACATCAAAAAGCTTATCCACTATGATCAAGTGGGCTTCATCTCTGGGATGCAAGGCTGGTTCAACATATGCAAATCAATAAATGTAATCCAGCATATAAACAGAACCAAAGACAAAAACCACATGATTATCTCAATAGATGCAGAAAAGCCCTTTGACAAAATTCAACAACCTTCATGCTAAAAACTCTCAATAATTTAGGTATTGATCGGACGTATCTCAAAATATGTAAGGGCTATCTATGACAAACCCACAGCCAATAACATACTGAATGGGCAAAAACTGGAAGCATTCCCTTTGAAAACTGGCACAAGACAGGGATGCCCTCTTTCACCACTCCTATTCAACATAGTATTGGAAGTTCTGGACAGGGCAATCAGGCAGGAGAAGGAAATAAAGGGTATTCAGTTAGGAAAAGAGGAAGTCAAATTGTCCCGTTTGCAGATGACATGATTGTATATCCAGAAAACCCCATCATCTCAGCCCAAAATTTCCTCAAGCTGATAAGCAACTTCAGCAAAGTCTCAGGATACAAAATCAATGTGCAAAAATCACAAGCATTCTTATACACCAATAACAGACAAACAGAGAGCCAAATCATGAGTGAACTCCCATTCACAATTGCTTCAAAGAGAAAAAAAAACCCTAGGAATCCAACTTACAAGGGATGTGAAGCACCTCTTGAAGGAGAACTACAAACCACTGCTCAATGAAATAAAAGAGGATACAAACAAATGGAAGAACATTCCATGCTCATGGGCAGGAAGAATCAATATCGTGAAAATGGCCATACTGCCCAAGGTAATTTATAGATTCAATGCCATCAAGCTACCAATGACTTTCTTCACAGAATTGGAAAAAACTACTTTAAAGTTCATATGGAACCAAAAAAGAACCTGCACTGCCAAGTCAATCCTAAGCCAAAAGAACAAAGCTGGAGTCATCTTGCTGCCTGACTACAAACTATACTACAAGGCTACAGTAACCAAAACAGCATGGTACTGGTACCAAAACAGAGTATAGACCAATGGAACAGAACAGGGCCCTCAGAAATAATGCCACATATCTACAACTATATGATCTTTGACTAACCTGACAAAAACAAGAAATGGGGAAAGGATTCCCTATTTAATAAATGGTGCTGGGAAAACTGGCTAGCCATATGTAGAAAGCTGAAACTGGATCCCTTCCTTATACCTTATACAAAAATTAATTCAAGATGGATAATTTTTGTCTCTGTTATTATTCATTTTGAAAAATTTTTAAATTTCCATCTTGATATTATTGCTGACAGAAGATCATTTAGGAGCAGATTGTTTAGTTTCCATGAATTTTTATGCTTATGAGAGTTCCCCTTGAAACTGATTTCTAAATTTATTCCACTGTGGTCTGAGAAGATATTTGATATAATTTTGATTTTTTACAATTTATTGAGACTTGCTTTATGGCCTACCTTATGGACTATCTTGGAAAATGTTCCATGTGCTGATGGGAAGAAAGCATATTCTACAATTTTAGAGTAGAATATTCTGTAAATGTCTGTTAGACTTGCTCAAGAGTCCAGGCTAAGTCCAGCGTTTCTTTGTTGACTTTCTGTCTCAATCTTTTTAGTGTTGTCAGTGAAGTATTAAAGTTCCCCAATATTGTTGTGTTCCTGTCTATCTCTTAAGACTACTAGTATTTGTTTTACAAATCTGGGAGCTCAAGAGTTAGGCACATATGTATTTAAGATTCTATCTTCTTGTTGACTTGATATCTTTATCCTTATAATAATGACCTTCTTTGTCTTTTTGTACTGTTTTTGTTTTAAAGTCTGTTTTATCTGACTTTAACATGAACTAATTTAAGTGGGACATTTAGACCATTTACTTTTGTTAGTAATATTGATATGTGAGATACTATCTCAGTCATCACCTTGATTGTTACCTAGTTGTTTTGATTGTTGCCTTTTTTTGTTTGTTTGCTTTGATTGTTACTTAGTTGTTTTGATTACTACCTAGTTGCTTTGTTTTCTTCATTGTGTTCCTTTTATAAGTCCTGTGAGTTTTATGCTTTCAAGTCTATACTGGTATGTATCAGCTATTTGTTTCCATATTTAGAACTCCTTTTAGCACTTCTTGTAGGGCTGGTCTAGTGGTGACAAATTTCCTCAGCATTTGCTTGTCTGAGAAAGATTTTATTTCTCCTTCATTTAAGAAATATTTCTAGATACAAAATTTTGGGCTGATGGTTATTCTGATTGAGGAGACTAAATATAGGACCTAATCCCTATGGCTTGTACAATTTCTGGTGAGAAGGCATCTGTTAGTCTAATTGATTTTCCTTTATAAGTTATCCAATGCTTTTATTTCACTGCTCTTAGAATTTTTTTCTTTATGTTAACTTAATGTAATGTCATCATATAAAGTTGACATGAAGAAAATAATTCTAAGAGAATGATGACTATATTCTTTTTTATGTCCTTTTTCTGCAATTAATCTCCTAGGAGTTATTTGCACTTCCTGTATTTGGATTTCTAAATTTCTAGCATGACCAGGAATGTCTTCCTCAGTTATTCCTTCAAATAGGTTTTCTAAACCTTTTGCTTTTTCTTCTCATTCAAGAACACCTATGATTCTTAGGTTTGGACATTTTACATAATCCCATATTTCTTGGAGAATCTGTTCATTTCCTTTAATTATTTTTTAAATTTTTGGTAGCTCTGGGACTTTCTATGTGAGCAATTCCTACATGAACAAACTACAGTCCAATGTAAAACAGTAAATTGAAACTAAAAACTGTACCAATCAGAAACCACCAACTAACCATCATTAGAGACTTTCTACTGTAACCAAAAATGTTTCCTTTGTCTTGCTTTTACAACCAAGTGGTACCAATTTCTTCTCTTACTCTTCCATGTGGAATGCTAATTCACTTGCAGTCTGGTGATGCCCCATTCATGAATCTTTGATAGCTCAAATAAACTATTTAAAATGTAAATAGGCTTAAGTTTTTCTTTTATCAGTTTATACATATCATCTTTCCCAATAGGATTTTGTCAGTCAGTTTCATTGGTTGCCTTGCAATTTCAGCTTTTTGACAAGAAAAATTAACTTTATTGATGATTCCATTTTCCTCATAATTAGTATCAGAGAAAAATTCTCCTGTAGTTTTTAAAATAGTAGGTAGAAACAGAATTCTATTCATTTACTTATTTAATTTCTCTTTTTTATTACTTTGTAATTTTTCTGGGAATAAACTATCTAGAAGTAAAGACACTGAAATATTCTTCATTGTAAAAGTGCTCACGTTAAATTTTAAATATAAGTAATCTCATGCAAAAAAGCAAGCTTCACAATGATAAGAACTATGAACTGGAGTTTCTCTAAGTTCATGTATAGTACTCAATTTTAAAACCCTTAAAATAAATAAAAACTTATAGAATTATGGAATGTCCCACTAAATCAGCTATTTCAATGTGGTTATCTACCATACTCTACCAGAAAGTCATTAAAAAAAATTCTGTGTGAAACATAGGAAAAAGACCCTGAATTAGGCATTCAAGTAAGATAAAATTCATGCTGCTAGTGCAGTGGTACAATGCCCTGGAATTATACTGAAGACTGCATTTGCTTCTATATGTGTGGGGGTTGGAGTGAGTGTTTGGAGCAGAAAGAAAATAGTCATGTGCTCAATTTAACAGCTTAATAATTTAGTCGTGAAGTAATTGTATAGGTCAGCCAAGATAAACTATTTACAGATAAATTTATTTACCTTAAAACTCTTAAAATGAAGGAATTAGGCCTGGGGTGGGGTTGGGGGAGTTTGCTGCCTTGAAGGAAAGGACAAAATACTGGCTGGTTTGCCACCTGCTGACTGAAGAGCCCTTGGGTCTGAGTGAACATTAGCAGTAGCCAGGCAATGGTTATTCAGACCTTGGGTGAGATCTAATGCTATGCTGGCTTTGGGCCTAACCAAGTGCTGTCCTAACAGTGGTGGCCACAGGGGTACTTGTGTCACCCATCCCCCAACTCCAGACAGATTGGTGCAGAGAGAAACTCTGATTGTTTGAGGAAAAATAAGGAAAAAGAATATGAGTCTTTCCCTGGTAATCCAGGGAATTCTCCTGGATCTTACCTGAGACCATCAAAGCTCTGTGAGTCTGCAAGAGTCACGGCAATAATGAAATTTAAGTGCCCACTAATGCAGATATGGCTGCAATGATCAAAGATTTAGATCACAACTGTCAATTCCCTTACAGAATGGGAGAAAATTTTTGCAATCTATCCATCTGACAAAGGGCTAATATCCAGAATCTACAAAGAACTTAAACAAATTCGCAGGAAAAAAAAAACAACCTCATCAAAAAGTGGGCAAAGGATATGAACAGACACTTCTCAAAAGATGACATTTATGTGGCAAACAAACATATGAAAAAAAGCTCATCATCACTGGTCATTAGAGAAATGCAAATCAAAACCACAATGAGATACCATCTCATGCCAGTTAGAATGGCGATCATTAAAAAGTCAGGAAACAACAGATGCTGGAGAGTATGTGGAGAAATAGGAACACTTTTACACTGTTGGTGGGAGTGTAAATCAGTTCAACCATTGTGGAAGACAGTGTGGCAATTCCTCAACGATCTAGAACTAAAAATACCATTTGATCCAGCAATCCCATTACTGGGTATATACCCAAAGGGTAATAAATTATGCTACTATAAAGACACATGTACACATATGTTTATTGTGGCACTATTCACAATAGTAAAGACTTGGAACAAACCCAAATGTCCATCAATAATAGAATGGATAAAGCAAATGTCGCACATACAAACCATGGAATACTATGCAGCCATAAAAAAGAATAAGTTCATGTCCTTTGCAGGGACATGGATGAAGCTGGAAACCACCATTCTCAGCAAATTATCACAAGGACAGAAAACCTAACACCCCATGTTCTCACTCATAAGTGGGAGTGGAACAATGAGAACACATGGACACAGGGAGAGGAACATCACACACCAGGGCCTGTTTGGGGGTGGGAAGCTGGGGGAAGGATAGCATTAGGAGAAATATTAATGTAAATGATGAGTTGATGGGTGCAGCAAATCAACATGGCAAATGTATACCTATGTAACAAACCTCCATGTTCTGCACATGTACCCTAGAACTTAAAGTATAATTTAAAAAAATTCAAAGGTGAGAAAAAAAAGAAAACACAAAGTCAGAAGAGACAAAATTAAAAAGAATAAAGCACAATTATAAGGTCTAGAAAATAGTCTCAAAAGGGCAAATCTAAGAATCCTTGGCCTTATGGAGAAGCTAGAGAGAGAGATTGGGGAAGAAAGTATATTCAAAGGGATAACAACAGAGAACTTTCCAAATCTAGGGAAAGATGTGAGTATTCAAGTACAAGAAAGAGAAAACCAAGTAGATTTAATGCAAAGAAGACTACCTCGAGGCATTTAATAGTCAAACTCCTGAAGGTCAAAAATAAAGTATCCTTTAAAAAGCAATAGAAAAGAAATAACAAATAGAACTCCAATACGTCTAGCAGGAAACTTTTTAGTGGAATCCCCACAGGCCAGGAGAGAGTGAGTGGCATGGCATATTTAAAGTGCTGAAGAAATAAACTTATCTTAGAATAGTATATCCAATGAAAGTTTTTCTCAAACATGAAAGAGAAATTAAGACTTTCCCAGATAAACAGAAGCCAAGCGATTTCATCAACACCAGAGCTTTCCTACAAGAAATGCTAAAGAGAGTTATTTAATCTGAAATAAAAGGACAATAATAAGTAATAGAAAAATCATCTCAAGGTACAAAACTTACTAGTGAGAGTAATTACACAGAGAAACACAGAACATTATAACACTATAATTGTGGTATGTAAACTAATCATATATTGAATGGAAAGACTACAAGATGAACCTATCAAACTAACCAACAACTTTTCAAGATATAGACAGTATAATAAAAATAGAAACCACAAAATAATTAAAAGGGGGAGGAGATTAAGTTAATGTGTAGAGTTTTTGTTAGTTTTCTCTTTGGTTGTTTGTTTTTATAATCAGTATTTTCATCAATTTGAAATAATAAATTATAAGATAGTATGTATTTGCAAGCCTCTTGGTGACCTCAAATCAAAAAACCTGCAACAGAAACACAAAAACTAAGAAGCAGAAAATTCAAACATACCACCAGAGAAAACTACCTTCACAAAAAGAAAGAGAGGAAGGAATGAAGGAAAGAAGAGAAGACAATAAAAGAAACAGAAAACAAGTAACAAAATAGCAGGAGTAAGTCCTTACTTATCAGTAATGACACGGAATGTAAATGGACTAAACTCTCCAAACAAAAGACATAGTTAAAAAAAGATGTTTTTAATTGGATGAAATAGATTAAAAAACAAGACTCCATGATTTGTTGCCTACAAGAAACAGACTTCACCTAAAAAGACACATAGCGAAAATAAAGGGGTGGAAAAAAATATTCCATCTCAATGGAAACTGAAAAACAGCAGAGTAGCTATACTTATATCAGTCAAAATAAATTTCAAGACAAAAACAGTAGAAAGAGGCAAAGAAAGTCATTATGTGATGATAAAGGGGCCAATTCAGCAAGAAGATATAATAATTGTAAATATATATGTATCCCACTCTGGATCACCCAGATATATTGGAGCTAAAAAGACAGATAGACCTGAATACAACAATACATTGGGACTTCAACAACCTACTTACAACTTTAGACTGATCTTCCAGAGAGAAAATCAAAAAATGAACATCACACTTAATCTACACAATAGACCAAATAGACCTAAGAGATATCTACGGAACATTTGCTCCAACTGCTGCAGAATAAACATTCCTCTCCTCAGCACATGGATCACTCTGAAAGATAGACCATACATAAAGCCCCAAAATAAGTCTTTAAAAAATTCAAAAAAATTAAAATCATATCAAGCGTCTTCTCTTACCATAATGGAATAGAACCAAAAATCAATAACAAGAGGAATGTTGAAAATTATACAAACACATGGAAATTAAATACTATGCTCCTGAATGACCAGTGGATCCATGAAGAAATTTTAAAAATTTAAAAATTTCTTGAAAAAGAAAAGATCATGGAAACACAACATATCAAAACCTATGGGATACAAAGATAACAGTACTAACAGGAAAGTTTACAGCAATAAGAGCCTACATGAAAAAAGTAGATAAGCTTCCAATTAACAACCTGGCAGTGCATCTTACAGAACTAGAAAAGCAAGAGCAACCAAACCCAAAATTAGTAGAAGAAAATAAATAATAATCAGAGCAGATGTAAATAAAATTGCAATGAAAAAATAATACAAAACAACAACATAATAAAAAGATTTTTGGAAAGATAAACAAAATTGAGAGCCCTTTAGTCAGCCTTATTAAGAAAAAAAGAAAGACACAAACAAAATCAGAAATAAAAATAGAGATATTACAATTGACATTGCAGAAAACCAAAGGATTATTAGAGACTACTATGAGCAACTATATGACAATAAATTGGAAAACCTGGAACAAGAAATGAATAAATACCTAGATACATAAATCCTATCAGGACTGAACCATGAAGAAATCCAAAACTGAATAGACCAATGACAGGCAATGAAATTAAAGCTTTAATAAAAATCTCATAGGAAAGAAAAGCCCAGGACCCAATGCATTCACTGCTAAATTCCACCACACAATTAAAGAACTAACATCAACCCTACTCAAACTATTCCAAAAATTAGAGATTACTTCTATGAGGCTAGTATTACCCTGATTAAAAGAAAAAAAACACACATCCAAAAAAAAAAAAAAAAAAAAAAACCTACAGGCCAGTATCAATGATGAACATCGATGCAAAAAAAATTCAGAGTACTGAAATATGAATTCAACACCATATTATAAAGATCATTTATAATGGCCAACTGGGATTTATCCCAGGGATGCAAGGATTGTTCAACATATGCAAACCAAAGTGATACATCATATCAACAGAACAAAGAATAAAAACCATATGATCATTTCAATTGAAGCTGAAAAATTTATTTGATAAAATTCAACATTGCTCCATAATAAAAACCTTAAAAATGGGTATAGAAGGAAAATACCTCAACACAATTAAAGCTATATACAATAGATCCACAGCTAGTATTATACAGAACTAAAAGCCTTTCCTCTAAGATCAGGAACATGACAAGGATGCCCACTTTCACTACTGTTATTAAACATAGTACTGAAAGTCCTAACTAGAGCAATCAGACAAGACAAATCGATACAGAACATCCAAATTAGAAAGACAGAAGTCAAGCTATCCTTATTTGCAGATGATATGATTTTACATTTAAAATTCTGAAGACTCCACCAAAACTATTAAAACTGATAAACAAAGTTGGTAAAGTGGCAGGATACCAAATTAACATACAAAAATTATTAGCATTTCTATATTCCAATAGTGAACAATCTGAAAAAGAAATCAAGAAAGTGATCTCATCTACAACACATACAAAAAAATTAAATACCTAGGAATTAACTTAACCTAAGAAGTGAAAGATTTCTACAATGAAAACCATGAAACATTGATGCAAGAAACTGAACAGAACACAGACAAAAAATGGAAAGATTCTACATGTTCATGAATTGGAAAAATAAATGTTAAAATGTCCATGCTACCCAAAGCAATCTACACATTCAACGTAATACTATCAAAATAACAATGACTTTCTTCACAGAAATTGAAAAAATTATCATAAAATGTATACAGAACCACAAAAGACCCAGGATAGCCAAAGATATTCTGAGCAAAAAGAATGAAACTGAAGGAATCACATTACCTGTTTTCAAATTATAGTAGTATAATTTGGCTATAGTAACCAAAACATCATGGTACTGGCATAAAGATTTACACGTAGATAAGTGAAATGGAATAGAGAACCCAGAAATAAATCCATACATCTACATTGAACTCATTTTTGACAAAAGTGCCAAGAACATACATTGGGGAGAGGACAGTCTCTTCAATAAATGGTGCTGAGAACACTGGATAGTCATATGCAGAAGAAGAAATCTAGACCTGTATCTCTTGCCATAAAAAAATCAAATCAAAATTTATTAAAGAATTAAATCTAATACTTCAAACTATAAGACTACTGAAAGAAAACATTAGGAAACTTGAAGACATTGCTCTGAACAAAGATTTCTTGAGGAATATCCCACAAGCACATCAACCAAAGCAAAAATGGACAAATGTGATCATATCAAGTTAAAACTTCTACACAGCAAAGGAAATAATCATCAAAGTGAAGAGACAACCAACAGAATGAAAGAAAATATTTGAAAGCTATCCATCTGACTAGAGATCAATAACCAAATATATAAAGAGCTCAACAACTCAGTAGGACAGATTCTAATAATCAATTTTTTAAATAGGCAAAAGAATTGAATACACATTTCTCAAAATAAGAATAAAAATGAGAAATGTGTATATAAAAAGGTGGTCAACATCATTGATCATCAGAGAAATGCAAATCAAAAGTACAGTGATATTTCACACCAGTTAAAATGGCTTTCATTAAAAAAACAGGTAATAATGAATGTCAGTGAGGATGTGGAGAAAAGAGATCCCTCATACACTGTTGGTGGAAGTGTAAAATAGTACAACTACTATACAGAATGATATGGAGGTTTCACAAAAATCTAGAAATAGAGCTACCATACAATCCAGTAATGCCATTGTTAGATATATATACAAAATAAGGCAAATCAGTATATTAAGAGATATCTGCACTCCTGTGTCTTATTTCAGCACTATTCACAATAGCCAATATTTGGAAGCAATCTAAGTGTCCATCAAGAAATGCATAAAGAAAATATGGTACATATACACAATGGAATACTGTTCAGCCATTAAATAAAAGAATGAGATACTGTCATTTTCAGTGACACAGACGGAACTGGAAGATATTGTGTTAAGCTAAAAATTAAAACACTGAACTCATGAAGATAGAGAGTAGAATGATGGTTACCAGAGTGGGTGGGTGGTGCAGAGAATAGTTAATGGGTGCAAAAATATAGTAAGAAAAATAAGACAGTATTTGATAGCATAACAAGGTCACTACAGTCAACAACAATTTATTGCATATTTAATAATAACTAAAAGTATATAATTGGAATGTTTGTTAACACAAAGATATGATGCATGCTTAAGGGGTTAGATACTCCATTTACCCTGACTTGATAATTATGCATTATATGTCCTGCATCAAAATATCTCATATCCCCCATAAATATATACACCTCCTATGTACCAATAAAAATAAAACAAAGTTAAAAATAAAAAATAATTATTAAGAAATTAGACTAGACCAGTGGTTTTTTAGTTGGTTGCTTTTTAAATTAGTAGATTTGTGACTCCAGTCCCCAGTACTCTCATTCACTAGTTCTACGGTTGGGCCAAAAAAATCTTCATTTTTAATGAACCGTTTGGTAATACTGATGGAGGTGTTTTAAGATTATGTTGTGAGAAATTCTGATTCTTCACTATACTAAAGCCCCTGGAGAGAAGGAATCTATTATATTTTGACTTTATTCCCTAGCAATGAGAATTTTATATATAATATATAGTTTTATATAATTATATATCATATATGTTCATATAAATTATATTATAGTTTATAATAGATATATAATAGGTCCATAATATATACACGTTGAGTTGATCTAAAGTGGTATTCAACATCTCTGCCAGGTATTAGTATATATGAATTGGGTGATTAATAACTGAATATAATTTTTGGACTTCCTGAATTCAAATTAATTTTATGATGCCTCTGATGCCTGTTTTGTGAAAAGCAATATGGCAATTATCCACCATATGGGACAAAAGCAAAAAAAAGATGAATCAAGAGAGATACATTTTACACTATGGAATCCTTATAGAGACATATGTATTTTTGTTTATGAATTAGATATTGAACTTTTTTATTAATCAAAAAATGCATTTATTTACTTTTTCAGAGTTCACTTAGGATAAAACTGATCATTTATGGCACTTTTGACATTATAAGTGTAGACAAGATTAGTAATTTTAATGAAACATGAACATCTGTGAAAACATAGACACCATCAGCTTTATAGGAGTTAACTTGTTTAATTATATTTGAAAAATTGCACTGAAAATAAAAATTTTCATTCATGAATATCAAAGTCATATTAATGTTATAATCCTTTTCCTAATTGGCATGGCCAAAATATTAGTTAAGCCTGGTACAATCATATCATGTAGGATATATATGTCTAGAAAAAGTTTTATCCAAAAAGCACAGCACAGTTCAGTTTCTTTGAACTGCAAATGGCCAGTCTCAATGATCACTCACTCACTGTGCCAGAGGAAAATTAAATTGAATTTACTTTTACTTCAATTCATTTGCAACTGAGGGGGCAAACCCTGTGTAGACCCATAACATTTTATCTTTGAACCAATAACTAAAAAGTCTAAAATTGTTAAGGAATCTTGTAAAAGTTGAGAGGTCAGTGAAGGGTTTGAACCTGAATAACACAGCACTCTTTCAATCTTTTAGTTCAAAACAAACATAGAAGACATGGTAAGCTCACTGATAGAAAATCTGTTTTATTTCTCTGGTGTAGATAATTCACATGACCTGTTTGGTTCACCCCTCTCTTTTCATATAAATAGTGCACTCCCTTCACCTTCAGATCCTTCTGTGCAGAGGGGCTCTAAGACTGTCTTTTCTGTTGTCCTTCAACAGTACTCAGGTCTGGGGAAGGTTTTTTATTTTAT
The DNA here is from genome assembly GCF_000001405.40 of Homo sapiens. NCBI lineage: Eukaryota > Metazoa > Chordata > Mammalia > Primates > Hominidae > Homo > Homo sapiens. The sequence goes on from NC_000005.10 coordinate 105,613,188, forward strand.
TTTTTTTCCTACTGAAATTCCCAACAATTTCTCTAATACTGTTTTTCTACACTTATGCTTACAGAGGAGACAAAAATACATCTCTCAAATATATGTAACATTATCATAAATGTCATTCATTTATCCCAAAAATGAACTATGTGCTAGCCAATATTATAGGCCCTATATGTATAGCGCATTCACACACACACAAAGACACAAAAACACACATATACTTGGAAAATGCAGATGTTAAACTGAGTGTATAATGAATAAATGTTATTGGAAGTCATTAAGGTCTTGGTTTCTAATTTTGTTAGATCCCCCATGAGCAATGTGTGTGTGCACGTGTACTTATAGTCACTTATTTTGGAAAGTTGAATAATATTATAATATTACATTTCCTGCTTTGTAATATTATACATTGTAGCATCCATTAATTTTTTCTACTTCAAATATCATTCAAATTGAATTATAGGAAATATACATTGTTATGCTACACTGCCACATTTCATTTACTCCACAGACTTATTTTAAAAACATATTTACCTCCTCAACTTTATAATTAATTTTTGTCCACTTAGCATCCAAAGATGATGTGGTTTCTAATCATTCTGGAGGCTGATGTGTGGGAAAATCTTTGGGACAAAATGTAATTATAAATGCAAATGCCTGGTAATGGCTTAACCCACTATTATCTGAATAGAAGGAATTTCATGAGTTAAAAAATACCTTTCTTTAATCTAATATTAAAATGGAATACTCCACAAAATTAATTTAAACACTAAAATTAACTAATTAAATTTTAAAATATTTTCATGAATTATCCCATTAGGTAATATTGGATTAAAAAAATCTTTCTTGTAGTTAACTATTAAAAAGAAAAACGCAGGGCAAATATACTCTATGGAGCAGATAATGGCCAGGAAATTTGTTTTGTTTGGCTCACATAATATAAGTTAGTTGCCTACATTTAAAAATCGTGTATTTTACATAAAATTAGAAATATGTATTCTGTAGAGAAATTGCCTACCTGCCACACAGGCCCACATTCTCACATGACCACGGTTAATTGAATCTGTGTAGTGGCTGTCCATTTATGTTGACGTATGCTCTCTGTAGCCAAACTCAGCCCACTCCACTCCTATTGCTTTACACTGTTCTTATTCAAATCATTTATATTATATTTACGATCATTGTTAGTTTTATAATTTGACAGAAGCCCCTGTAACCTACCGTCATCATTTGGTAAATAGAGCTAATGCAATTCAATCATTTGTTTTACTTTTGTAATTTAGTTGCTTATATGGCTGGTTTGTCTGTAGGGTAATTTTAGACAGTATTTTTCAGTTGAAGGATAACTTGACATTTCTAAGAGATCGTTTAAAAACTTTAAAATGTAAAAAATAATTCATTGTTTAGAATTTTACAAACCTTATTTTGACTCTAACTCAGTAGTTAGACTCACCTACTGTTGCACAAACACTTCCCGGCAGATCTGAGTAAAGACTAGAATAAAGATTTAGTGACTCTAAATACAGCTTAAATATTTTTGACAGATATATACACAATAAATTTTACATGGCACATAAATATTTATATGAATATTATATTGTCATTTTATACAGAATAATTCAAATGTACTATTAGAATTATTAAATAATCTAAGCCATTTTTATAATACAATATCCTTTTAAATTTTAAAATCTTGCTTAAAATGTATTCTACCAGTTTATATTATTAAAATTGTTAATCAAAACTAAATATTCTTACCATGTAAAAATACACTAAAATGCTTATACAGAGTAAAACTGCTGAGTATAGTATACCCGTATATTATTATACCATTAATAGCACTAAAATAATATGTGGTTAATTTTAATTGCTTAGAATATATGGTTCTCATTTATTCTCACTGGTTTGAAAAACATTATTCCTGTTACTAAATATTATTCAGTGAATAATAAAAATGTATGATATAATGAGTATTAGACATTTTTCAAAATGTCTAACATTTTAGTCAACTTTAGATAGAGTTATAATCTTCAACTAATTTCAAAATTTGTTTTAAATTATCTTTCAATTATGAAGGACTTTTCTAACAGAAGTCAGAGTGAGATTTAATTTAATATAGTCAACAACCTACCAAGTTTGCACTATTTCTATTTTCTCCTCCTAATCGTGGTAGGGTGTTAACTATTTTGACCTAATTTGAGATATTACTGAAGACTATCAATCTACCAATTAAGCTATGCGCATGCTATTTTTGCAACAATGTATTTGTTAAATATTCTTTAAATTGGCTATATATTCTATACTTTTAAATAGTTTTATAAAAGATTAGAAACTTAGTGACAACATGAAGCCAGAGTTAATGATCATATTTAATATTATTTTAATAGAGAATCCATAACTAAACTTATTAACCTATACACATGATTTGCAAAATAAAAGAATATAAAAGAAAAATCTCTTGCCCATTGTTAAGAACTAATTCATTCTTGCTCGCAGGTATTTTTAAGTAGGTTTTCTTTCTTGATGGCTAACTTCATAACTATGAATAACATACTCTGCTTTTCTTTCTTGATTTATAAAGGTTAAACATTACCTGTTGTCTGTATGCTGTGGCAGAAGAGAATATATATTTATTACACATTTGCATTATCTTTTTCCTTTATATAATTTTTGTCATTCTACTTAGTCCATAGATCAAATTTCTTATTTGAAAAATAAGCTCAACATTTGTTTCCTTTTCTATCAACTATAGATAACACTTCTTGACTCTTCTCTTTGTAAAATGAGAATATTTTTATATTTTATGTTTCCTTAAGGTTTTCTTCTTTCTATCTCATATATTAATATACAACTTATACAAATTTAAATTTTAAAAACTTTACATAAAATATTATAAACCTAATATATAAATCTACCAAGGAATATGTATGGATTGATTCTAAATGTGAAAAAATCAATACACTCATTGTTCACATTATGACTCCACAGTCTGTTTTCAAAGCACAGACAAGAAATTCACAATGATTAAATATTCTTCTTTAAGATTCTAATACCTTAAGCATCTGCTATTGAAAACATTGTCTTATGTATATTAGTGAAATTGTATCTAAGTTTCGTTTCTGAATGTATAGTGTCCATTTTAATATTATTATTTATATAAAAAAATCCAGGTATGGAATGTGTGTACTGAAACTCTTTTGCCATAGATCAGATATCTTTCACTTTATTCCTTGTCTACTTTCTAAGAAAAGAGTTGAGCAAAAAGAAAGTTTAATTCTATTTATAATGATCACTGTGGTTTTTTTAATTACTTGGGTTTATTTCTACTCTCTTGATCTTTTTGTAAGCCGACTTGATATTAAGATTTTGAATTAGCTTTCTTTCCATTGAACTGCAAACAAAATATGGCATGTTTCTAAGTTATATTATTGTTTATCTACTTAGAATATTTAGAGGTTGTTTTGATTTACTATATTTGTTTTCCATCAAAGTTGATTCATGCAGCTTACAGTTTTGAAATTAACTCCTCAACGTTCCTTGCTGTGTAAACAAGGATAAGGTAAACATCTTTCATAAAAATTCACCTTTTAAGCTGTGTCATATTTGACTTGTTGAATCAATGTACCCTTGTGATCAAGTGATTAAGCTATTTACTGCTCTTGCACAGAAAGCTATTAAATAGATCGTAAACACAAGATTATGGAGTGGGTGTCAGGATCTCTAAATTCTACTCACCCATTAGTTGTGTGACCTTGAACAAGTCACTTAATCTTTTTGACCTCAGCTTCATTACATACATAGCAAGGACAACAATTATCTCATTGGGCTTCTTTGCTTGTAAAGCTCTATAATTTTATTCTACAATTATCTTTGGGATGGATTTAGCATGAGGGAGGAAAGCTTCATTGCAACAGTTATGCAAATTATCTCATATGAATTATGGAGTTAATTTAATAAGCCTCTTACTTTTTGTCATAATTTTCAGAAAAATAAATATTCATTTAAGACATGTACTAAAAATTACATTTAGCACAAAAGTTGCAAAATATTTCCTCTTATAACCAGCGTTTCTGGCAGCTGTTTATCAATCATGTTTCAAACACATTATAACTATGACTCAGAAAGCTCCACCTTACTGGTACTAATAGCTGAAGAAAATTAGTTACAGAACCTATAACACTATAAACTTTTATTTTCTTAAGTTTTCATTATGTAATTTATTGATAATAATTTATCAAATATAGATATTAAATAGATTTCTGAGGAAAAACATTTTTGTCATATAAATAATTTTGTATAACATAGGAAACAAAGAGAGTCAAAATATCTGGGATCTTGCCCTTATTTTGCTGCTCTTGACTTTCTGGGTGGCCTTAAAGCAAACTGATCAAGTTACTATTTTGTAAAACTTGCCAAATATTGTCAGAGCTTTGGAGGAGGTAATGAAACCATAAATGTAAAATGCTCTACAAATAGAAAGGTCAAAGACCAGCATATGTGAAACACATTTTCATTCTTAATGAGCAGTCAGATGCTTAGTAGGGAATGCCAAAACAACTTCTTTTCAAGAGCCAATTCATTTTGTAGAAATTCATGGAGAAGTAGCAGTATTTATTGAATATGATTCTTGCATCATCATTTAAAATACATGTATCTATAAACAGAGCAATAATGTTCAGAGTAATATTAATATCTATAGCTAAAAATAAAAGGTTATTAATGTTGTATTAGAAAAATTGGAGACTGAGGGATTAGATAAACTAGGTTCAAATTACAAAGTTACTACTTATTAACTCTGTGGGTCAAGCTTTTCTGCTCTTCTAACCCAATTGACAGTGTAGTGGAGTTGTTTGAAAGTCGTTTTTTAAGAGGAAACATAGCTTTGCCAGCAGCTAAGTTCAGGGCAGACGGAGAAGGAGTTCTCTTCAGGCACAAGTCATCATTAGCCTCTGAACCTTCTCAAAAAGATCTTCACTCTTCTCCCACTGTGATTGTAGTACAGTTACATCTGTGAGTCTCTTCTCAACTGGCAATGTGTAACATTGGCAAATGAGGCATTTAAGAGGGTAAAAACTCATGGATAGTATAGTTCAAGAGTTACCTAAAAATCCAGTTGAATGGATTTCACATATTCTAAAATATTACTCTAGATGAAATTATTGTATTCTACAGCCCTTCATCCTTTCAACACTTCCTTCAAAATGTTTGCATTTGTATATGAATAGCAGTTGTATGGAAATTATCCATCTTATACTGATGCTATTGTTACGAACAAACAAAACAAAGGCTTAACAAAAGGCATATTAAACTGATGCTTAAATTATTTGTTGAATGTGTTATCTAATGTTACAAAGATTTTAATGAAGATCTTAGTGAGAAAATTCCTATTGACTTCTAGTCCTATGATCAGTTAAATTTTCTCAATCAATATTCCTTATTTTCAGACAGTAAATAGCAATGGGTGTGCTATAATTTAAATGTGTCCCCCAGAAAGCATGTGTTGGAAACTTAATCACCCATTCAACAGTGTTTAGTGGGGCCTAAGAAGAGGATGAGAGAATGAATGAATGTCATTACTGCAGAAGTGAGTTTATTATTGTGGTAATGGGTTTGTTATACAAGTGGGAGTTTGGCCACATTTTAATCTTTTTTTCGTGCTTCTTTTTTGCCTTTTTACCAAGAAGACCCTCACCAGATTCTGGTCTGTCAATCTTGGACTCTTCAGCTTTCAAACTGTCAGCTAATTAGTTTCTATTCATTATAAATTACCCAGTCTGTGCTATATTGTTATAGAACAAAATAGACTAATACAGAAAACCAGTACCAGAGAAATGGGGTGATGCTATAACAAACATTGGAAAATATGGAAGCATCCTGAGAACTTTAATGACTAGAGGCTGGAAGACTTTGGAGGAGAAGCAGGCTAGAAAAAGCCTGTTTTGCCATTAATGGAGTATTAAGGGTGATTCTGGTAAGGACTCCAAACAAGAGGAATGCTACAGGGAATGTCTGAAACTTCTTGGAGATTACTTAAGTGATCATGATCAGAATGTTGGTATGAACACAAAAACAGTAAAGGCCATTTTCTACATGTTCTCAGCATGCACATAAAAAGAGTAACTATGTAAGTTGAGGAATATGTTAATTACCTAGATTCTAGTAATCATTTTGCAAAGCATACATATATTGAATCATCATATTATACAACAATGTATACAATTTGTATTGCATACATATTGTATACATTTATTGAGATGTATCTCAATACATCTGAACCCAAAGAAGAAGATAAGTTACAAGCCTGGGACATTCCACCTGATTCTCCAGATTAGGTATTAGATTTGCCACAAAAAGTACAGACGCTCAGTTAAATTTGAATTGCAGAGACACAACCACAGCTTTTGGTTTTTGTTTTTTGTTTTTTAGTAAAGTAAGTCCCAAATATTGGATAGGACATGCTTGTATACTTACACACAAACTTCATTGTTTGTCTCCAACAAAAATTTAACTAGGCATCTGTATTTTGCTACATCTGGCAACCCTACCAAATCCTTCCTCCAATATTAGCCAACACTCCCCTACCCAATAATAGATGAGGTTTCCAAGGAAGGTTTTGTGGCTTTACCTCACACAGCAGGAGGCATTTAAGTTATATAACATCTCTATTTCATACCCGCAGAGTTGTATAACATTCTCCAGGGAGCCATGCCTCGTAAATCCGGTGATTGTAATTTTATTTACTATAAGTAATCCTTTAGCCAGGGGCATCCTGCTAAGGGGCTATATAGATAAGTTCTCTTCCTCCTAGCAAATATCATCAGCCTATTTACCCAGAGGTCCAGTTGACAAGGAGATAAGGCCAGGTCACCTGCCCTATTTTCTTTCTCCTGGGGTTGGACTCTGGTTAAAGAATGAATGGATCACAGGCTAGATACTTTAACTATTTCCTTGCAACTACAGTCATGTCTTTAATATCTAAGGAAAAACATACTTTCATTTATACCAGAAATAAACTCAAAAGCTGATAAAAAATTTAAATGTCCCGGGTGTATTTTAGACTTAATGTCCTTCAATGTGGGAAAAGTTGTTTTTCTAATTATCACAAGTTCTATCCTTAATAAATATTCTGATGTAGTCCATATATTAAGTTTTGAGTACTAAGGGAAGAAGTTCAAGTTGCTATTTGAGAAGAAACATTTAACAGCAGTCTCTTAGTTCCATCAAATAGAAATATCATTTTTCTAAAATTGTGTTTAGTCAAATATATGACATCTAGTAAGTATCTTAGAAGGGGTATGACAGAAATAAAAAGGAACAATCTGATGACTAGCAGGCCATGGAGACCAAGGTATTATTCTCAAACCACTGAACACAGATGTAATATTTTCTAAAGGTTCTGACAGTAAAAATTTGAGATTTAACTTGGGCTACATAATTTTTGTCTACAAGAATAAAATAAAGGGCTCCATCATATGCACAATTAGAAAGATAATTTAATCAGTGCTTTTACGTCTTTTTTAAAGATACACAATTTCATGACTTACATTAGACTCCCTAAATTTGTTTTCAAAAAGTTTCTTTTGATTTTCCTTTTTTCATGTTCAATGAGCAGTGGAAAGGAATGTTGACAGTAGAATTCCCAAGTCACTTTAAATGGCTAGTAAACCATTTAAAAGTTAGGAGATAATATATCTTGTTTTTCTGAAAAAGCATAATTTTGGCCTTTAAAATTGTTAGTGTGAATATCAAGATAATTAAAACCTCCTGTATTCTAGGGTAAACATATAAAAACACAATTTATTACATTTTTCTCAGCTATTTTACTTATGTATCCTCAATCCATGGTTTTCTAGGTAAAACAGATTTCAGTAGCTAAGCCAGGATTTTGACTAATTTGTAGGATTTCTAATGCCATGGATGTGTATAGCTATGACCTGAAAGCACTGCGCCTTATTCTTTTTTTTTTTTTTTTGAGACAGAGTCTTGCTCTGTCACCCAGGCTGGAGTGCAGTGGCGTGATCTTGGCTCACTTCAAGCTCCGCCTCCCGGGTTCACGCCATTCTCCTGCCTCAGCCTCCCGAGTAGCTGGGACTACAGGCGCCCGCCACCACGCTTGGCTAATTTTTTGTGTTTTTAGTAGAGACGGGGTTTCACCATGTTAGCCCGGATGGTCTAGATCTCCTGATCTTGTGATCCGCCCGCCTCGGCCTCCCAAAATGCTGAGAGTACAGGTGTGAGCCACCGTGCCTGGCCCTCCCTTATTCTTATAGAAGTTTTACATTTTCTATATTAAAATAAAAATAATAAACACTATTTTAAAATCTTAACTTAGCACATAGAGCACACTGTGCTGCATATTATAGTTTCTTTTCATACATTATTTAATATATCAAGTGGTTTTGTTTTTCTGTTTTAGCATAAACTGGTGAAATAAATATTTACATACTTCTGCTGGTTTTGAATGTGTGTTCTCATAGTTAGACACACATTAATCTTACATGTCTTTGTGCAGGTAGAAAATATTTTCTGATATCACAAATGAAGACATTGAGGATTAGAGTGATTATTACTCCAGGGTAACACCCCCAAAATCAGAAGACCCAGGACTATATTTTAACACCCAGACCACGTTTTCCAGTGTTCTTTTCACTTTTCATATACAACTGCATCTCCTGTAACAGCCAATACAGATTTGTTAACAGTCAAAGACTCAAAACAAGTGATAGTCCTTTCTTTTTAATAACCGTATCTTGAAGAAAGTTCTATTTGAAGGAATTCACTTGAACCTATATATCTCTGGATTTCTTTCTTTATACCTTTCCCAGTTAAGAAAAAAAAAATCAAGGAATTGAATGCACTCAGTATCTTTGTATTCTTCCCTCCTACCCACTCTTATCAACTACCACCCTAACCAATTCACTAAAATGAATATTAGGAATTTCACCCATGACTTTCACATTGCCAAAAACAGTGGACACTTCTCTGTCATAGCAATCATTGTCACATCATATGAAAAACCACCCTCAGCTATATTCAGTAACATGGCTTTTCTTATTTTTATGGTAATTCGCTGCCTAAATGTTTTCCCCTTTGCTCTCCTCCGACTCTCCTGAGTGCACCTCACTGTCCATTCCATCTCCTTAGGGTGAGCATATACAGTCATTTGACTTTAAAGACTATACATAGGCTAGTTTTTCTCCATCCCAGAATTCCTCCTTCACCTACAGACATAAATCCAAATGTCTAATCAGCATTTCCATTTCTATATACAATATCAAAAGTACTATAACTTAAACCAAATGATTGAGTCTCAATTCAAACTTCCACTAATTTTCTCAATATAATCATAATTACCAGCTACACACAGAAGATCTGGATTCTGCTTAACTCCACATCTTTAGCAGTCTCTGACACTTTAGGCTTCCTCTGTCCTGGTCTTTTTTGTTATTGTTTCTTGAATATTTTATGTTCTTGCTCATATTATTATTTTTTCTTTGCATTATTTATACCTTCTTATCTTCAGAGTTCAGCTTCAATGGCAAAGAGCCTTTACTTAAACATGTCTCTCCCAATCTATATTCTTTCATCATACACTATGTAATTTTTGTCTAGTACATATGGCTCATATGGCTACTAAATTGGAAAGGGTTAAGAGTCTGAGGTTTTTTATTTTTATTTTTTTTGAGGGGGAGTCTCATTCTATCACCCAGGCTGGGGTGCTGTGGTGCTATCTCAGCTCACCTCCACCTCATGGGTTGCAGCGATTCTCCTGCCTCAGCCTCCCAAGTAGCTGGGATTACAGGTGTGCGACACCATGCCTGGCTAATTTTTGTATTTTTAGTAGAGACGGGGTTACTCCATCTTGGCCAGGCTGGCCTCGAACTCTTGACCTCAGGTAATTCTCCTGAGTGCTCCAGAGTAATCCCAGGGTGCTGGGATTACAGGTGTGAGCTACTGTGCCCAGCCTGGGTCTGAGATTTTACCCTACTTTTGAGCTATTAGCCTGCCAGAATGTTACAGATACATAAACACACACACACACACACACACTCCCAAACACACAGACTAATACATACATATATAAAAGAACAAAAGATTTTGATTTCTGAGTCAAAAACAGACCACAGCAAAAGAACAAAAACAGTAGCCAGAGCAGCTTCTTGTGTAAGTTCCCCATACCCCACATCCCACAGAGGAACATGATGAGGACCAGATGTTTACCTGCACATGCAGTGGGTTGCACCACAGGAGAGGAAGCCTGAAATTAGGAGCCTCTTAGAGTTTATGAGACTGCTGGCAAATCCACCTACCCTCCTCTGTAGAGAGCGAGATTACTTATTTTTCTGGAATATAAAAAAAAAAAATCCTCCTGGAGGAACAGAGAAAACTCCATAGGTTTATTATCCTGGAACGTAAGCATATGTCTCTGGGAAAGGAACAGAGAGGGTTTTACCTTTACTACCTTGGACATCTACAAAATATATCTCTAAATTTGTCCAGAGGGAAACACTCTCTCTAGCTTCTAAGGCTCTTTGCTATTGAAACATGGATTTTGCTTAGAAGGGCCAGCCTGTGCAGAAACCTGAGGAATCCATGGAAAATTTCATACAATGATAATTTATAAATATCTACTTCGTGTATTTGCTTATTTTCTTTTTCTCTTTAGAAATTTTTACTACATGAGTGCACAAATTCTATGGTTGTTGATCACTGTTATATTCCTAGTGCTTGAAATATTCCTTGGCTCACAATAGGTCAGCAATACATACATACATACATATATACATATAATCACTGAATGAATTAGCAAATAAATACATGAGTCAATAGATGAAAAACTAATTGATTCATTAACTCTTAAAATGCTGGATAATTTTGTTTTTAATTGTTGTTGATGTTCTAATCACAGCTTTCCCTTGTGTATATATTCTTAAAGGTTTTAGTGATCTGTTTGTATTGATTGAGTCATTCTCAGAAACTTAGGAATGTGTAACTCTACATAAAGAATTCAAGATATTGCTTGAACTTTTTATTTTTTAAAAAGAGTTGTGTAAATTCTGAAAATATTTAGGGCAAAAATATATGAGAAATTGCAAAGCACAGATTTTCCTAGTAGTTCAAGTATTTTAAGAAATTCTAAAAGACGTAAAACAGCCTTACTGGTGGAGAGATTGTAGTCAGGAGGAGATTGGGGTCATTCTAAGAAGGAAGACAAGATAATTTGGCTGTGGCAAATAGGACATATAACTATTTCCTTCATAGTGCAGTACTAGGATGGTGATAATTACATTACTTTTACATTAAAAAGAAAAAAATTCAAAATTTGCCACTAACTACTCCCTGGAATCGAGGAAGAAATGCAGTGAAATTTTCAAATGTAGGTACTTTGGGAAAAGAAAACAAATTTCAGTTCAAAATCTTACCCATAAGAATCATTGGATTTAACTGAAGTGAAGAAAAACATGAAAATTAGAAAACTGTGATAGCATATTAATGCCATATAATCATACATTTTTTTGTAGGTATAAGTTTTATGATATTTGCATTAGTTTTTTTTATTATTATTATACTTTAAGTTTTAGGGTACATGTGCATAATGTGCAGGTTAGTTACATAGTTATATATGTGCCATGCTGGTGTGCTGCACCCATTAACTCGTCATTTAGCATTAGGTATATCTCCTAATGCTATCCCTCCCCCCTCCCCCCACCCCACAACAGTCCCCAGAGTGTGATGTTCCCCTTCCTGTGTCCATGTGTTCTCATTGTTCAATTCCCACCTATGAGTGAGAATATGCGGTGTTTGGTTTTTTGTTCTTGCGATAGTTTACTGAGAATGATGATTTCCAATTTCATCCATGTCCCTACAAAGGACATGAACTCGTCATTTTTTATGGCTGCATAGTATTCCATGGTGTATATGTGCCACATTTTCTTAATCCAGTCTATCATTGTTGGACATTTGGGTTGGTTCCAAGTCTTTGCTATTGTGAATAGTGCCACAATAAACACACGTGTGCATGTGTCTTTATAGCAGCATGATTTATAGTCCTTTGGGTATATACCCAGTAATGGGATGGCTGGGTCAAATGGTATTTCTAGTTCTAGATCCCTGAGGAATCGCCACACTGACTTCCACAATGGTTGAACTAGTTTACAGTCCCACCAACAGTGTAAAAGTGTTCCTATTTCTCCACATCCTCTCCAGCACCTGTTGTTTCCTGACTTTTTAATGATTGCCATTAATTTAAATCCAAATTCCTGACTCTGCTTCATATAGACTATATGATACAGGGAAAGTTACCAAACTCCTCTTGCCTCATGTTTCTCATTGAGCAAAAGAAGGATTTTTTTAAATGAAATAATACTTAACCATCTAATAAGATATTTGTTAGCATTAAATTAGCCAATAGGTACAATATGGTTGGAATAGCATGTAGAAATATACATGTTCCAAATGATAAATATAGTTTCTATAGTGAAAATGCCAAATAGTGGAAATGTAAAACCGGGCTGATAAAGATAGGTCCCTTTTCCAATTCGAAGACATAAATACTGAGGAGATAAAAAGAGAAAGAAAAAGAGAAAATACAGACAAAGAGAACAAATCTTAAAAAGATGGAAGGAAAAATAATCCCTGGACTCTAGAAAAAAAGAAGTTTCTGAAACCAGACAAGTACCAAAAAAATTAAAACTGTATCCAAGAATGTCATAGTCCAGGGCACACTGGGCTTGAACAGCGGGAAAAGGCAATAGAAAAGTGTAAGTTGAACAATACTATTATTATGAGAAGTATCAACAAATTTAAAAGAAATTTAGTTACTATGCTAAGAACTGAAAAAATACATTTGAAAACGTATATTTTAATTATTTAAGGCATAACATTAGAAAGATGAATCATATCGCGGCAACACAGCAAAATTTCCTCATCACATCATCAAATGGATTTAAAAAGTTACTACAGTATTTCCTGGAATTGCTTTGATGTCAAGACTCTTACAATATTGAGTCTTCAGATTCATGAAAATGTTACATATCTTCATTTTAAGTTGACTTTTATATAGCATTTTAATAACAAATCAAAATTATGTGTCCTAGGTACATTATTTTCTTCATTGCCAATACAAATGGGAATTTTTAAATCACCCTTTTCAATTGTCTGTTCATTTTAAATTAGATCTGTGTATTAGTTTGCTAGGGCTGCCATAAGTATCATGAACTAGGCGGCTTATACAACATAAACTTATTTTCTCGCAGTTCTGGGGCTTAGAAGTCTGAGATCAAGGTGTTGGTAAAGTTGATTTTTTGTAAGATCTGTTTCCTTGGCTTGTAGATGCCATCTTCCTCTGGCTTCTTAATCTGGTCTTCTCCTCTGTGTCTGTCTGTCTGTGTCCTAATCTCCTTTTGTAATCTTTTCACTCATATTAAACTACAGCTCACCCTCATGAACTCATTTTACTTTAATTACTATTTTAAAGGACTTATCTCCAAATACGCTTACATTCTGAGGTACTTGGAGTTAGGACTTTAACATATGGATTGGTGGGGTCGGCGGGGGGGTTGTGGGTCACAATTCAGCTTATAAAAATCTGTATGAAAGGTTTATAAATAATTGAATTGCTGAATTCAATAGAGGTCAATGTTGACAGCATGTCCGCTGATCGGCTTTAGTTTTCTATGTATAGCAGAATTTGCATATTTGTATTCTGCCACATATTGGTATGCCACAAGTAGATTATAGATTTTTTAATACATTGATCTTTAATTAATATTAAATTGCATGAATTACTATAGATCTATAATAAGTTCAACATCTGGTAGTACACAAGGCATCCAGATACATTATTTTCAAGACTGTCTCAGTTTCTCTTGGCCCTTTTCATTTTTCTGTAAACTTTAGAATTTGCTTTGTATACTGCACATAAACTACTGAACTTTTGATTAAAATTTCATTGAATCCATGGACTGATTAAGAAAGCAATTACATCTTTACTATGTTGGGTAATCTATCCCATGAATGCTATGTATTTTTTATTTATTAAAATATTATTTAATTTATTGAGCATTACATAATTTTTAGTGTATATACCTTGCATACATCTCCTTAGATTTATTCCAGGATATTAATGTTTTCATGCTATTATAAATGGTAATTTAAAAATTTTATTTTCTAGTTGTTTGCTTCTGGTGTACAGAAATAAAAGTGATTTGGTTTTTATTTGTTTATTTACTAATGTTTTATGCAGCTATTCTATTAAATTTATTAATTTATTATAATATTTGTAGATTATTTGGGATTTCTACATATGCATTCATGTCATTTAGGAATGATTATTTATTTGGAAACATCATACACACACACACACACATACACACACACACACATATATATACACACACACACACATTTTTTTCCTTGCCTTATTGTACTGGCACTGACATCCAGCACAATGTTGAAGAGAAGTAGCCATTATTGTTATCCTCTAACTATTTCCAATTTTAGGAGCCAAACTTAATAATCCACTATTTAGCCTGGTGTTTACTCCAGAATTTTGAGCTATTTCTCATACATTTAAGGAAGAGCCTTTCTGTCCTAGATTTTTAAGAGGCTTTAATCATGTGCGGTTGCTAAATTATTTAAAATGATGTTTTCATATATACTGAGACGATGATGTGATCTTGATCCCTCTCTCTTTTTCTCTCTCTCCCCCTCCTCTTGCTACTGTGATGAAATACACTGACTATGAAATACAAAACATTCTAGCTTTTCTGGAATAATCACCACTTGACCATAATGTACTGCCTTTTTCATATGTCACTGGACTTTATTTGATGGTATTGTACCTATGTACATGAAAGAAAGTGAACTGTTACTTTTGTGAGTTTTTTTTAAATAAATATACTATCATGGTTATTCTGACCTCAAAAAGCAAGTTGGAAAATGTTTGAATTTTATATATTTGAAAGAGTTTAATATTGGTGTTATTTGTATTGTATATTAGACAGCTTGCAGCAGGAATACCATTGGTATCTACAGCTTTCTTTACTGAAAATAGAATAGTAATAAATGTATGTCCTATAATAGGTATAGAACTATTCAGCTTCTCCATTTTTTTTCTTGTAACATCTTCAGTTTGTTGTATATTTATGAAATTTGTCAATTAATATAAAATGTGCCAGTCATAGTGGTTCACGCCTGTAATCCTTGCACTTTGGGAGGCCAAGGTGTGTGGATCACTTGAGGGCAGAAGTTCGAGACCAGCCTGGTAAACATGGTGAAATTCTCATCTCTACTAAAAGTACAAATTTAGCCAGGAATGGTGGCATGCAACTGTAGTCCCAGATACTTGGGAGGCTGAGGTTGCAGTGAGCAGAGATTGCACCACTGCACTCCAGCCTGGGCTACAGAGTGAGACCCTGTGTCAAAAAATAAAAAAAAATAATAATAATATAAAATATATTTCACATGGAATAGATAAATTTATATTTTATATGCGTATATCTCCCTTTGTATGTTCATGCATTTACTAGCTCTGTCCATGGAGAGGTAATAGAAGCACTGCCCCACAAATAGAAATAAGCATACCAGACACTCAGATCATTACTCTAACTTTTTTCATGAAAAGGAACAAAGTCTCCTTTCATAAACGGTTTCTTCTGAGCTTGGGCAAGAAAAATACCAGAATAAAATGTATGCTTTTGTGACAGAAAGTAAGAAAATATTAAAGAAAAGACAGAATACATCAAAAGAATACATGGACAACCTTGATAGTATCATCCTCCACTGACACTTTATGTTTAAGACTATTAATTATAATAAGTGATTATAACCTGTTGACTAAAATTAGAATCCATAAACCCATGCTGATATAAATAAATCAATATATAAATAGAGGAGCAAAGAAAGTTTTTCTTGTGATATAATTCCATCTATTAAATGTAAAATGAATTATAGAATTAGAAAATCACCATTTAGCAACCGCCATAGTAATAATAGTTACAGACAAGGATCATCAATGAATGATAAAAGTAGTGAGTGGAACTTACTAAATAAAAATGAAAAATTCTTAACTTTACATTGTAATATTCGGTAAACACCACCTTAGCCAAGTAATCCAAGTTAATATCACCAGTAATAGGTTCAACAAACATCATTTACCTCCCGATGTAATACACTGAGAATAAAATATCACTTCTGTGAAAATGCATAACATGACTCTATTCAGAGATAATACTAGGCACACCCAATTTGAGGGACATTCTACAAAATAATTACCCTGTACTCCTCAAAAATATCAAGTTCAAGAAAAGCAAAAACAGATTGTGAAACACCTCCAGTTTAAAGGAAGCAGAGATGGGATAACTCAATATACCATGGATTGCTAGATCAGAAAAAATAAAAAATACTATTTTGATTGTTTGGGTATAGAGGTGGTTTTGGCACAAGTAATACATTTTTAATAAAACTGTTGCCTATCAGATATATTATTGTATAAATGTTAATATCCTTATTTTGATAATTTTTCTAAGGTTATTTAAAAAGTCTGTGTATTTAAGAAACACATTGAATTGTTTAGAGGCACATGGTACTTCAACAAATTATTTTCAAAGGATTCAGAAATTAATATACATATAAAGCAAGAGAATGATATGAAATATCACTTGGTAAGATACTTGCATTTGAGTAATGTGGGTAAAAGGATTTATGGGAATTATTTTTATTATTTTTGCAACATTTTTATAATTAAAATTATTTCAAAACAGGTTTTACAATAATCCTGTTTTCACACAATGCTATAGTTTATCCTTTTAAAGGCAAAAAAATTATTTTCACTTTCTCTGTGGTTATAGGAGTATATGAGGTTTGGTGAGGTTTGAGACCAACTTCCTGAAATGGGCATTTAAATCAGCATGTATTTCAAAATATTATGGATATTACATGTTTGCTATGTTTATCGTAAACTGACTGCAAGAATTCGGAGTATACAATTTGTGGACTGTCAAAGACCTTATTTAGGCAGAAGCATCAAAAAAGCCTAGAGGCAAGAGAGAGCAAAAACATATATATGTTCCCCATTCTTTAAATTTAGCATTTGAAGTATTTTGGTTTGGAAAATAAAATGAGCAAGAGGTTTGGACTAACAATAGTAAAAGGCTTAAGGAGTCAGGGAAGTGATTGGAACCCTTCCATGAAGATTAGAAGTTAAAACGATCAATTGAGATAATGAAATACAGTGTGTGTTCTTTGATGTGTGTAGAGAAAGAATTGTGTTCAGGCAAGTTTAAAGAACCCATGAATTGTAAAAATCAATCAAAATGCCTATAGGACATGGAAAACAGCTATCAGTTGAAGCCAGCTTAGTACAGCTATTATTCAAAATAGAGCTATATCTAGCAAATACCCACACATCTATTCAATTCAGTCCAAAAAAAAAAAAAGAAAATCAACCCAGTGTGAAAAAAAAAAAAGAAAAAAACAAGTTCTTGCTATATTGTCATCTGGAAAAAAAAAAAAACAAATTGAGTGATGAATAATGTAAAACTATGCAGTCAAAAATCTCTTAGTGAGTGATTACTAATGCATGCTACCTGGTACTGAATTTGAAAGAACATTCTCTTGCTTTTATACAGTTGCTTTCTTGAGAAAGGAGGAATATTAATATTTACTAAACAGTGTGAAACCAAAAACTAGGGCAAAAGTATAGTCGTACTGCATAAAAGAGAACAACCATCAATGCCTAGAAAGTGATAGGAAAGTCCTCAGTGAGATAACAGTTTTGAGCTGGTTCTCAGATTTCACTCATTTACGAAACTAATTAGAAACCAACAGCACTTCCTGCTCTGTGCTCCAGCATCCCGAGCCAGCCTTTGAAGGCTGTTCATCATGCAGGCTGCTAAGGCTGTTAATGTATATTTGTCCATTTTCACACTGCTTTAAGCATACTACCTGAGACTGGGTAATTTATAAAGAAAAGAGGTTTAATTGACTCACAGTTCCACATGACTGGGTAGGCCTCAGGAAACTTACAATCACAGTTGAAGGGGAAGCAGAGACGTCTTACATGGTGGCAGGTGAGAGTGAGGTGGAGAAGAGCCCCTTTTAAAACCATCAGATCTCGTGAAAACTTACTCACTATCACGAGAACAGCATGGGGAAACCGCCCCCCGACCAAGTTCCTTCCTCCACAGATTATAAGGATTACAATTCGAGATGGGATTTGGGTGGGGACATACAGCCAAACCATATCATGATGTCTCCCAGAAACTGCTTTACAGGACAAAAGGAATAAAGAAGCCAAACACCTGAATCTCTTACTGCCTAGGGATGAGGGAATATAATTTCAATAAAATGTAAATTTTAGATACATCAAGCAGTGCTACTTTATTTGATATTAGAATTAGTAATATAGCATGCTCACTATTTGTGGCTGATCGAAATGTAGCCAAGTCAAATCACCATTAAATTATAAGCTTTCCTAAAAACTTTTAATTAATGATAATCCCTGATTTTCAACCCTCCCATATTAATTATTGTGTATGTTTTTTGTTTGTCAATCATATATGACTGTGGAATCAATAACAACAATACATCAAAGTTTAATTTTTAAAATATCTTTATAATTTTAAACAGTTATGTTTCCCAAACTTTATCTTAAGCTCCAAGTGAGTAAAATTAGTAATTCAAATTTTATTTCCCACTAAATCTTAGAAATTATATGTTTTTAAATTTATATGAAATATCTGCTTAAATTCTCCAAGTAAAAGTGGCAAGAGTCTACACTAAATCAGTGCCCATGTGAAAACAGAGGTTCTAAGTAAGAGAAATATAGGAAGTAGAATTGTAAGACTTGATGACTGACTACTTAACGCAAGACTGAGAGATATGAGATAGTTGATAAGAATTCATAGTTTTTAGTTTGAGTTACTGAATAGTCAGGGCCCTATTTAACATAGGTAATATAAAATGAGGATGTTTTGTTTTGGGTAGGAGGTGCATGTTTTCTCGGTACTTCTTAAAAGGCAGGCATTATCAAGCAATTTATATCTTCATAATAAGCCTAATATCATTATTCACTCTTGAAACATGGCAAAAATGAGACTCAGAATCCAATATCACTACATAAATGACTAATTCAAACCAGATGGTTTGATTACAGAGCTACTGCTCTTAACTCTTACTTTCCCTCAGTTGCTGCATCTGTTAATTGAAAATTAAATATAGTATAAAGCAGCTATGTGATCTGAACTATGTAGTAATTAATGTATGTTCTACACACTAATTTTTATACTTGTGAATAACTGAGAATTTTGAAAAATGTATTTAGAAAATCTTTGAAGACTACTTAATGAAGTACAATAGCAGTGACCTTTTAATTTATCAAACAGATTCACCTGTTTTCTAACACAGGCAAACATCTACAAGACTCAGCCTTAAGTGCCTAGCAATTAGCAGAATGACTGGCACATGGTAAACACCTAATTTTTATTGAACAGACAATGAATGAGTTAATGAATGAATGAAAAAGTGACATAGGAGTGAATAGAAAGGATTATTACTTTACTACCTTATACTTTAGTTCTCTTAAAAGTAGAAATAGTAACATTAATAACAGATATTTATTATAAGAGTAAGTTGATTATATGTGTTTAATAATCTGTTACATAACATCTATACTTGTATGACTTAGCATTATTGTTAGTACAATAATTAAGGGTAAAATTAGTGAGATGCTTTTTATAGGTGTGTTAGAGTTCAAGCTAGAAGATATAAAAACACATTGGATTAATGATGATTGGTTTCCCCATGATACTTTTTTCCTCCTTTGATTTCATCATTAACAACAGGAGGGCTGTGAATTGTAAGAAATGATGTAATTGTTAGAAGCTAATTTTAACCACAGATCTGTATGAATGTGTATTTACATAAATATAAGATTTTGTAATAAATTGCTTTTGCATGCTATACAATCTCGTAAGAAAATTCCGAATATTATTTAGTATAGCATAAATAAGATTTTGTATTTCCATTTTCAGAGAAAAATTTATAACAAAACTTAATTTCTTATCAAGTAATAAGAGTAATAGTATTTCTTAGCAAATAGTCAAGATTTGTTACAGTCTCCAAAGATGAAAAAAAAATTGAAGCAATCTGCAGGCAAATAACTGAGATAAATTTATAGGAACTTTGAAGTTAAATGAATATACAACAGCAAATTAATATCCCATGGATTAAGAGAGACATCACAGAGACAAGATATTTCGAATCTACTAGTTTTATTAACTTATCTTTTCTGAAAACTGAAGCATCAGCAAAAGCCACTTAATGATAATGGAAATGAGAGGGAGAAGCCTAATATGTAATCACTTTTAACAGATGTAAACTCTAGTGTGGCTGTGCTTGGAGATTACCATCATAACAAAATAATTGAAATGTGTTTATTTTTAAAAGGTAATTGTTTATTTTACATACAGAATTGCCATTTGCTTTAAGCTATTTACTCTTAAAGGACAACAATTTTGGCCTTTTAATTTTTCTTCGGTTAGTAAATACTAATCTGCCAATATTTCTGTTTTTAAAAGTATACCTTTTTTAAAAACTTATATTACATTAAACTTTTTAATATTCCTCTTTAAAATTGGCAGTAGAAGTTCAAAATTAAACTGCTTATTACTCCAGAGAGCAGGTTATTTTTCTGCTCATGGCAAGAGAAGTCTAATGATTCTTTTCTGGCATTTTTCAAGGTACAGACTCTATAATTGCATGGTGAATGGTGACATCTGATCTCTGACCTAAGAGAAACATATTTGCATCATTTATAAGAGATGCAGATGACAGGTCATGTCTGTTACATTTGACCCTTTCTTCCAATTTTTAAGCCTATGCCAGGTTTAGAAAGGAATACATAAAAAGAACACAAAACAGAGAGTTTGGAGCAAGGAATTATTGCTGGATTCGCAAAGTACAATATATAATCCATTCCCTAATTGGAATAAATTGGACCAAAGTTCACACACCTTTTGAATAAACATACTTTAGGTTACAACAGAAGCTGGACATTTTCCAAAACTGTTTTGTCTTTAGGTGTCAAAATCAACTGAATCTGTGATTTTGATTGAAATCTTAAGAAAACTAATTTATTCCCATAAGATTGATATTTGGATATCATTTGGTTTCAAACATGAAGAAAATTTTGTTACACAAATTGACATAGATACAATTTTTAAAATTATCTTTTATTATACAATTTCATATTATAACTAAGACGTTTACCTTGTTAAATATTACTCCCTTGAATAATTAAAATCTACAGTTTTTTGATATTTCCAGATACATAGCTACCTATTTTCATTACTCCTTAGCTTTACCATGTCAACCATTACATTCCATAAATTCTTCATCAAATATAGGTGCTAAGTTATCTGGTTTCTATTTATTTCACTAATTTAAGCTGTAATGACTTCATTGTCACAGTTAAGGATGACATCCTCCTTTCAAATTCGATGGATGTAATAATATAATAACACAGGTTGATAGTGTTATTTTTCATCTCATCAGTGTTTTGGCATGACCAAATATATCTAATATTAAATGTGAAATTTAGGAGATTATAATTTGTAAGCACTCTACACAAACTCCATGAAATTCCTCATTTACTGTACACTTGCCTGCCTCCAAGCAATTACAGTTTCCTAATGCCTGAAATGGAAATTATTTTGACTCTTTTTCCCATAAATATCCTTTATCCTTCCTCCAGAACTGTGCCCAAAAGTCTTTGGAAATTTCAGAATATTTCAATTTATGTTATTACAAAGAGTATAATTATTCATAATTTGATTTCTGTTTTTCCAGTGACTTTTGAATCTCAGTGTGCCCATAATAACAATTAAAAATGTGTGAAGACCATTGATTAATGTTCTGAATTAATTAATGATGTTTCTATAAATGATTTTGAATTTCACATGTTGCAATACTTTGTAGTACATTCTGTACTTTGTATACTGAAATTTAAAAATGAATTTGTTTTCATAAACATTGTTTTAATTAGAATTTTGAATAAGTACATTTAATTATTTTTACTGTTTAGACAAAACTTTGGAATTAGTTTAAGTCATATACAGTTGATCATTGACTTAGTTTAAGTTTGGAATTAGTTTAAGTCATATATAGTTGATCATATATAGTTGATCATCTACAAATATATATTAACATTTTATATTTCACGTTAGTTGGTGCATTAGTTTGCTAGGGATTCCAAAACAACGTACCACAAACTGAGTGGTTGTGAGCAGAAATTAATTTTCTCACAATTCTGGAGGCTAGATGTTCAAGATGAAAATGTTGGCAAAGTTAATTCCTTCTACTAGCGGAAAGAGAATCTATTCCACGCCTCTTTCTTTCTTGTTTTTCTTTTTTTTGGAGTCGGAGTCTCACTCTGTCGCCCAGGCTGGAGTGTGGTGTGCAGAGGCGCGATCTCGGCTCACTGCAATTTCCGCCTCCTGGGTTCAAGCCATTCTCCTGCCTCAGCCTGCCCAGTAGCTGGGACTACAGGCGCACAACACGACGCCCGGCTAAATTTTTTTTTGTATTTTTAGTAGAGACAGGGTTTCATCGTGTTGCCCAGGCTGATTTCGAACTCCTGAGCTCAGGCAATCCGCCTGCCTCGGCCTCTCAAAGCGCTAAAATTACAAACGTGAGCCACCGCGCCCGACCTCCATGCCTCTTTCTTATCTTCCAGTGGTTTGCGGGTGATCTTTGGTGTTACTTCGCTGATAGATACATCGCCCTGATCTCTGTTTTCATTTTCCCATGGTGTTCTCTCTGTTTGCACGTCTCTCTCTGTGTCCAAATTTCCTCTTTTTTATAACGACAATAATCATATAGGATTAGGGCCCATACTAATGACCTCATTTTAACTTGACTGCGTCTATAAAAACTCAATTTCCAAGTAAAACACACTCTGAAGTACCAGGGGTTAGGACTTCAACATATCCTTTTAAGGGGACATAAATAATTAAAAACATTTGGTAAAACTTCATTAATAAATTTGTCAATTTCATATATAAATGCATTAGCAAACATTATTGGTGGCATTTAATAAACACCTATGAACTGACTAAAGAAAAGCATAGATTGCAGATGCTAAAGGGTTAGTTTAGTGGAAGCTTAAAAAACTAAAACTATAATACAATCAAGCATTTGTTAACATCAGCGGATATTGGTAAGGATAGCATTTAAAATAAGTTTTAGAATCATAATATCTGTATTTATTAATTCCAAATATTTTCTGTGCTAGTATGCTTCATGATATTTCATGATGACCTACTATGTAGCATTTCAAACTTTGATTCTTAAGCACTTTTTTGTTTTGTTTTGTTTTGTTTTCAGCAAAAAAGCTATCACACTTGGCATAGCATACAGCTGAATATGAACTAGAAATGCTTATATAGATTATACGTGCTAAAAGCAATTCTTAACATTACATGGGTAAAAACTTTGATGAATGTATAATATTATATGGGCCTAGACAGGCTAATAGTATTATTGCCTAAAAATCATTATTCTTCTAAATTTTCTTTAGTTACCCCTATCATGGTAACAATCCTAAAAATTTTCGTACAAACTACTGTGAAAAGGAGAATCTTCCCCAATCATATATATATATATATATATATATTTTTTTTTTTTTTTTTTTTTTTTTTTTTGAGACAGAGTCTCACTCCATTGTCCAGGCTGGAGTACAGTGGCTTGATTTTGGCTCACTGAAGCCTCTGCCT
This sequence comes from Homo sapiens, assembly GCF_000001405.40. Taxonomy (NCBI): domain Eukaryota; kingdom Metazoa; phylum Chordata; class Mammalia; order Primates; family Hominidae; genus Homo; species Homo sapiens. Next base: position 105,636,956 of record NC_000005.10, read on the forward strand.
CCTGGGTTCCAGTGATTCTCCTGCCTCAGCCTCCCAGGTAGCTGGGATTACAGGCACCCACCACCATACCGGGCTAATTTTTGTGTTTTTAGTAGAGATGGAGTTTCACCATGTTGGCCAGGCTGGTCTCGAACCCCTGACCTCAGGTGATATGCCTGCCTCGGCCTCCAAAAGTGCTAGTATTACACGCATGAGCTACCGCTCCCGAAAGTGCTAGGATTACAGGCATGAGCCACCGCGCTGACCCATACTTCTTACTAAACTTCTTTAGCCATTAGGTAGCACTAGTTCCTTCCTCTTTGTACAATTTTTCACAAAGAGTCACATACATGAGATAAGAAATTGATGAATTAAATTCTGTTATAATGTCATTCATGTGGGGAGCAGCAGAATACCATCAAAAATAAAAAGTAGAAACAAGAGATAATAAAATATGGATTCCACTGGGTTTTTCAGTATTACAAAATTTTGAAAAAATCTAATCTAGTGAACATAGCATGTCTTCAATTTCTAGGGAATTTTCAGAATACATTTATACTTGTTGGATAAGTAAGAATGAGAGAAATCCATATTTTATAACTGAAACCATATTTATGTTTTAATAAAAATAAAGGGAGAGGCCACATTTATTATTGCATATTATTAAAAATTTTATATTATTGGCAATCAAGTTGACATCTCAAATTTGAGTATATAAAACAATTTAAAGGACCATATGCAATACACTTAGTAATAACTTTAAAATAATATTTTTCTTTTTTATAATTATCAAAAAATCCTTGAAGAACGTTTGGAATACTGAAAAAATTGGAAGAAAGAAAAAAACTCTATACTTCTTCCTTGTATAATCACTTTTATCATTGTGTTTCCAATTTTTTTCTTCTTAATATTCTTTTATATGGAGAATTTTATGTCAGAATTAGTACGTTAAAAGCTTCTAGCAATGTTAAAAATAGCTTTCATGTTTGCAAAATTTCTTTGAAATATAGTGTGAGAAGCTTGGTTCATAATACTTCCCTTTCTACATAATTTTCCTAAAAATAATATTTTAATAAATATGTGTAGATATTGTACCATATTGAAAAGTATTACTATCATATATGTCTCCGTTATTTATATTTTTAAAACTTATGTTGGTATATTGTCAATTAAGTGTAAATAGAATTTTCTACGGAGTTTTTGTTAATCACATAACCAATAAAATTCTAATTGTGGGCAATTACTTAATAAATAGGAAATATAATATGCCGTGTATAGAATATAAAATGATCAGCTTTTGGGCAAGCACACCAGCAACTTAGACAGTATCATAAATATTTTTAGATACAAAATATGTAAATTAAACTTAATAATGTAAAAATATTTCTGGTCAATATTTATTTAAGTATGGTTGCTCTACTAGCAAAAGAATAAAATCATTGCTAGTAAATGGCAGCTGTCAAAAGCCACTGTGGTTTTTAAACACTTTTTTCTGATAATATTTGACAAATTCCAGTTATGTAATGGCAGCATAATGTAATACCATCCCCACTTTTTAGTATAGAAGTCTAGGTAATACCCTCTTTATTCTTCTACAGGGGAGGACTGGACTGGCTGGTTGATTGTCGAAGAATTTAAGTGACATCAGGGGGTCTTACATCCAATGTATTGTTTGGAAATGGATATGCAAGAGAACAAAAACCTCAGACCATGTATCCTGCTCAGAGCATTTTCTTACAGCTCCTGACAATAGCTTCTTATAGCAGACAGAATTTCATTCATTGAGTTACAACGGCATGCCTCTAGGAGAAGGATTTGGAAAAGAAGATCTCATGATATAGATGCCAACAACTTGCTTAGATATCCTCTCACAGAAAATTGAAAAGCTATGTTCTCTTACTTTAAGTTAAAATATGAATATTTTATCATATTACTATAAGTTGAAATATCTCTAGATAATATAACTTGGATTTTTTGTAAATGTTGACATTTACAAAATGTTGAAACACAACTTCTTAAAATGCATGTTATAAAATTTATATAATAGTTATTTGACACCCAAAATTGTATAATAATTATAAATATATTTGTATATATATATATCACCCTATCATACTTTTCTATAATGAAAATATTTTTATCAATTAAAATAATTGTTCAAATTTCCTGTAACTCAAGTAAACACGAAAAATTTCAGCATTTTTGGTCATATTGATGGCAGCGGCAGCCTGTCTCCAGCAGCTACAGCTAAGATGACGACTGCAGTGAGGGAGGCGCAGCTGGGCCTGCCGTGCTCCACGGAGCCAGCTGGAGCTGGGAACGGGCAGAAGCCACACCCACTTCCAAGTAGGAGTAGCAGGAGCCCCACCCTACTGGACACAACTGCAGCTGCCTAACCATGGCTGCAGACCCAGGCATCTCTGCATTCCCGAGGGCCCAGTAAATTCCCCTCCCCTGCAGGCTTGGAAGTGCCTACTCCTACTGCCTAGCCTCTCCCTGCTCCTGGCGCCTGCTCTGATTTTGGAACAAAGTTGTGGACGAGGCTGGACGCTGATATGACACAGCTGGGTGTGTGCAGCTTGGGGCAGCACTGACATGCCAACCCCTGCCGCCTGGGACCCCATCAGACTTTGGGCACTGACAAGCATGGGAAGGAGGCCGAGTGGGGTCTAGGGGCAGCTCTGCGTGGGTCTGCAGGCGCCCCTCAGCACAAACAGCCTGGGGGCCCTGAGCACAATAGATGGCAGATTAATGGCGGCAGTAGGCAGACAGCCTCCTGGCCAGAAAGGGGCGGGTTCCCAGTGAAACCCCACCTTCCAGCAAGGGGGCCTGAGGCCTTGGGGCCAGGCTGCCAGTTCCATGGACTGGAGTGAGAGCTTATGGTGCTTTTTCCAGGCCTGCCCATTGCTGCCCATGGACCAATCAGCACACATTTTCTCCCCTCTGAAACCCATAAAAACCCCTGGACTCAGCCAGACTTGGGCAGTGGACAAGATGACCTGTCTGCAGATAGGAGCTACCTACTGTGGGTATCCTCTCTGCTGAGAGCTGAACACTTGGGATGCCCTGCCTGCAGAGAGGAGCTACCCACTGTAGGTCTCCTCTCTGCTGAGAGCTGGAGTCTCATCAGAATGATCTGCCTGCAGAGAGGAGCTACCCCTGTAGGTCTCCTCTGAGCTGTTCTGTCACTCAATAAAGCACCTCTTCACCTTCTCACCCTCCACTCGTCTGCATACCTCATTCTTTCTGGACCTGGGACAAGAACTCAGGCCCCGCTGAATGGTGGGGCTGAAAGGGCTGTAACACAAACAGGGCTGAAACACATCCCTTACTCCCCATTTTGCAGACGATGAGAGGAAGAGAAGAGGAGAGAAGAGCTGTGGCCCTTTGGGTATCCCAAACCAGGGTTGTGACACTCTTTTGGGCTCTGTAGTTCCTGGCGTCTCCAAGCTTCCAGGTGCCACCACATTCCCCTGTGCTAGCCGTGGAAGCTGCTTGTGGTAAACATGGTCCAGCCGTAGTATGGAAGGGAGCCGACACCCATGCCGGTGCCTGAAGCTGTCTGCCCCACCGCAGCAGTGGCCGGACCCCATGCTCCTTCGTTCACACACCACTCGTCCCTCCGTACGTGGCTCACCCTTGGCAGGCATGCGATAGAGCAGGCTAAGTGTAGCCTGCCAGGCTGAGTGGGTGGAATGAACCCAGCAGCCCGAGCAAAACTCAGGCAAAGGAGCCAACGGCCACAGAGATTTCCAGCTGGAAAAAAGCAACATCTCAAGGATCCTGTGACAATATTTAATATTAAAATATAATCATGAATATGAACACACTACATTAAAAGTAATTATTTATAATAAGTAACTTCTTAACTGGAAAAAATTTATGAGATTAAAATAGGTTTTTTCAATCAATTTACATATCCATGAATATAAATTTACTTATTTTTAGAATGAGACAACCTGTGATAGTTAGAATCCAACCAGAGAAACAGACCCAACAGAAGATATATATTAGGAGATTAAATGCAAATCTTTGATTTAAATGATTGTGGGGGCTGGCTCAGCAGACTAAATTGTATAGGGCAGTCTGTCAGGAATGATCTCCTGGGACTATTTGGTAGAACATACAGCTATCAATGCGCAACATTTCTTCTTTAGGGAAGCCTCAGCTCTGTTTTTACAGCCTTTCAGTTTATTGAATCAAGTCCACCAGATTATGTAGAATAATCTGCTTTAAAGAAACAGGTTATGGACTTTATTCACATCTACAAAATACCTTCAAAGCAGAGGACATCAAAAAATGGAAAGATTCTCCATGTTAATGGAGTAGAACAATCAATATTGTTAAAATATTCATACTACACAAAGCAAACTCCAGATTCAATGAAATTCCTATCAAAATAACAACTACATTCTTCACAGAAATAGGAAAAGCAATTCTAAAATTTATATGAAACCACCAGAGACCCAAAATCACCAAAGATATCCTAAGCAAAATAGTAAAACTGGAGGAGTCACATTACCCGATTTAAAATTATACTACAGAGCTATAGTAACCAAAACAGTATGATACTGGCATAAAAAAAGACACATAGACCAATGGAACAGAATAGAGAGCCCCAAAACAAATCCACGCACCTACAGTGAACTCATTTTCAACAAAGTTGCCAAGAACATACACTGGGAAACAGACAGTCTCTTCAATAAAGGTTGTTGGGAAAACTCAATATCCATATGCAAAAGAATAAACCTAGACCCCTATATCTTACCATATACAAAAATCAAATCAAAATTGATTAAACACTTAAATCTAAGACCTCAAACTATGACACTACTACAAGAAAACATGCAGAAACTCTCCAGGTCATTGAGCTAGGCAAAAATTTCTTGAGTAAGACTCCACAAGCACAGGCAACCAAAGCAAAAATAGACAAATGGGATTTTATCAAGTTTAAAAAAATTGGCAAAGCAAAAGATACAATCAATAAAGTGAAGAGACAACCTACAGAATGGGAGAAAGTATTTGCAAACTACCCATCTGACAGGGGATTAATAACCAAAATATATAAGGAGCTCAAACAACTATATAGGAAAAATTTTAATAATTCAATTAAAAATGAGTCAAATATTTGAATAGGCATTTCTGAAAAAAAGACAAACAAATGGCAAAAAGGAATATGAAAAGGTGATCAACATCATTGATCATCAGAGAAATGCAACTCAAAACTACAATGAGATATCATCTCACTCCAGTTAAAATGGTTTATAGCCAAGAGACAGGCAATAACAAATGCTGGTGAGGATGTAGAGGAAAGGAAACCCTTGTGCATTGTTGGTGGGAATGTAAATTAGTACAAAAAACTGTGGGGAATAGTTTGGAAGGCCCTCAAATAACTAAATATACATCTACCATATGATCCATTGATCCTGCTGCTGAGTATAGACCCGAAAGAATGATAATCAGTATATTAAAGAAATATCTAAACTCCCATGTTTGTTGCAGCAGTGTTCACAATAGCCAAGATTTGGATACAACCAAGGTATCCATCAACAGATGAATGGATAAAGAAAATGTGGTACATATACACAATGGAGCACTAGTGAATGAAATCCTGTCATACAGAGCAACATGGCTGGAACTGGAGATCATTATTTTAAGGGAAATAAGCCAGGCACAGAAAGACAAACATCACATCTTCTCACTTATTTGTGGAATCTAAAAATCCAAATAATTAAACTCATTGCTATTGAGAGTACAGGGATGGTTACCAGAGACTGGGAAGCATAGTGGAAAAGTAGGGATGAAGTGGGGATTGTTCATGGGCACAAAAAAATTAGAAAGAAAAAATAAGATTTAGTATTTGACAACAACACAGGGTGACTAAAGTCAATAATAATGTAATTGTACCTTTGAAAATAACTAAAAGAGTAGGACTGGATTGTTGGTAACACAAAGGATAAATGCTTGAGGGGATGGATAACCCATTTTTACTGATGTGATTATTATGCATTGCATGCCTGCATCAAAATATCTCATATACCCTATAAATATATATACTTACTATGTACCCACAAAAATTGAAATTAAAAATTAAAAAAAATACTTTCACAGAAATAAGAAAGTTAGTGTTTGCATATCTAGGGATTGTACCCTAGCCAAGCTGACACAAAAGGCTGACCTTCAAACACAGTTTTGTATCAGCATTTGGGAATCTATTTTCAATCCCAAATTTTTCATGTGATACATTTAAATATTGAGAAATCTTTCTCACAAGTGTAACCTAATGGAAATGAGGCTGTGTGTGTGTGTGTGTGTGTGTGTGTGTGTGTGTGAATGTAAATCTTTGTCATTAAATTATTTAAAGCCATTTCATATTATAGGCAAAATTCACATGGTGACCTCTCTGACCAAAATATATTTTCAAATCTATCTGCTAAAAACTCTATTAGCTACTCAATTTATATAAAATATCTACAATATAAATCAATTGGCAAAGTCCATATATATTGTCAAACTAATCAGCCAAACATACTGAAATTTATAAGAAATGTTTTATTTTCAGTTTAGATAAATATATTAGTGTATATATATATATATATATATAGCTTACAATTTTAGTTTGACAGATGTACAGATGTGTACATGTAGACATAGACTTAGACAGTGCAGAGAGCCTGCTCTGAATTTCAGATGTGGGTGATAAAAATATACTTCCATTTTCAACAATTTTTACTGAATTATTATCAGTTAATAAGCTATTACTCACAGGTCCAAAGTCACACTTCTCCAGTCAGCTTTGTGAGGCTGGACTAGAACCCTGCAAACCATGCTTTTTAAAAACTATTTCAACTTTTATGTTAGATTTGAGGGGTTTGCTTACATATGTATATTACATAATACTGAAATTTGTTGCATTATGGGATGCAACAAATTTATGGGATTGTTGATCTCATCACCCGTGTAGTAAGCATAGTACCCAATAGGGAGTTTGTCAGCCTTTGCCTCCCTCCCTTTCCCCCTGTAGCAGTTCTCAGTGTCTACTGTTCTCATCCAGGAGTACCCAATGTTTAGCTCCCCCTTCCAAATGAGAACACGCAGTATTTGGTTTTCTGTTGTTGCATTAATTCACTTAGATAATGGCTTCCAGCTGCATACATATTACTGCAAAGGACATGATTTTATTCTTTCTATGGCTGTATTATCTTCTTTGGCTGTTTTCGTTTTTGTTTATTTTTTTCTTTCCAGCTTTTATTTTGTGTTCAGGGGGTACATGTGCAGGTTTGTTACATGGGTAAATTGTGTGTCATGGGAGTTTGATGTACAGATTATTTCATCACCCAGGTAATGAGTGATAATAAGGGAATAATCATAGTACCAGATAGGTGGTTTTCTATCCTCACCCACCTCCTACCCTCCACTATCAAGTACGTCTCAGTATCTGTTGTTCCCTTCATTATGTCCATGTTTACTTAGTATTTAGCTCCCACTTATAAGTGAGAACATGCAGTATTTTTTTCCACCTATGCATTAATTCACTTAAGATAATGGCCTCCAGGTCTATCCATGTTGCTGCAAAGAACATTATCTCATTATTTTTTATGGTTGCATACTATTCCATGTGCAAATCATATTTCTAATTGGTCAGCTGTTTCCCTATTATGTTCTACCAATGGGGGCATTATAGACTTATTGGCTAAGAAAGCAGGGATTTTCTGTTTTTTTCATGTCAGCATTACTTTAACTTTTTTTTATAACAGCAACAGTTTGTTCCCATAACAGTGGGTGGAGACAGTGAGCAGTTTTCTATTTATGTACAGAGCCAACCTCACAGCCCCTGACTAAGAAACAACAGAACCAATCAAGCAGCATGACCTTTTGAGAAGTCTAAATTTCAGCTTTTCAAGGATACTCTTCTAAAGTTTAAATTTTCATTATTTCAGATATTCCCCTTTATTCCCTCACACACAAGGGTAGTAACTAGTTTCTACAGGTTGATACCTATGTAATTATGATCTTATTTTTTTCTTTGTTGACCAGTTACCAAGCATTTATATCTAGTTAATACATTCATTTTATGTGAATATATCTAGTAAAATATGTGCTTTAATTTTTGTTTCCTGACCAAGCCTAATTAAGGTAGATTCATTTTTCCTTGTGCATTAAAATGTACAACAGACCTCTGCTATTACCTCATTGGTTAAGCTTGAATCATATGTTCACATCTAGCTACAAGAAGAACAGATCAAACACATTTTCAACTTTGTTAATTTTACAGTAACAACAGGTAAAGCATACTCTTATTATAAGCACCCTTAAGGGGAAATCTAAATTATTAATCCAATCAACCTTGTGTCTACAACATAAGATTAATTACAATAGAAATAAGTTAGATAAGAGTTTTTAAAATCAAAGAAAGCAAGTTACAATAAAACAGTTAAGTGTCTACTATCATTAACAGTAATGATAGCCTTTTGGAAATTGTAATCGTAATTTGAAAAACAAACTTGGAGATTTCTACTGAGTCACAGAAAAGAAGGCAAAAGAGATTAAAGAGAAAAAGAAAGAGGAAAATTGATAAACAAGTAAGTGGGCAACAACTATCTGAACCAAGAATTAAGAGTATCTTAAAAGACTACACAGAACAATAGAAAAGCCATATAAGTATCAAATATCAAATGCACAACTGAAAAAAAATATGATGGAGAAATATGAAAAGGTGCAAAATAAAATCGTTAACCATTCTAGGAAAAGGTATTAAAAGTTGAAAAATAGAAAATAAAAAGTATATTTGTTAAAGACAACAGAATTTATAGAGATGAAACAGATATTAAAAGGAAAAATGCTCAAAATAGAAAGAAAAGCAGATTAAACACTACATATTGAAAAAAGATAAGTGAACCTAAGGACATGGCAGTATAAATTATGTAAAAAGAATCATATAGAGAAAGAAACCTGAAAAAAAGATCAAAAAGTCTAATAAAACTGTTAATAAAGACCTAAAAATAAAACAAAATAAAAAATGGAGTCAGAATGGGCTGAATAAAATATTTGGAGAAATAATGGCAAAAAATTTTCTGATTTTAATAAAACTATAATTTTATAGGTTCAAAGTGCTAAACAAGCCCTAAGTAGGATAAACAGAAAGAAAATCACTCAAATTACAATCTAATGAAATTCCTGAAACCAATTTTATAGATTGACTTAAAGGTAGCTATATATAAATGACAACAAAAAGATAATGACAAGAGATTTCTAATCAGATACAATATAATTTGGAAAATAAATGTTTTTAATTACTGACAAATATTTTATAGATATTTGAAAAAGCCAGGTAAATAAAAAACATTGTGTTGTGATATGTAAGGAGCTAAGGGACTTCATCCAGCATAAATGCAGTACAATAAATTTTAAGAGAAAGTACTTACGTAGAAGTAGAACAATGCAAGATGAAAATTTGCTAATAATCAATAAGAAATAACAAAGCATGAATAACCAATAAAACAAAAGAAATTAAAAACTCTAATCTGCACATGTCTATGAAAACAAATTTGAACATACTTAGGAATTTTCTGAGAAACACAAATAACCAATTTGACCCTGGTAGAGTTTGAAAGTCTAAGCAGATAAATTACCATACTATGAATAGAAAAGTTATTAAGCAGTCCTCTACAAACAATAACCAGATTCATGCATTGTTTCAAAAGGGAATTCTATGAAAACTTCAAAGACCATATGGTTTCAATGTGCCATAAATTGTTCAAGAGCACTTAAAATGAAAAATCCTTTCTAATTCCTTTTAGAAAGTAGGGATAGCAGTGACACCTAAAGCTGGTAAAAAGAAGAAAGAAAAGAAAGGAGAAAGAAGAAAAGAAAAGAAAAAAGAAAAGAAAGAAAAGAAAAGAAAGAAAAAAATAAGAAAGAAAGAGAAAGAAAAAAAGAAAGAAAGAGAGAAAAGAAAGAAAGGAAGGAAAAGAAAGAAAGAAAAGGAAGGAAGGAAGGCAGGCGTCAAAATCGCTCAAGAATATTAATGTCAAGAAGCTTCAAAATGACTTACCAGAAGCATTTCATGCCCACCTCTTCCACTTAGAAGAACCGAAATAGTGTATAACAGTCACACTTTGAATAGTTTACCCAAAAGAGAATGCTGGAATTCAACACAGAAGCGGCAGGAAACACCAAGGCATGGAAGAAGGGAGAGAGGCAGCCTTCCTGGCTGGGATCAGCTGGGAGCTGAAAATGACTTCCGAATGCAGGGAAAAGGTGAGTGGGAGACTTCCAGGGTCCCATGTTCCCACCATGCAATTATTCAATCCTGGCCATGGGAGGACCCCTTGCTCTTCCCAAGTCCTGAAACTAACATAGGAAGCTGCCAGGAGGCAGCTTCGTGAGAACTGGACAGAACTTGCTCAGAACTTAGATAGAACTGCTCCATAGAGGAAGCTTATGCTGGGTCCCATCCCCTTTCTGAGACCTAAGTGGCTACATCAAAGCGCCGTTTTTAAATCTAGGCTTTGGCAGACTGCTTGCTGCCCTGGAGGTTAGCAGCACTGAAACTGATGTGTTATAGAAACTCAGGTTGTCAATGATGGAACTGAGGAGTGAGCTGGGCATGCTGCCACAGCTGGGGATAATAAGCAAGCAAGGTACGGATTGCAGTTGCTGGTACCAACTAGTGAGCACTGCTAGGACAGAGACTTGGACACAGCGGAATGTGAGTTACTGCTGGTACTTAGTCAACAGTTGGTTGGGGGCTTCTGGAGCTGTGGTGGAGATGTAAGCTAGGTGCAAGCTCTCACCACCAGCGCTAGGGGAAAGCCCATTGGGTATAGGGCTTGAGAGGAATGTTCAGTTCCTACTCAGTGGCCCAGGCTGTGGTCACCAAGGATGGCACCATTCTTCTTAGTGGTGGGGCTTTAGCAAACCTGCTATCACTCAAGCATTTCACCTGGAGCCTGAGGATTTCCCCACTCCTGCACACCAGAGCTGGTGCTTGCTCTTATCATTGGGAAGTCTGAGTATAAGCCCACCTAGCCAAGATTTGCCCCTCCCCTGAGACAGAGCACATAGCCCGAGGTTTTGGAGATTGCTTCTAGAATTCAACCAAGCCACGTAGAGGCCCAAGAATTGGCCCACTGGTAACTGCCAACACAGGTGGCAGTATACACCACCCTGAGGCACAAAGATAGGCATGCTCATCTCACCACTGCCACCACTGTGTCCTGAAGACTGGCCAAGCTGGCATTCAAGTCCCCAGCATAACTTCACCCCAACCTCCACTAATAATTTTACCCTAAGCCACGGAGGGAATTTCACATGCAACTAACAAAGTGTACAGTCAAAGAAATCATACAGAGACCACACTACTGCATGCACACAGAATCAAAGCCAAAATACCTTACCCAACTAACACCACAGATACATCCTTAGGAAAAGGATCCCCACAAAAGTAAATTCAAAACTAAAAAGTAACTGCTACACCAGATGCATATGTATCAAAAAAAAAAGAAAGAAAACATAAAAAAAAATCAAGAAAATGTGACACCTCCAAAGGAATCTACTAATGCTCTGGCAATACATCTTAAATGACCAAAAAAATTGAAATCCCAGATAAAGAAATCAAAATATTGATTTTAAAGCTCAGTAACATAAAAGAGAATTCTGAAAAATAATACAAAATCAGAAAAACAATTTTTGGATGTGAATGAAAATTTTGCCAGAGATATTTTAAAAAGAACAAAATAGAAATTCTGGAAGTGAAGAATTCATTGAAGAAAATGCAAAAATACATTCAAAACCTTCGGGAAGAAGAAAGAATTTTAGAACTTGAAGAGAGATCTTTTGAAATAATTGAATCAGACAAAAATAAAGAAAAATAATAACAAAAAAGAATGAGCAAATTCATTATGACATTTGGGATAACACGAAGTGATTGAATATCAAATTATTGGCATACAAAGGGCAAAGAAACAAAGAAAGAATTAGAAAACCTATTTACTGAAATAATAGATGAAAACATCCCAAGTCTAGGGAGAGATTTGGACATGCAAATACAGGGGGCTCAATGATATCCAGGCAGATAAAATGTAAAACAGTCTTCTTCAAGACACATTATAGTCAGACTGTCTAAAATCGAAGAGAAAGAGTGAATTCTATAAACAACAAAAGAAAAGCATCTAGTCACCTATGATGGAAACCATATCAGACTAACAGTGGTGAATGTGTTACCACTAGGTTGACCCTAAAGAAATGTTCAAGGAAATTCTAAACCTGGAAGAGAAAGGACAATATTTACCATTGTGAAAACATATAAGAGTGTAAAACTCACTGGTAACACAATTACACACAGAAGAAAGAGAAAGAACTCAAATGCTACCATTACAAACATCCACCAAAGCACAGTGACAAACAATAAAAGAAAAACAAGAACAAAGAATAAACAACCAGAAAACAATTAGCGATATGACAGAAACAAAGCCTCACATATAAATAATAATCTCGAACCTAAATGAATTAAATTCTCCACTTAAAAGATACATTATGTCTGAATGGATTACAAAAAACCAAATAAAACATGATCCAATTACATGCTTCTTTAAAGGAAACTAATTTTTCCAGTAAAGACACATATAGACTGAAAGTAAAGGATAGAAAAAGATACTCCATGCAAGCAGAAACCAAAAGTGAACAGAAGTAGCTATACTTATTGTTATTATTATTATTATTATTATTATTATTATTATTATTTTGAGATGGAGTTTGCTCTGTTGCCCAGGCTGGAGTGCAGTGGCACAATCTTGGCTCACTGCAACCTCTGCCTCCCAGGTTCAAACAATTCTCCTGCATCAGCCTCCCGAGTAGCTGAGATTACAGGTGCGTGCCACCACACCCAGCTAAAATTTTTTGTATTTTTAGTAGAGACAGGGTTTCAGGGTTTTGCCATGTTGTCCAGGCTGGTCTCAAACTCCTGACCTCAGGTGATCCACCCGCCTTGGCCTCCCAAAGTGCTGGGATTACAGGTGTGAGCCATTGCGCTCAGCCAGGAGTAACTATACTTATGTCAGATAAAATAGAGTATAAATCAAAGAGAGTAAAACAATGACAAAGAAGCTTATTTTGTAATCATAAAGAGATCAATCCAGCAAGAGGTTGTAAGGATTCTAAGTAAATACAAACCCAAAATTAGAGCACTCAGACTTATAAAGCAAGTATTACTCAGTCTAAAGCAAGAGATAGGGCTGGACATGGTGGTTCACACCTGTAATCCCAGCACTATGGGAGGCTGAGGCAGGCGAATCACTTGAGGTCAGGCATTTGAGAGCAGCCTGGCCAACATGGTGAAACCACATCTTTACTAAAAGAAAAACAAAAATTTGCCGGGCGTGGTGGAAGGTGCCTATAATCCCAGCTACTCAGGAGGCCGAGGCAGGAGAATAGCTTAAACCCGGGAGGCAGAGGTAGTGAGGCAAGACTGTGCCACTGCACTCCAGTTTGGGGGACAGAGTGAGATTCTGTTTCTAAATAAATAAATAAATAAAATAAAAATAAAGAGATAGACTGCATTACAGTTATGGTGACAGACTTCATTGCCCCACCCTCAGCATTAGACAGATCATCTAGACAGAAAAGCAATACAGAAATGTTAACTTTAAACTAAACTTTAGACCAAATGGACCTAACGAACATTAGCAGATAATTCTATCCAACAACTGCAGAATATACATTAATTTCACCAGCACATCAAACATTAACCAGGATTGACTATGTTAGGGCACAAAATCAGTCACAACAAATTTTAAAAAATCAAAACCATATAGGTATCTTCTCAGATCACAATGGAATGAAACTAGAAATAAACACCAAAAAGAACTTTGGAAATCACACAAATACATACAAATTAACATATTTCTAAAGGACCATTGAGTTAGTTAATAAATTAAACTGGAAATCAAAAAGTGTTTTAAAACAAGTAAAAATGGAAATACAACATACCAAAATGTGTGGGATACAGCAAAAGAAGTGCTAAGATGGAAACGTATAGCAATAAATGCCTGTATCAAAAAAGTAGAAAAATTATGAATTAATAGTCTAACAATGCACCTCATGGAACTAGAAAAGCAAGAACAAACCAGAACTAAAATTAGCAGAAAAAAAAAAGATTGGAGCATAATTAAACAAAATAGAGATTAAAAAAATACAAAGGATTAATTAAACAAAAAGTTGTTTCTTCAAAAAGATAAACAAAATTGATAAACTGTTAACTAGACTAACCATGGAAAGAAAAAGTAGATCCAAGTAAACAAAATCAGAAATGAAAGAAGAGACATACTGATATCATAGATATACAAAAGATTATCAGAGACTATTATGAACAACTATATGCTAACAAACTGGAAAACCTAAAGGAAATGAATAAATTCCTGGAAACATACAACCTACCATGATTGAATCAGAAGAAATAGAAATCTTGAAGAGACTAATAATGAGTAGTTGGATTGAATCAGTAATAAAAAGCCTTCTGACAGTGAAATGCCCAGGACCAGATAAACAGTTGAGTTCTGCCGAATGTAAAAAGAAGAATTAATACCAATCCTCCAGAAACTATTGTTTAAAAGCAAGATGGAGGAAATTCTCCCCAACTCATTCTTCAAGGTCAACATTACTCTGATACCAAAATCAGACAAGGACACACAAAAAAACAAAATTACAGGCCAACATTCCTAATGGCAAAAATCCTCCAGAAAATATTAGCAAATCAAATCTAACAGCACATTAAAAAGATAATATACCATGATCTAGTGGGATTTATACCGGAGATGTAAGAATGATTCAACATATGCAAATAAATAAATTGGATACAACATATCAACAGAAAAAAGAACAAAAACCATGCGATGATGATTATCTCAGTAGGCAGAAAAAAAGCATTTGATAAATTTCAACATCCCTTCATGATAAAAACCCTCAACAAACCAGGCATAGAAGGTCATGTATGATAAACCCACAGCTAACATTATGTTGAATGGTAAAAAGTTGAAAGCCTTTCCTCTAAGAACTGGAACAAGACAGGGATGCCCACCTTCACCACTCCTAATCAACATAATACTGGAAGTCCTAACAACAGTAATAAGACATGAGAAAAAAAATAAAAACATCCAATTAGAAAAGAGAAACTCAAATTTTCCCTCATTATTTGATGATATGATCTTATATCTGGAAAAAAGCTAAAGACTCTATCCAAAACGTCTTTGACTTGATAAATTCTGTAAAGTTACAGGATACAAAATCAAGGTACAATTGTTAGCATTACTATTTCCCAATAATGATCCAGCCAATAAAGAATGCATTCCCAATAATAATAGTTACAAAAAAAATAAAATAAATTACCTAGGAATAAATTTAACCCAGGAGTTAAAAAAAAAAAATCTCTGCAAGGAAAACTACAAAACATTGATGAAATAAATGGAAGATGACCCAAATGGAAAAACATTGCATGCTCATGTATTGTAAGAATACTGTTACAATGACATTGCTCAAAGCAATCTAGAGATTCAAGGCAATGCCTATCAAAATACCAATGTAATTCTTCACAAAAGTAGATAAAACAATGCTAAACTTCATATGAATTCAAAAAAGCACTTGAATAGCCAAAGAAATCCTGAACTAAAAAAACAGAGCTAGAGTCATCACATTACCTGACTTCAAAATATATTACATCTTAGACTATGGTAATCAAAATAGCATAATATTGGTATAAAAATAGGCACATAGACCAATGGTAAACAATAGATAACCCAGAAAGAAAGCCAGATAATTATAGCTAACTGATCTTTGACAAAGCCAACAAATAATTGCATTGGAAAAAGGACACTGCTTCAATAAATGGTGCCAGAAAAATTGGATAGCCACATAAAAAGAATGAAACCAGACCCCTATTTATCACTATGGACAAAAATCAACTGAAAATGGATTAAAGACTTAAATGTAAAACCCCCCAAAATAAAAATACTAGAAGAAAACCTAGGGAAAACTCTCGTGGACATTGTTCTAGTCAAATAAGCCTAGGATCTCAAAACCACAGGAGACAAAAACAAAAATAGACAAATATGACTCTATTAAACTAAAAACCTTCTACACATAAACAGAAACAATCAACAGAATGAAGATATAACCTGCTGATGTATCAGAGGAATAAAACTATTTTTATGCATGCTATGACAGTATACCTAGAAATACATAAAACACCAACGACGGAATTAGCTCAATCAATAAAATAATTCATTGTATAACAAAATATAAAGTCAATACATAAAAATCAATAGCCTTCCTATACTAAACAATAAGCAAACAGAAAACACAATAGTAGAGAAAAAAACATTTAAAACAGCAACCACACAAAATAAATACATAAACGTTAATAAGAAATGTGCAAAATTTATACAGAAAAACTTTTAAAAACTTTTAAAAGATTAAGAAATATATACAATATATTTGTATATGTTTTAAAGATATTTAAATATAAATAAATTTAACATACATTCTTATATAGTTAAATGTATAGGTTATATATGTGCTTGTGTGTATATATATATATATAGAGAGAGAGAGAGAGACAGAGAGACAGAGACAGAGACATGGAGAAGATGAAAGATGTTTCACATTGTTTGACAGGATAACTCAACATTATAAAGATGTCAGTTCTCTTTAATTTATAAATGATATGTTACCCCAGTAAAGATAACTCCACATTTTTTATAGAGTTAGAAAAATTGATTCTGAAGTTCATATGGTAGACAAACATGTGAGAATGAACATGGAACCATTGAGAGCAGAAGAGAGGTTGTTACTAAACTACTATAGAGATTAGTACTGTCAGACTTTAAAACATACTAAGCTTCTATAATTAAGAAATGTAGCATTGGCATATGAATAGACAAGAAACTAGTGGGAATAAAATAGATTACCCAGAAATAGATCCAGGTACATGATGTCAGAAAATATGCAAGCTAAAAGATGATGGAGAGACAACTTTAAAATGGATATTAAAATATCTGTTACTAGAAAAGTACTTGAAAAGTTAAAGACTAGAATAAAAATGTTATGCAAATATTAATCCAAGGAAACTGGAATAATGTTTTCATATAAGACCATTTAAATATCAGAAAAAGAAATGTTACCAGCATAAAGTAAGACTTCTTTAACAATATTTTTTTCAGTTTATCAATGGGGACATAATATCCTTAAATATTTGGAGAAATATTTAATTTGGAGAAATATTTATGCATTGAAATGAGTTTCAATGCATAAAGCAAGATTTAATAGAATACAGAGGAGAGAGGGAGAGACAGACAGTGAGGAGAGAGAGAACTGTAGAAATCTACAATTCTATTGGATTTTTGCTGCACTGCTATCTCAAAACTATTAGAACAAATAGAAAACTAATAAGGACATATTGAAGAGCATTATCAGCTAACTTGACCTAAAAGATATTTAGAGAATACTCACATGAAAATAACAAGACATACATTATTTTCAATGGTACGTAGATTATTCTACAAAACAGACAATATTTCATGCCATATGGAGCGTCATTAAATTTCAAAAAGTGCCCATAAATTGGAAAATACCACTTGTATTCTCTGGCCACAATAAAAATAAAAAGAAAATCAGTAACAGGAAGCTGTCTAAAAATTGTCCTCATATTTGGAAATAAGCTAAACATTATTAATTGATGAGTAAAATGAAATCACATAAAAAATAGAAAAGTGTTGAACTGAAAAATAAAATATAACATGCTAAAATTTAAGAAATGTCTTTAAACCCAGGCTTACAGAAATTCTGTCAAAACCCTCATGTTAGAAAATCACAAAAGTGGCCGGGTGCAGTGGCTCATGACTGTAATCCCAGCACTTGGGGAGGCCAGGGCAGGTGGATCACGAGGTCAGGAGATCGAGACCAGCCTGGGTAACACGGTGAAACCCCATCTCTACTAAAAAATAAAAATAAAAATAAAAAAAACCAAAAAAACAAAAAAAAATTAGCTGGGTGTGGTGGCACGCACTTTTAGTCCCAGCTACTTGGGAGGCTGAGGCAGTATAATCGCTTAAACCCGGGCAGTGAAGGCTGCAGTGAGCCAAGATTACACCCCTTCACTCCAGCCTGGGCGACAGAGAAAGACTCCATCAAATAAAAAAAAAAAAAGAAAGAAAATCACAAAATGTAACTTTCCAAGTGATAGTTAAACTAAAAGCCCAGACTTTGCCACTACATGATATACGCGTGTAAGAAACCTGTACTTGTACCCCCGCAGATACACAAAAATAAAAATTAATAAAGAAATAAAGAAAAAATACCAAAGCCTCATATTAATGCTCAACGTTTTACTTAAAGAAACTAGAAATTAAGAACAATACTAAACTTAAAACAAAAAGAAATACCAAAACAGAAATGAAAAGACTCCGGAAAACAGAAAACAATAAAAACAGAGAAAAAAACACCAAGTATTTTCTTTCAAAGGACAAATAAAATTTATAAATTCTATTAGGAAACTGATTGTGCAAAAAGAAAATACAAAATTACCAATGTCAGAAAACACTGAGAGAAAATTACAAAGCCTATAGACATTAGAACAATAAGGTTATATTACAAACAATTATTTCCAATATATTTGATATTTTAAAAAGAGAAACTGCCAAACTCATTAAAAAGGTAGATGACCAGAACAGGCCCATATCTATTATGAAGAAGTGGAAAATTTTGCCAAAAAAGAAAAGCTCTTGTCATGTCAAGTTGCCTTCACAGTGGAAGTTTAGCAAGCATTTAAGAAGAAAATAATGCCAACTTTATACGAATACACCACAGAATAAAGACAGAAAGAACACTAATTAACTATTTTGATGATACCACCATTATCCTGTCAGTGAAATCTTTTCAAAGATATTACAAGGAAATATAACTATAGACCAACATCCTTCAGAGAGGTAGACGCAAATGTCTTTACCAAACTTTTAGCAAGTAGAACTCAATGATACATTAAGAAGATAATGCTCAACTACCAAGTAGGGTTCATTTGAGGAATAAAATTGTTTTAATGTTTAAAAATAATGGAATTACTATATAAAGGGATTAAATAAGAATCCATATGATAATTTTTAATGTCAGAAAAAGCATTGAAAATTACCATTCATGATTTTTAAACAACTCCATAATTCAAAAGAAATCATTTTCAACCTGATAAAGGCAGCTTTGTGAAACCTACACTCAGCACTATGTATAACAGTGAAAACCTGTATGTTTTGCTACAAGATCAGAAACAAGATGAGGAAGTATTTTCTCACTACTTATACTTGACTTGTAAGAAAGGTACTAGCCAGTGCAGTAGGCAAGAAATAAAAGGAATATAGATTGTATGGAAGACATAGAATTGTCTGTATTTGTCAATAGCACGATCATCTATGTAGAAAGGCCTAAAGAACTTTTAAAGACTATGATAATTTATAAGTGAGTTTAGCTAGGTTGCAGGATGCATGGTCAATATGCAAATATTAGTGTATTTCCATTTCTAGAAATGAATATTTGGAAATTGAAATTTTAAGAAAGACCACTTACAAGAGCATAAAATACAAGAGCATAAAATTTGTGTCCTCTGTAGAGGACACAAATAAAGGGAGAGAAATATCATGCTCATGGATCACGAGGCTCAATATTGTTAAGATGCCAAAACTTAATCTTCAGTTACAACGCAATCTCAATGAAAACCCCAACAGGCTATTTCCTTCACTATAAAATTGAAAAACTGCTTTTAAAATTTTTGTGGAAATACAGAGAATCTAAGCAAGGCAAAACAACTTTGAAAAGGAGCAAAGATAGATAATTCATACTGTATGACTTCAAGACTTACCATAAAACTACAATAATTTAGAGTGTATTGTTGTGTTAGGATTGCATTGGAATATATTAGAGTCCAGAAATAGACCAAGACATATATGGTCAATTGATTTTTAAAAAAGGTGCCAAGATAATTCAGTAGATAAAAAATAGTCTTTTCAACAAATTGTGAAACAATTAGATATCTGTGTACAAATAAAAATGTATATCTCTAGACTTACTACTTACTGAATTACAAAACTAACTGGAAGTGGATTATAAATCCAAAGCAAAGACTAAAAGTATAGAACTAAAAGAAAAAATAGGAGAAATTATTTGCCATCTTGAATTAAGTGCAGATTTTTTAAAAGAAGTCACACATTGACAAAAAGAGAGTACAGTATAAGCATAAACCATGAAATTTTAAAAAAAATAATAAATTTGACTCCATAGAGATTATTAAAAAGTTTTTCAAAATATAGCATTAGGGAAATAAAAGGCCACTAGGAAAAAAATATTTGGAATTTATATATTTGATAAAGGACATGAATACAAGATATGTAAAGCAATAAGAGCTCTTACAACTCAATAATAAGAGAAACCAGATCTTAAGTGAAAGATTTGAATAAACTTGTCACCAAATAAGATGTAGATATAGGAATGGCAAATGAAAAGGTGCTCGACTGCATTGGTCATTAGGAAAGCAGAGGATAGAGCAAATCCCAGGCCTCCTGAGGCTCAGCTGCAGATGCTTCTCAGGGACTATCACCAGTCTCCACTTAGAAAGCTATGGGAATGGAGTCAGTTTGGAATTTGCCTTCCTTTAACAAACACCTTATGCAATAAAAATTAAAAAGAGAAGTGTAATAAATTCATCAAAATCCAGTTTGTGATTATATGTTACATTTAAATAATGTAACATATTATCTCTACTCAATATAATGGAAAGTTTTCTAAGAGAAAACTAAATTTAAAATTGTATAGCTCTATAAATTCTAGTTTGGTTTTCAGATTGCTCAGTCTTCAGAAAACACTAGGGCAAGACTCACTATATCTTCTATAAAAGAAGCAAGCTTTGGTTTCATTAATAAAATTATTGTACAATGTGATTAACTTTAGCCAATAAAGGGTAGTTTAGTTAGTTCATGCTTATTTACTAATAATGTCCAGATTCTGAATCATCTATTGTAAGCACTTTTGGAAGTAAAATAAATATACCTTTGTATTTTAACCCCACGCCTGTTTAGGAAACCGTCCCAGAACGATGAAAAAAATTGAAAAACTGGTTCCCTTCACTGTTTAGTGTTCACATGTAGTACTGTGTATTTTCTCTTTGACTTCACCATTAAATATCCAATGTATAAAAATTCATGGTAATCTCCTTATTTCATGGTTCAGGTGGTATTTTAAGGTGTCTATAATAGACAGTTGCCCCGGAGTATCTGCATTTCCAGGACCTCTGCTGCCAACCTGTGGGTACCAAAGGATGCTCAAGTCCCTTATATAAAATGATATAGTATTTGCATATAACCATTACACACCCTCTCATATATTTTAAACCATCTCTAGGTTACTTATAATTCCTAATCCAATGTAAAAACTATGTAAATAGTTGTTATACTATATTGTTTTATTTGTGTGTGTGTGTGTGTTTTGTTTTGTTTTGTTTTTGTTTTTGTTTTTTTTGAGACAGTCTCGCTCTGTTGCCCAGGCTGGAGTGCAGTGGCGCGATCTCGGCTCACTGCAAGCTCCGCCTCCCGGGTTCACAACATTCTCCTGCCTCAGCCTCCTGAGTAGCTGGGACTACAGGTGCCCACCACCACGCCCCGCTAATTTTCTGTATTTTTATTAGAGACGGGGTTTCACCATGTTAGCCAGGATGGTCTCGACCTCCTGACCTTGTGATCCATCCTCCTCGGCCTCCCAAAGTGCTGGGATTACAGGCGTGAGCCACCACTCCCGGCCTTGTGTTTTTTTTTTTTGTTTGTTTTTTTTTTTTTAATACTTTCCATCCACGACTGGTTAAATTCACAGATGTGAAATCTAAGAAGTGGAACCCATGAATATGGAAGACCTTTTTAAAACTGAATATGTAGACAACTTTCTTTTTCTTAGGGAACTACAATTACTTGATTTAGTAACAGCAGCTTTTTAAAAATATTTTAACACAGCAATTTTTTCATGAATGTTGTAGTGAGATGAAAAAGTTAAAATATAATGTTAAAACATATAATTAAATTTACTATTTTTCTAGAGAAACAGACCATGAAAATGGGTATATGATTACTTATATCTGTGATGTGTTATCCATTGTACTATCTCCTAAATTCCTTATAATGGCTGAAATGTGTTTATTCTTGAAGATTTGTTATTCTACATGAATTAACAAAAAAGAGTACTATTTTAACTGGGCAAGGAGAATTGTACTAGTTAAGCACATTCTTAAACTCTAACGGGCACATGACATTTATATTCTAATGTTCTAATAAAAATTTAGTTTCTAAAATTTTACCTACAAAGTGTTTTAATTGGCTCATAAATAAAATGCACACATATATGTAACAATATTCTTTTAGACATCTACTTTAAAAATGTTAATAAGGGTGTATAAAGATAAAAAGTTTCATGCAGTGTTTTGAACAGAGTAATATTATTAGAACATTTCTTTGTACTTATTTTTTAAAAATAAAGGGAAAAGGAGGTAACAAGAAAGGCCTTTACTTGGAGCCAGTTTCAATTAGATGCCTTAGCTGCTTAGAGTTTGGTGCTAACGAGGTCAAGGCACAGGGTCTAATCCTTGCATGGGACAATTAGCATTGTTCTGCTCCAGCTCTCAGACTACGTATCTTGCAAAGTGCCCCACTCACAAAAAGGAAGCCAGGTAATAAAGTGTTGGAGGATCGCTGAAATCTGAAAAATCTCAGTTGAATAACACTCAGGCAACATCACTGCCCCACTGTAGCTCTATTATGTTTCAGTTAAACTGGTCACTCTTGGGTCCAAATTATGCTGTGTGTGTGATTTCCAGCCTTTGTGAACTTTTTTCTTTAATCCTCTGTGTCATTCATATTTTTACAAATTAAAATTCTTCTCATCCCTTAAGTCTTAAGACATTTGACATGTCTTTTACCAACCATCGCCACTTTATTCTCTCACATTAAAAGAATCATGTTTATTGTAATCATGAGATATTGGTCTTATATTTTATACATATGTATGTGATAAAAATCCACTTGAAAACCTTGAATTAGATATCCTGTGTTACTATTCATCTTTATGTCTCAGTGTGTTTTGAACATATTTCCATAAATATTTGCTGAAAAAATGTATAAAGAGATAGTAAATAAGTGAAAGAATGAAGGTAGTTCCCAAGTTGCAATTAATTACCTCGGCTTTAATCTGGAGTATGCACAGCACTTGACAGTTTATGTTTTTATTACTAAAGAAGAACAGTCTTTATATACAATAACTCCATATTGTGAATATTTTTAAACAAAGTTTAAATTGGAGCATGGCTCCAAAATACCATGGTTAGTATTTTCTTTTTTTGTTTTGTTTTGTTTTTTAACAGCAACTCGTTCTGTCACCTAGGCTGAAGTGCGGTGGTGCTATCACAGCTCACTCTAGCCTCAACCTCCTGCACTCAAGCGATCCTCCCACTTCATCCTACTGAGTAGCTGGGACTACAGGCACATGCCACTATGCCTGACTAATTTTCTTTTTTTAACTTTTTATAGAGACAGGTATCTCAATATATTGCCCAGGCTCAAGCAATCCTTTTGCCTTGGCCTTCTAAAGTGCTTGGATTACAGGTGTGAGCCAACCTTGCCCAGCCAGTATTTTCACTTTTATTAAAAATTTTATTACATACGAATTAGGAATACATTAGCTTCAAATAACAGTATCCGACTTTGTCTTTCTCCTAAAAAATAATTATAGTATTGTTTGGAAGGATATCAGGCTCAGAGAAGCAATGAGAAAGAGGAAAAGCAGATTTAGAAACTGGCCTTTAATTAAATAAAGTAACTTCAGAGGAGCAAAAAGTTGAAAGTCACAAAACCATCTTTTATCTGGAATAGTCTGGCCAGAATGCAAGCATATTGTAAAAACTACCTTTGTTCTTGCTTTAATACAATTCAACGGCCATGAATTACACACTCAAGATTTAAATTCCTGAGTAGCAGGGTCCTAGTGAAGGACCCTTAGCTGCCAGGAGATGGAGAGAGAAAAAATCTAGGTCTGTACTTTCCATAGGGTTGTTAACTCACCACAAGTGTCCATTGAGCCCCTGAGATGTGGTTGGTCTTAACTGAGATGGGCTGTAAGTAAAATACGCTGGGTTTTAAAGATTTAGTAAAAATGGCAAGAAAGTAAAATCTCTCACTATTTTCATATCGCTTATATGTTGAAACTGGTTAAGTAAAATGTATTAATGAAATTAATTTTAGTGGCCGGGCGCGGTGGCTCACTCCTGTAATCTTAGCACTTTGGGAGGCCAAGGCGGGAGAGTTACCTGAGGTCAGGGGTCAGCCTAGCCAATGTGGGGAAACTCCGTCTACTAAAAATACAAAAATTAGCCCAGCGTGGTGGCACGCACCTATAATCCCAGCTACTCGGGTGGCTAAGGCAGGAGAATCACTTGAACCCGGGAGGCTGAGGTTGCGGTGAGCCGAGATGGCGCCATTTCACTCCAGCCTGGGTGAAAGAGCGAAACTCCATCTTAATAATAATAATAACAATAATAACAATAATAATAATAATGTTACCTAGTTTTAAAAGTTTTTTTTTTTTATTGTGACCATTAGGACTAACAAACTAATAGTGAATATTTGATATCATTAGGATCAATCATGGAATGGGCACCACACATTCACAAAGAACTTTAAATTTTGGTTTTTGACTTTTTTCCAAGTGACTCAATACATAGCAACACAGAAATCTATTACTATTTAGACAGAAACATAAAGATACTCATTATCCTTTAATGTTTATCTCATTATCAGGTTTCAGAGCCTATTTTTAAAAATCTTCTGAATGCAGAAATTATATTCCATTATATTTGCTTAATGTATTTTATTTTTTCAAGAGATGTATTTAAAATAAAAGATACACATTTACATATTTACTTTAGTGAAGTTCTACTTATAACTGTCAGAGTTTTATGTGAAACAAATCAATAGTGTGAAAGCTCAATATTTCGTATTAAAATCATATGAATTCAAGTCCTCTCTGTGTATCTATCTTTCCCATTCCTTCTTTAGTATTCATTAGTATTTCAAGTAATTCTTTTAATTGCCTCTTTACTGTATAATGCCATCTGGTAATAATGTCATAAATATAAATATTTTATTTTAAATATTTTATGAGCTTTTGAAGGTATCTTAGTTTTATCACCCATATTTCTGCAAAATTAGATATCTTAGTTTTATTGCCAAATCTCTGCTGGGTACACAAAGTGTTCTCAGTTAATATGCCTAAATTGGACTACTTGTCAAAAAGAAAAAGTGTAAGCCACTAGTAAAAAAATTTTAAAGACAAAGACAATAAGAAAAGTCTAAGAATTTTATTCCAAAACACTTTTAGGAATGAAAGTGAATCCCATGTTTAGGATTTGGAGGCTATTTTGTTATAACAAAATGCTTCATATTTAGAATACATCATCAAGGTGAAAGTGTTATGTGAGATTTGTTTGAATGCTAATATGTCACTGTTTTATAAAACGTTTATTATTGCCAAATACACTGGAAACTGTTTGTAAAGCTCAGTTTTGGAAATAGGATTAACATATACTTCAGTTTAAATATAAAATGACAAAAGATTTTTATATATGGCTTTATTTTAAATGCAAAGAATATTTTAGAATTTTTGTTTAGTTTGTAGTTTGAATGTATATAGCAAATCTCTATTGGCTCTTATTAAATTATTAAAATGATTTCGTGCTTAAATCAAACAGGTAATATGATTACCCTTTGCATTTTCTTGATCTTCTGTGTTTTTATCTGTAAGTTATTTTGGTATTATAGTTATATAATTATGTGCATTCAGTTTACAAATACAATAATTCTATAGGACAATTTTTAGAGAAAAATGTGAGTGCATCTTCATTATATAAAGGCTGTTAGAGGCCAGGTGTGGTGGCTTACACCTGTAATCCCAGCACTTTGGGAAGGTGAGGCAGGCAGACCACCTGAGCCTAGGATTTGGAGACCAGCCTGGGCAAAATAGTGAGACCTCATCTCCACAAAAATTTTAAAAATAATAATTTTTTAAAAAATAAAATGAAAAATAAAGACTGTTAGAGAAAGTGTAGCTATTTATTTATAATATGCTCCAGATTTCTAAGTCAAGTGATATAGTTAAAAAAAAGATAACTAGAAATGGAAGATCTTGAAATTTATTATATTGAGGAAAGAAGTAAACATCACAAATACTGTAGATATCTCATTTAAAAGATAAATTTAGCAGTGAGTTTGTGTCTTTGCAAGCTAGGAAAACGAATGGAAACTACAAATTTAATTAAATGATAGAACAGAGGTATAGAAGCACTTCTAATTTAAAATTGTGTTTGTGTGTTTTTAAGAAATTAATAAATTGCTGTATTTTTATTAGAAAAAAGCATTTTTATTTTAACAACTCAAAGAATACATAAAGTTTGAAAAATAAAGTGAATTTCTATCACAAATAGCTGATATTACTTTTGTTTCCATATTTCTAATCTTCTGTGCATATATATACATATATATCATATGTATTTAAAGAGATACAAGCATGCTAATTTCTGCATATTCTTATTGTATATGTTACTGTCATATTATATATTACGAAGTATTTTGTTACTTAAAATTATGTGTAAGTATAATGCATATAAATATGTATACTTCATGTCAGATAATACTAAACATTATTTGTATTTATAAATATTAGTGTTAACTTTCATATATGAGATAGAAATACAAAGTCTGTCTTATTTATCATATATTATTATCATATGATAAAATATATGCAACGTTCCACATAATCATTCTCTCACCAACTGTAATTTTATATCCATATAACTGATGTCATCATTCTGGTCATATCCTTAGACAATTTTCTCCATGTTTATATAAAATGATTATTGTATGTATACTTCTGTTTATAAAATAAAATTATTGGCCAGGCGCAGTGGCTCATGCCTGTAATACCAGCACTTTGGGAGGTGGGCGGATCACTTGAGATCAGGAATTCGAGACCAGCCTGGCTAACATGGTGAAACCCTGTCTCTACTAAAAAATAATAATAAAAAATAAAGTCGGGTTTTGTGGTGCACACCTGTAATCCCAGCCACTCTGAAGGCTGAGGCAGGAAAATGACTTGAACCCAGATAGCAGAGGTTGCAGTGAGCCGAGATCGTACCACTGCACTCTAGCCTGGGCGACAGAGCCACACTCCATCTCAAACAAAACAAAACAAAACAAAAATAAATAAAATTATTAAAATAGTTTATATGCTCAAATTTATTCTTTGGATGCAGATATAAGTAGTCTGTCTTAATAACTAAAAAACACTACATGAAATTAATATTTCATTTGGTTATCTTTTTAATGCATCCTCTGAGACTGTTGTTTTTCTTCCCCATAACTCTTCTCCAGTAGCAATTTTTAAAATATTTTTTATTATTTTTAATTTTTTATTACTTTTTAAAATTGTTGTGGGTACATAATAGTAGTATGTATTTATGGGATACATGAGATGTTTTGATACAGGCATGCAATGTGAGATAAGCACATCATGGAAAATGGGGTATCCATGCCCTCAAGCACTTATCCTTTCAGTTACAAACAATCCAATTACACTGTTTAAGTTATTTAAAAATATACAATTAGGTTATTATTGGCTGTAGTCACCCTATTGTGCTATCAAATACTAGGTCTTATTTATTCTTTCTATATTTTTTACCTATTAACCACCTCCACCTCCGCAATAACTCCTCACTACCATTGCCAGCCTCTGGTTACCATCCTTCTACTCTTTATGACCACAAGTTCGTATGTTTTGAATTTTAGATGACACAAATAAGTGAGAACATGAGATGTTTGTATTTCTGTGCCTGGCTTATTTCACTTAACATATTGATCTTTAGTTTCATCCATTTTGTTGCAAATGACTGGATCTCATTCTTTTTAATGGCTGACTAGTACTCCATTATACTACATTTTCTTTCCACTCATCTGTTGATGGATACTTAGGTTGCTTCTAAATCTCAGCTATTGTAAATAGTGCTACAACAAACCTAGGAGTGCAGATATCTCTGATATACTGATTTTTTTTTCTTTTGGGTATATACCCAGCAATGGGGTTGCTGGATCATATTGTTGCTCTACTTTTAATTTTTTGAGGAACTTCCAATCTGTTCTCCACAGTGATTGTACTAGTTTACATTTCTACCAACAGTGTATGAGAGTTCCTTCTCTCCATATCCTTACCAGTGTGTGTTATTGCCTGTCTTTTGGATATAAGCCATTTAATGAAGGTGAGATGATATTTCATTGTAGTTTTAATTTATATTTCTCTGATGATCAATACTGTTGAGTACCTTTTCATATGCCTGTAGCCATTTATATGTCTTCTTTTGAGAAATGTCTGTTCAAATCTTTTGCCCATCTTTTGATTGGGTTATTAGATTTTTTCCTGTAGAGTTGTTTGAACTCCTCATATATTCTGGCTATTAATCCCTTGTCAGATGAGTAGTTTGCAGATATTTTCTCACATTCTGTGAGTTGTCGCTTCACTTTGTTGATTGTTTTCTTTGCTGTTGAGAAACTTTTTAACTTGATGTGATCATTTTTGTCCATTTTTGCTTTGGTCGCTTGTGCTTGTGGGCTATTAATCAAAAAATGTTTGCCCAGACCAATGTCCTGGAGATGTTACTTATTGTTTTCTTGTAGTATTTTCATAGCTTGAAGTATTAGATTTAAATCTTTAATCCATTTTAATTTAATTTTGTATATGGCAAGAGATAGGGATCTAGTTTTACTATTTTGCATATGGACACCCAGTTTTCCCAGCATCATTTTTTGAAGATACTGTCTTCTCCCCAGTGAATGTTCTTGGCACCTTTGTCAAAAATGAGTTCTCTTTAGGCATGTGGATTTGGGATTTCTGTTTGGTTCCATTGGTCTATGTATCTGTTTTTATGCCAATACCAGGCTGTTTTGCTTACTATAGCTCTGTAGTATAATTTGAAGTCAGGTAAAGTGATTCCTCCAGTTTGTTCTTTTTGCTTAGGATAGCTTTGGCTATTCTGGGTCTCTTGTGGTTCCACATAAATTTTAGAAATGCTTTTCTTATTCCTGTGAAGAATGTCATTTTTATTTTGATAGGGATTACATTGAATCTGTAGGTTGCTTGGGGTAGTATGGACATTTTAACAATACTTATTTTTCCAATCCATGAACATAGAATATATTCCATTTTTGTGTGTCCTCTTCAATTTCTTTCATCTGTGTTTTATAGTTTCCATTATAGAGATCTTTCACTTCTTCTGTTAGGTTAATTCCTAGGTATTTAATTTTATGTGTGGCTATTGCAAATGGGATTACTTTTTGAATTTTGATTTCATATTATTCATTGTTGGCATGTAGACATGCTACTGATTTTTGTATATTGATTTTGTATTGCTCAACTTTACTGAATGTAATTATCAGTTCTAGTAGTTTTCTTGTGGAGTCTATTAGGTTTTTCCAAATATAAGACTATATCATCCTCAAACAAGGATAATTTAACTTCTTCCTTTCCAATTTGGATGCCATTTATATCATTCTCTTGTCTGATTGCTCTAGTTAGAATTTCAGTACTATGTTCAATAACAGTGCTGACAATGACAGTGGGCATCCTTGTAACATTCCAGATCTTATAGAAAAGTCTTTAACTTTTTGCCCATTCAGCATGATAATAACTGTGGGAATGTCATCTATGGCTTTTATTATAATGAGGTGAGTTTCTTCTGTACTCAGTTCTTTTAGGTTTTTTATTGTGAAGGTATGTTAAATTTTATCAAATGCTTTCCCAGCATAAATTGCATTGCTCATACTGTTTTTATCCTTTATTCTCTTGATTTGATGTATCATGTTGATTGATTTGCGTATGTTGAACCATCCTTGTATCCCAGGGATAAATCCCACTTAGTCATGATGAATCATCTTTCTAATGTATTGTTGAATTTTGTTTTCTAGTGTTTTGTTGAGAATTTTTGCATCAATATTTATGGGCCTATAGTTTTCTTTTTTTATGTGTCTTTGTCTGGTTTTGGTATCAGGGTAATACTGGCCTCATAGAATGGGTTTGGAAGTATTCCCTCCTTATTTATTTTTTGGAATAGTTTGAGTAGGATTGGTATTAGTTCTTCTTTAAGTGTTTGGTAGAATTCAGCAGTGAAGCCATTATGTTCTGGGCTTTTCTTTACTGGAAGACATTTTATTACAGCTTCCATCTCATTACTTGTTAATCGTCTGTTCATGTTTTGGATTCCGTCCTAGTTCAATCTTGGTAGGTTTTATTTATCTAGGAATTTGTCCATTTTTAAGCACCTATAGCTATAAACTTTCCTCTTAGTACTGCTTTTGTTGTATCCCATAGGTCTTGGTATGTTGTGTTTCCAATTTGATTTGTTTCAAGAATTTTTTCAATTTTCTTCTTAATTTCTTTATTCACCCACTGGTCATTCAGGAGCATATTGTTTAACTTCTATGTATCTGCATAGTTTCCTAAATTCCTCTTGTTATTAATTTCTAGTTTTATTCCATTGTGGCCAGAGAAGATGTTTGATTTTTTTCATTTTTTTAATGTTTTAAGGCTTGTTTTGTGACCTAACATATTGTCTTTCCTTGACAATAATTCATATGCTGAGGAAAGGAATGTGTATTCTGCAGCTCGTTGATGAAATGTTCGTACATATCAATTAAATCCATTAGGTCTATAGTACAGATTATGTCTGATGTTTCTTTGTTGATTTACTGTCTGGAAGAACCGTCCAATGCTGAAAGTGAGGTGTTAATGTCGCCAGCTATTATTGTATTGGGGCCTAGCTCTCTCTTTAGTTTTAGCTATAATTCCTTTATACATTTGAGTGCTCCAGTATTAGGTCCATATATATTTCCAATTGTTGTATCCTCTCGCTGAATTGACCCCTTTATTATCTTATGGTGACCTTCTTTGTCTTTTGATTTTGGTGTCTTTTGATTTGATTGGAGAGTTCAGTTCACTTACACTCAATGTTATTATTGATAAGTAAGGACTTAACTCTTGCCATTTTGTTATTTGTTTTCTGGTGATTTTGTGGTCTTCTCTTCCTTCTTTCATTCATCCTGTCTTCCTCTGTGATGGTGATTTTCTCTGGTGACATGATTTAGTTTCTTGCTTTTTATTTTTTATGTATCCATTGTATGTTTTTTGGGTTGAGGTTGCCACAAGGCTTGCAAATACTGTCTTACAACCCATTATTTTAACCTGCTAACTTAATACTCTCTGCACAAACAAACAAGCAAAAAGAAAACCAATAAAAACTCACCTTAACTTTGTCCCCCACTTTTTAAATGTTTTATTGTTTGTATTTATATTTTATCGTACTGACTATCTCTTGAAAAGTTGCTGTAGTTATTATTTTTGATTGATTCATTGTTTGGTCTTTCTGCTTAGGATAAGAGTAGTTTACACACCACAGTTACAGTGCTATAATATTCTATGTTTTTCTGTGTACTGATTATTACCAGTAAGTTTTGTACCTTCAGGTCATTATTTATTACTCACTAATGTTATTTTCTTTCTGATTGAAATACTTCCTTTAGCATTTCTTGTAGGACGGGTCTGCTGTTGCTGAAATCCCTCATCTTTTATTCTTCTGGGAAAGTCTTTATTTCCCCTTCATGTTTGAAGGATAATTTCACTGGATATACTATTCTAGGTTTTTTTTTTTTTTCCTTTAGCACTTTAAATATGTGATGTCACTCTCTCCTGGCCTGTAAAATTTCCAATGAAATGCATGCTGCCAGCATATTAGAGCTCCGTGGTATGTTATTTGTTTCTTTTCTCTTGATTCCTTTAGGATCATTTCTTTATCCTTGGCTTTAGGGGGGTTGATTATCAAATGCCTGGAGGTGGGCTTCTTTGGATTAAATCTGCTGGTGTTCTATAACTTCCTCGTGCTTGGATATTGACATCTTTCTTTCTTTCTCTAGGTTTGGGAAGTTCTCTGTTATTATCCTTTTGAATAAACTTTCTACCCCTATTTCTTTCTCTACCTCCTCTTTAAGGCCAATAACTCTCAGATTTGCCCTTTTGGGAATATTTTCTGGATCTTATAGGCATGCTTCATTGTTTTCTATTCTTTTTTTCTTTTGTCTCCTCTGACCGTGTATTTTCAAATAGCTTGTCTTCATGTTCACTAATACTTTCTTCTTCTTGAGTCATTCCACTATTTAAGGGACTCTGATGCATTCTTCAGTAGGCCAATTGCATTTTTCAAGTCCAGAATTTCTGTGTGATTCTTTTTATATTATTTCAATCTCTTTGTTAAATTTATCTGATAGAATTCTGAATTCATTTCCTGTGACATCTTGAATTTCTTTGAGTTTTCTCAATACAGCTATTTTGAATTATCTGTCTGAAAGGTCACATATCTCTATTTCTCCGGGATTGGTCCCTGGTACCTTGTTTGATTCATTCATTGAGGTCATGTTTTCTGAATAGTGTTGATGGTGTTAATAGTAGATGTTATTTGGCATCTGAGCATTGTGATTGCAGTTTTACATGCATGTAATGTGAGGGCTCTTGAGTTCCAAGGGGACCCACCTGATTGGGAAGAGGTGCATGTAGAGAAGAGCTGGTGGGACACGTTAATCATTCTCTAAACACCTCCTTGATAGGGGTGCCCAAGGGAGAGAATACAGTCATGGGTTCTTAGTTTCTGTTTCTGGTTGGGCCAGTAAAGCCCGTTTCTCATCCCTCTTTTCTGCCTGTCACTAGAGACAAAATAAAAACGATGGCTTCAGACTGCTAAAATCCTAAAATGAGACAAAATAGAACAACAACAAAACCAAAACCAAAATAAGTCAGGTTGAACAAGCTTGTGTACCCTCTCTGATGGTCCAACAGAAGCAAGATAAAATCCCATAGGGAGAAATGAAAAACACCGCCTTGATTAAGGACTTAAAGGCAGCAGGAATAGTAAGAGATGAAATATTTCAATGTAACAGCAATGTGTGCTAGTGAAAAAGGCTCATATGATCTAAAGACTTACAGTGGATTTTTGCCACATGCATGTAGTCGTTGCTCCTGTGGCCCTGACTGTTTCAGACACTGTGATTGACACTGAATCCATTACTTAGACTGATGGCACTGAGTATGCTGTCTTAGACATTGCTGACATTGCTAACAACCTCTTTTATATCCTACTGGCATCTGATGACCAAGACTAATTAGCATTCATGTGGCAAGTTCTCCAATATAAGTTTGCAATACCTTCTTTTTGCCAGAAGTCAGATCAGAATTTAATGTGAGAGGCTTTACTCTCTGAGGTCCAGAGCTTTTGTTATATAGATGATGTCATGTTGGCTGGCAGGTCGGAAGTCTTAGACTCAATAGATCTGAATGCAGTGTTATTATCCTATGAAAATTTTTTCAGAGGCCCTCTTGCTAAGAAAGATTTTGTTGGACTGTGTGTGGAGATTCACAGTGCTCAATCCCTTCAGTAGTCTAGAAGAATCTTTGATCTCTTTGAACCTTGACTCTTATCTCTTTGAACCTTTGAATCTTGACTCTTATCTCTGGTTTCTTTGAGTATTGGAAATGTGCCTCACTTTCTTATTACAGTTGTACCTATATATCACATAGACCACAAATTATCATACTTAGAGAGGGGCCCAAATGAAGAGTCAGGGTTGGAAGAGATGTTTAGCAAGCTGTAGCATGCTCTCTGCATTCAAGGCAAATAATCTAATGACCTTTTGAACTATGAAGTCTCTATGACTCATGATTTTGTTTATCAGAGACTCCAGCAAAGGTAGGCACATGTTAGTGTTTCGGATTCATCATCTCCCTGGCATAGAGATATGTCCATTTTAAAAAACAATTATTTGTTTGCTACTGAGGTGGTGGGGTTTTGGGCGGGAGGGGTGGGGGCCGCATTTTTGTCAAAACTGAATGTCTCTACCATGGAAGGCTTGTTACTCTTCAGTCAAGTTTTGCCATTTTGAGGTAAGTAAACTTGAATATAGTGACTAATAAGATCGGAAGGACCTAATAAACATTAATTGTCAAATGGAAATAACACATTTTTAAAAAAGATGGCCCCAGTAGCACGTCAACTTTACCTGAAAGAGATTCACTTATCCCTTTTGGGGAAACATTCATTATCCTTCTACTTTGTCACCGAAATCAAAACTTCTGGTTCAAAGTGGACTTTTATTTATGGGTTTATGGAAGTTCAATCAGTACAACATGTATCCCTCAGATAAATTGGAGATCCCTCCAAAATGTGTCTACCTTTGTTTCCTTAGGGGAGCTTCCCGTAGGGATAATTGACTTATTCTTTTATGTTACCAGTGGGCAGTTATTCCCATCATTGGACGCATCCAATTGCAGAAGTTAATACAACATTGGTTCCAGAATTTATATGAAGAGATTAATGACACTGCTTTATCCCTGGCATTCAGATGGATTGCAACTCACTAGCCAGAATGGTCATAAATGATAGAACAGATTCAGATTTCCTCCTTGTAAGCCAATATATAGCCTGCGTGGTGCTCTGCCTTGACTAAAGCCTTGGGTCAAGTAGAAAGGCTTGACAGGAACGTAAGTGGAAAGCCATTTGGCTTTTTAAGGTAGACCCTTAAATTTTATGGAATTGTTTACCTGGCTATCGCCAGAACCCTGTGGACACAGCTGAGCCCAATATTGAAGGTTAGACTCAAGTGCTGTTTGGAGTTTTGTTTATAAGTACTTTTAATTAAATATGGAGTGAGCCAAATTGAATGAATTTAGTTCCAGCCTTGTCAGTCAAATTAATCAGTGTGATCTACTGAATGATGTAATTGTGGAAAAATTTGCCAAAAAGCAAGACAGTGTAGAAATGAGGATGAGATATTATTGGGAGAGAATTCTCCATGCTGATACTCTAATTACAATGATTGCTATGCATATTAAAGTCTTTTATCTTTGACCCAAGAGTTTCATGTCTTCTGCTAGTATCTGTTAAACTTGCTAACCCTTTGCTTATAAGTACCATAAAATCTCAGACTATTCACAGCACTTTACATATATATGTGGTGGGATGGTAAATTTACTTATATACTGCATGTTTATAGAATTATATATATATATAATTTTAATCATGTCAAAATCAAGTTTTTCTTTGATTTTCAATTTTTATTTTAGGTTCAGGGGGCACATGTGTTACATGGATAAACTGTGTGTCACTAAAGTTCTATGTATGAATAATTCCATCACCTAGGTACTGAGCATAGTACCCAATAGTTAGCTTTTCAACCCCTGTCTCTCTCCACCCTCTCCCTGCTAGTAGTCCCGTTTCTGCTGTTCCCATTTTTATGTCCATGTGTACTCAATATTTAGATCCCACTTATAAGTGAGAATATGTGGTAATTGGTTTCTGTTTCTGCATTAATTCACTTAGGATAACAGCTTCCAGCTGCATCCATATAGCTGCAAAGGACATGATCTTGTTCGTTTTTATGGTTATGTAGTATTACCTGGTATATATATATATATATATACCACAGTTTTTTATCTAGTTCACCACTGATGGGCATTTAGGTTGGTTCCATAAATGTAAGGTTGAATAAAGATACAAATCCCATCAACATAATTCCATATATTAATAAAGAGAAACAGCCAATGATCACACCAATAATTGTGTGAACATATAGTAACCTTTAACATTCTTCATGATAAAATATTATCAAGTTAAGACTAAAAAAGAATCTTCTCATCTAATGAAAGTAATTTATCTCAACCAAGGGCAAATTGTAATTTGTTTGTACAATTTGTACAATCTATATAAAAACTTTGAAATCAAGATTGTAATGCCAGACTGTTTAGTCTTTAAACTTTTGTTAGGTTGTAAGCAAACTAAAGAACAAATAAATAATTTAATGAATGAACAAGTACATAGGTAAATGACTTTTGAAGAAAATTAAAAGTATCATCATTTGCATATATGATTATGTATCTAGCTCTATATGTTTAATAGGAGATTATATCTGTGTTAGAATAAAATATAGCAGAATATATTTTAAATCTTCAAAAGGGAAGGATTTCCTAACTTAAACCCTTAACTTTTAAAAATCTGAAACAAATAGTCTACAGGTAAATGAATAATTTTACTTTATCTAAAACAACAAGAATAAATTAAGAATACTAGGTCTATCCTGAGACAATATAGCAGAAACATATAAAACCAACAGGAAATTAGTGTCTAGAATATAAAAAGAATATCTAAAAGTCACAAATACATAAATATTTAAGGTAAAAAGTGGATGGGAAGTAAGTAAACATGAAAATGCAGTTGACACAAGAGTAAATAAAAATGGACAAGAAACGTATTAAAGATGCTTAACTTCACTAATATTTAGGGAAACGCAATCTAAAGACACAATTACTCATTACTTCGGAATTGTAAAAATTTAAAAACTATGAGCATGACAATGATTAGTGATACTCAATTGATTATGTTGGAGTATAAAACTAGGATCACCACTTTAGAAAAAAAAAATAGCACAACCTAGAAAATATATAGACTCAGTCATTTATCTCCCATTTTCAAAAAATTATAGGAACATGTGCACCTATTAACAATCCAGCATAAATATGAATACTCAAAGTAACTTTACTTGTATCAAAAAACAAGTTGTGGGGGAGGAGACAATTAAATGCATAGTAACAGAAGAGACAGATGGAATAATATACAGCAATAAAAATGAATAAGTGAATGAAAGCCATAGGCATCAACATGGATAAATCTCAGAAAGATAATATAACTGTGTTAAAATTTGAGTTTCAGAAGCATATTCATAATTTGATAGCATTTGAGTGTATTTTTAAATGCAAAATAGTTCCTTATGATTTAAAAATAGATTGATACATGGTAAAACTAAGTATAGGGCTATCCTTCAAACTTTGATTAAATTCCTTTGAAATCCCCAAATTGTAATGCATAAATGCAGTAGAAAGGGAAGAGGATAAAATAAGAGAAAAGCTCATACATTCTTTAACTCTAGTAATATTTTGCTTCTCAAAGGCAGTGGAAAGACACAGGTGTTTGGCGTGCCATTCCTTTCATGTCTTTCAATACAGTATAGCAAGGATTGAGGATTGTTTAAGTGAGGTTAAAAGATATACTAGCATTAAAGTGAGTTTCTCATTGAAGGATTGCAAGGAATTTAAATGGGAATAACTTCTTCAGTACGTGATTTACTGCTATCTAATGCTGTTGCCATGTAACAGCTAAAATTACCTTGAGAGTTGTAACTCATTCAACAGCCCATATTTTGGGAAACAGTGGAGTGGATACAAGACTCAGAAGACCGAGGTCTTCTGCTCTATTATGCCATTTAATAGATGTGTGATTTTGAGGCAAATCCCTTCACTGCTCTGTCTCATTTTTTCCATCTATAAAATAAAATCTTAAAGGCACTCAATACCCTGCAATAATAGAACCTTCTGATATTAAATTTAACTCATTTTCAGCTTTTAGAAGTTATCTTTTCACAGAGTTTTTTTTTTTTAATAGGAAGAAATGTACAGATAGTTGGGGGAGAGAGAGAGGACATGAGACCTGTGTTCTCAATTCTTTGTCCTATCTGGTGTGACATACTGTGCTCCTCTTGTCCAGGATATGAGAGAAAGAGGAGAGAAACAAAGTGAAATCTGATAAAAGAAGGCAGAAAAGAGCAGTGAAGGGGAACCCAGCCAGGCAGAGATGGGCAACATGGTGATATTTGTGAGTACAAGTTCTGCAATCAGCCTAACTGGGTCTGAATCCTGGATCTCTAGCACATCATGATGTGGCCTTATGCAAGCTACTTAATTCTCAAAGAATTATGTTTCTCTCAATGGAGATTAAAATACTTAGTATGTAAGATTGTTACGTGAATTAAATGAAACATTTTAAAGTAAGCTTAGTTGAAGAAGACACATTTGGTTGCTCTAGGAGGAATATATATTGGGATGCTCTAAATGATGAATTTTGACCTCGTTTGTATTGTCAGCTCCAATAATTT
Source organism: Homo sapiens (assembly GCF_000001405.40). NCBI lineage: Eukaryota > Metazoa > Chordata > Mammalia > Primates > Hominidae > Homo > Homo sapiens. The sequence goes on from NC_000005.10 coordinate 105,675,070, forward strand.
GATTGTTCCACCCTATTTCTTGTCAGCATCAGGCTTAGAGTGAGTACTGAAGAAGCCATTGCTTTTATTAATGTTACTGTTTTTATTAACAGAGAAATATAGGAGTGATACAAATTAATAAACTGAGTGGAAAAATAAAGCTTGGAATATGGTTAGTTCTGAAGGGAAAAAATGTTGAAAAAAATCAAAATTGGCTCTTAAATTTATGTTACAAGTAAGATGACAATAACAAAAAAAGTGGGGGAGGTATATTGGCGTGGTGCTTAAGACTAATGTTATAGTTATTAAATAATGTAACTTACAGTGAGGCAATTTAACTCACAGTGTATATTAATTATTTTTGTGAATGATAGGAATTGTTGCACTGTAAATTGTAGAACTAATACTAAAAAGAAAGGGCTGATATTGAAAAAGAGTATATTCCAGTTCTTCAGGCGACCCTAATTTATATGCACTGTGTTGCTGGAAGAAATTAAAAATGATCGACTATAAAATAAAATACTACCCAACTAATATGTTTCTTTTGATATTTAAATGAGGTAATACATGAAAAGTTTAAAAGAGTTTTAACATTCACATTAGTTGCAATAATAAAAAAGGTTATCTAGACATTTTCAATGAGTCTCAGAATCACAAGTGATTTATTTGTAAAAATTGGGGTAACTATAGTATCCACTTCATGAGGTTTAAGTAAAAGTGAATGATATAATATATGTTAAGTGTTTGGAATACCACAAACACAGTGAGGACTCACTAAGTGTTATTTATTGGCACTTTCGTGTCTTATGAATCATTATCTACAATTTCTGTGGAATCATGAGAAACAAGTGAGATATTTTATGTCACAATGTAGGTTAACATTGTTATTTTTAAGGGAAAAATATAAATATCTTAAATTTATGCCAATAAATCTGGTACTAATATCAAGGCCAAATTATGGAAATGTTTATATAAATAATGATTTGTGGGCTTTTTATATAATTGATATTTTTAAAGTTATATAATTATTTATTTTCATACATCTAGGTATTCATTAGCCTGCAGAAGATATGACACAATTATTCTTTTGAGTGCAGATTGGTAGTTAAAGAAGTCAGACTATGCAAATTTAAGTCCTTGCTTCATTGTTTTCTAAAAACATTATCTTCGATAAACAATAGAACTGTTAGTTCCTCAGTTTCATCACCTGTAATGTGAAAATAATAAAAGTACCTAGTACATTTTTTGGTGAGATTAGAACAGTGCCTGGCATATAAGTATTCAATAGGCATAGCTTTTAATATTATTTTCCAGAATTATAACATTTTCTACCAGATTCTTCTAGATTTCTGTGGATGGATTGAGTGTCACACTCACTTTTTTATATTAGTGTTCTTAATTCTAGTCTTTTGTTTTCAATTATATAGACAATATTTTGAGGTGGATTTCTTATTTTCCTTCTAATTTTTCCTGCAGTTCATATATCATCTTTATCTTATATACATATCTATGTCTTCCAAAACTTAGTTTTAAACAGAGATTAGAGGAAAGGATGACTAAACAGTGTTAGTGTTGAAGACAAATTTCATTTCTTTTATTTCAATTCCCACTTAATGTAAAATTATATACAAATTTAATTGTTCTGTTAGAATCACAGAACTTCATTGTCTTAAATACCATTCAGTAACCTGTCTTTATGAAATCCAAATATGATTTTAAATGGCTTAAATTTGATGATGTTTTACCTCACTACACTGCTGGAAAAAATTACCTTTGAATAAAGGAGAAATAGCCCAGCCTCAAGTTGTTGAGGTTGTTGTTAAAAGCAGCTTCATCCGAATGTATGAATGATGACAATATAAATTATTGTCTAACCTGGATAATTTGAACACTGGGAAAATTACATTAGGACAGCAGTTGTAAACTGGGACTATCAGGAAAAGTAGGAGGTATGTTAAGCCTATCGTGTATTAAACAGTAAAAACAATAACTAGTACAATATGATATAATTGTTTAAGAAGCCCAGAGGTAGATTCCACTTTCACTTTTATTCATACAATTATGATAACCTCCCAAATAGAATACTTTCATATCTTCCCCATTTTTATATTTACCTACTGGCAGCCTGCTGGGTATCTAAATCAAGAACTTTCTCTCAGGAGCAAATCAAAATTGCTACGTGTGAATTTTTAATTTTCCAGTTCCAAAGCTTAGAAGAACCAATAAGCATGCACTCAATTTTAATTTAAATTGAAACCCACAGCTGTATTTACTGTAGATGGTCTTTCAGGGAACTGAATCTAATATAATTTCTTCACTTATCTAATCATATTGAAGGGATGTTTGGACCAACCTGTTACAAGGAGAATATATAATGAAATAGGAAGAGATGACGTTATGTTTTATGATGTTTCATATTGTTCTGTTATTCTTTAGTTGTGAGAAGTAGTGAGTCATTTAGATTAAACATGTCAGAGAATGTAATGACTGCTGATAATAGTATGAAAAACAATACTGAAATTGTGGCTATTAATGGAGTCACAGATAATTCAGGACAGGACTGTTACATAGGCCTGCCCAGGTGGTGCGTTGCTCAATTATTAGAGGCATTGCCACATAAATTAAAATGTGAAGGTGCCTCCTGCCATGGAATTACGTGTGCTTCAGGGGCTCTTGATCCAGGTTATAATAAAGTGTTCTGACGGAAAACCAGAAAAAAAATAGTATCTTATTTTACTTTTTGAAGTATTTGTCCCAGAGTCTTTCAGAAATAAAGTCTTATATTTGTGGATAAAAGGGAATTGATTTCAAAACTTCACAAACTTTGAAACTTTTCTAATGGAATGAATAGGTAACCAATCTTAAAAAAAAAAAAAAGGTAGCGATGATAGATGACAAATGGATGGGGAGATAGATAGATAGACAGATCCAGAATGAAGGATGAGATTTATTTATTTACAGAATAAAGGTACTCAGTGCCCACCATCAGTAGCCACTTGACATGCAGTACGATTGAAAGGGTTACTCAATGAACTAAATATAAAATTGTGAAGTCATAATTTGGTTTCTTTTCTTGATTTGCTATGTAATTGTCCACAAATCACTTAACATGTAAATTTGATTATGTTTTTAACTGGGACTAACCTGTAATCCATATAAAATGGTTTTCTAAAAACAGTCATATTCATATCTCAAACATTTATTTGAACATTTATGTTATCTGCATGTTTTGATATTTATATAAAGGCAAAATTGTTTGTAAACATTTAACTTTTTAAAAAATTAACCATTTTTAATTTTAAAAATGGGGTGTTAAATTTTCATTTTCAGTAGATAGAACTCTTTGGCTACATATTGATCTAGATATTAGACTAACTTATATAGGCTTGGTTCAGGAGTGTATACTCTATCTCTGAAAGTCATCCAGAAATTTTCCCATATTCCAACTTAACTCTGCTACAATTTTAATATTCTTTATCAGAGTTCTCCATAACAAAGATGCAAGAAAACCCACTGTGGGGAAGCCAAGGTATATGGGGTCTGGAGACCAGATTTAGATAAGGCACCGAGGAACAAGAAGATTTGGAAAAGGAGAGTCAGGAAAAGCTGGGATGGATGAGGGATTTATGCCTGTTTTGAATAGTTTTTCTATAAGCATATTGTATTGTAGATGTACTTTATCTTGTTTTTGAAAGATCCCTCAGAATGTTTGACTTTCAGCTAGGACTTGTTTTGGGAAAGTATTTTGAGAACTCACATTATTTTCTTCTCCAAGTCCCATTAGAGAACTGAGATTGTAGGTGGGGTGGAGTTATGAAGTAAAAACTGGGAATTTTTTTTTTTCCCAGCAAGTTGTGAGGTGAGAGAAAACAAATCTTATAATTCAGCTCCTGTTTTATTACTTTTGTAGCCACTCCTGAAACGTGGCTTTGTAGCAGACAAACATTACTTTTTTTCACTATGCTTACTGGTAGAGGAGAGAATGTGAGAATGGAAAGGCACACTAAAAAGTTCTGAATGAATGTTACAACATGGATGAAGTTCCAAATCATTAAAGTGAATTTTAAAAGCCAGACAAAATATGTTCATACTGTATAATTCAATTTATATAAAATTCTAGAAAATACAATCTAATATAAAGTTTCAGAAAGCAGATCTTTGGTTTCCCGGGGACAGGGAGAAATATAGGAAAGGTGAGAGGAAGGGATTATAGAGAGACAGAAAGAAATTTGAGGGCTGATGAGTATGTTTACTATATTGATTGCTTTGCCAATGTCACAGGAATAAACATATATGCATACTTTACCAAATTGTACACTTTAAGTACATACAGTTTATTGTGTGTCAGTTTTATCTCAATTATTAAAAATAATAGTCCTTAGATAATAAATGATTAAAAGCAATTAAAATGATAACTAGTTATAACAAATACTTTTGTGCATAACTTTTGAGATGTGTGATACAGTCCAAACCAGAAAAAAAAAAAAAAGATGTTCTTCTATTTTCCAAACACTGTTTTCAGTCCTTTCAGTTCATACAACTCTAAGATTTTGCTTCTCATATCATGATCAAAATACAGGTTATTTAACACCAAAATAATATTTAAGAAAATGGTATGAGAGTAGCATTATAACCATGTTTTAAAAACAGTTATCTTAGTTATTTTAATAACTGGTTTTAGCCAGTTTGAATTTCTTAAATAAAATAAATAATTGTGAATCTACTATTATTCTGTGAATTTGCCGTTATTTCCCTAACTTTTCAGCCTCCAAAGTGTTCTAACATAGAAAAATTCTATTTCTTTTTTACTCTTTTAACGTGGAGTTTGTTCTGTCTGACTTTCACTAATCAAATTTAAAAAATGCTTATATGTTAACTGTGTTATCAGGCAATTTTTTATAGCTTGAAAAGTAATAATGACTTTCAGTAGTAAATAAAACTTGCCTTGATGTCATTTCAAATTAAATTATTAGTATCAAATTTCCTTTCACTGTTGTGCATTTGCTTTCTTTTGTATGCATTTGAAATAATGGTTTAGAGCACTGCAGATAAGTGTTTCTTTATTTCAATCTATGTTATATCAGAAGTAAATTTTTGAGCCAAATCAATAACGTGTCCACACTTACAGAATTTGCATAGAAGTATGTGTGTATGTGTGGGTGTATAACTTAAAGTTTTGGACTCAAATATTAAATTTAGTAGTAATGATGGCTGGTGTTGGCCTTCTCATGATTGCCATTATGCCTAAAGTATTCAAATATCTTCTAAAAATTATGAGAGGTATTGATTTAGAAACTTAGGACCAGTTAATTTAAAATTCCTCATTGCTGAGAGCAGTAGGGTCCCCTAACTTCATCAGTACATGGAAATTTCTTAGAAATGCAATTTCTCAGGCCCCACTTAGGACCTACTGATTTTAAATCCCTGTGTTTTAACCAGCTATCCAGGTGATTCTGACTCATATAGTTTGAGAATCACTCTACTAAATGAACATCTTTACTATCAACAGAATGCTTTTGAAAAAACAAAATAAGAAAATGGTACCAATTTGTGGCAATTGTTAAATAAAGGCTTTGATCTCAAGGGGAATATATACCTATACACATATATGCACATACCTACACAGATATTTAATATCACTGAGTAGAAAGTAAGAACCGTTTTCTGTTAGTTGCCATAGACAGGGTCAATTAGTTTCCCATTAAGGATTTGAACTGTATTGTTTTTTGCCTTTGACAATTGTATAGATTAAACTTGAATCGTAATCCCTAGCCAGCAATTCTAAGAGCTTAACCTAAAGGTAGATTCCATCTAACTAAGATATTTGAGTAATATGAGGTTTGTTACAGGTGAAAAACACAAAAAGCAAATGGCTACCCTCTCAAATTTCGACAGTTTTGTTTTTCAACAAACCGTGGTAAAAATGCAGAACACGGAGGTGAAACAACTGGAACTCATATCAGCATAGATCAGCGTGTTGCAGAGACTGAGAAAATGCTATAAGCTCCCAGCTGGGAAAACTTGTAATTGCAACCAGCCAGAACATTGATATAGAGATAGCAAAATTACTAACGAGGGAAAAAGAAAATTTAGGAGACAAATAGAGGAAGTGTTTTCCTATGTATGACAAGAGCCCTAGTAAATATGACAAAATGCTCGTCAAGAGCAGAATGTTGAACTGGCGTGAAGAAAATATAAAATTGATTACTACAATGACAAGCCACATAAAATGCCATAATAACAACACAGGAACTCATTTCAAATAAAAGTGAAATAAAAACACTCTCCCAAATTAAGGGGAAAAATGTGAACAAACTAAACTTCTTGCTTTGGGCAATTCTGTAACCAGAAACTATCAAAGTAATCAAGACTAATGGTAACATTATCATAACAGAAGAATACATATGGCTCTAGGGATTTCTTCAATATATACATCTATAGCCTCAGCGTGTAACATCAGGAAAGTAGCAATCTGGGAGCTAATACCCCATTACAGTAGAATTTGAAAAAAGCTATCCCATAAATTCATTTCTAAGCCAAGAAGTATCTCTTCCTTGATTCAAGCATACCAAAATGCAGGGAGGCAGAAATATGCTTCAGTTATGTATTCAGAATTGCAACATTATACATATTGATATCAATTCAAAAATGTATCATTACAGCTGCTTATTATTAATGAAGTCTTGTGCTAAAGTCAGAGAATTGAAGGGATCAGGAAGACTCTGCGTCTTATTTGCAATGATTATCCCTGAAAAATTCTTCAGCTGCAACTGAATTGCAAGCACTATACGAATGATTGTTAAATGTCTCGTGAGCACAAAGACTCATGTTGTCCTGTGAACTGCTGCCTCTAATCAATCAAATTCTGTTGGACAAGACTTCTCATGTTAGAAGGCAACCAGGGTACAGTTTATTAGCAGTGGATAAACAAGACCCTTAAAAATTACTAACAACAGATGTATAGAATAGTACTCACCTGTATCAGGTGAGATAGTTCTGGTTGGTGGATTGGTGTAGTTGCACCTGAGTTTCAAAGTTCCCCGTAATCCCCAAATCAACAAATTGGGCAGTAGCAAATTTGGTTTAATAACCAAAACTGTGTGGGATCTTGGCAGCTCTGTAGAGAGATGCTTCTGTGACTTAAATGGTGCTCCCTGATGTCTTCCCTTTTACACTGTTCCTCATCCTGGCATTCACCCACATTTCTCTTACACACAGCACTTGTTTTGTTTGTTTTGTTTTGGTGAGGCTATTTTGTCCACCTTCCACAAGCATAAGAAAAGAGTCCGCTACAATGGATAGTAAGAATAGCTTGTTGGTGGGTACAAAAATTCAGTTAGTTAAAAGGAATAAGTTCTAGTGTTCAGTAGCACAATAGGGTGACTGTAGTTAATGATAATTTATCATATATTTCCAAATAATAAGAGTGTATTTGAAATGTTCCCAACACACAAAAAAAGACACGTTTGAGGTGATGAATATCCCAACTACCCAGATTTGATCATTACACATTGCATGCTTGTTTCAGAATATCACATGTACCCCATAGATGTGTGCAGCTATTATGTATCCCTAATAATTAAAAATAAAAAATAGCTTGTTGATATTTAAAAATAAAATTCTAAATATAACAAGTTTATCTACAGGGAGTTATTTATTGTTAGGATACAAAAAATGAGCCTACTATTGCTTATTATATATTTTTCTATACCAGTTAACTCTTTTTTTACCATGCCCATGTGTTCACTATTTAAGTAGATTATTTTAAAGTCACATTTAAGCATTCAAAATTTCTCAGCCTCATGAATTCATGTGATCTAAAAATCTCTATTGTATAGAAACTCATAAAACTCAAACTCTTTTTTTTACAAAAGTCATAAATTAAGAATAAAAAAGCAAATAGAAAGTGAAATTTCTTATCAAAATAATTTTGTTAAATCAAAATACACATATTTGTACTAAAACGTTCTGGTTCTGCATGATGAAATACATTTTCATATCCTTCTGCTACTTAACTTTTGGCTCTCCATCTCTACTCTAAAAGGAAGATAGTTAGATATTTATGGAACATAATATAGATGCTGCCGACTTTTTTTTCCCCAAATGTTCAATGCTTTTTTATTTCTTTTGGACTGTTATTTACTTCCATATATCACCATTTTCCCAAGCACAGAAGATGTAAGATACTTATGCATGGCTAAACTCTGTCTTCCTCTTCTCCTATAATTTCATGCCTCCAGAAGAGCTCCAGAAGTAGCTGGGACTACAGGCGCATGCCACCACACCAGGCTAATTCTTTTTTTTTTTTTTTTTTTTTTTGTATTTTTAGTAGAGACAGGGTTTCACCATGTTGGCCAGGATGGTCTCCATCTCCTGACCTCATGATCCGCCCATCTTGGCCTTCCAAAGTGCTGAGATTAAAGGCATGAGCCACCGCACCCGGCTAGTTATTTTCATCTTGATACACATATATATACATATATATATATAGTGTGTGTATATATATGATATATATATCGTGCCAGTGTTTTGGTTTATTCTTTAGTTTCGCTCATGTGTCCTGATACTTTATTACAATCTTCTTCCTTCTTTCATCCACTTTAACTGTTTGTGTATTTTCATCTCCTGGATCCCAAAGGAAGATCCTAGGAAGTAGTAATGATAGCAAACCCTTAGAGACAGGCAGGAGATCTAGTCCCAATTTTGTTAAAGATGAGCGGTGCTCACTTCAAAAAGTTTAAATACGTGAGTCTCAGTTACTTATTCATAGACCAACTTGTGAGAATTAGAGATGCGTCACTCTATATAGAGAGGAGAGAGAAATGCATTATTTCAAAACGTCTGTGAAATGTAACAAAAACTGTGGATTAGGTTCAATGATATTTCAATGTATTAAAAAGTAATACTACACATAGATATTATCTGACTATAATGTAATTATGTTAGATTTTAATATAAAACAATAAACAAACTAAGGAAAAATTTTTTAAACATCTCACTTGATAGCCTGGGTTAAGGAAGAAATCAAATGGTATTTTAAACTTATTTAGAATATAATGAAAATTCAAAAATATAAAAATTAATAAATTACGGGACATCTATAACTGCACTGGGAGAAATCTATAACTAAGGTACTCTCATAAACAAGCCAATTAAAAAGATAAGGTGCAGTGGCTCATGCCTATGATGCTAGTATTTAGGGATCTGAGGCAGGAGGATTGCTTGAGCCCCGGAGTTTGAGACCAGCCTGGGCGACATAGGCAGATACCATCTCTATGGGGAAAAAAAAAAAAATTAGTCCAGCATGATGGCATACACCTGTGGTCCCAACTACTCAGGAGGCTGAGGCATGAAGAGCTTAAGCCCAGGAGGCCTAGACTGCAGTGAGCTGTAATCATGCCACTGCACTCCAGCCTGGGTGACAGAGTGAGACTCTGTCTCAAAAAAAAAAAGTAGATAAAGTAACCCATTGCACAAAATGCTAGAAACATAATAATAAAATAAGTTTCAAATGAAAGAAATACTTAGGAGTAATTTAATAATTCCTTCATCAGAAAACAATGAATGAGTAAATAGTATTTACAAATGACAATAGACAAACATATTTATAGAACAACTCACCAACACAAAAAGAGATTTCCAAAGGGTGCAGATGTTTAAATACCAACACCTGGAGCACAACATCCTCTCTTAAGGCCCAGCCTTGCAAAAACTATAGCTTCTCCAAGGCATTTGGAGAAGTTCTGAACTTAGCATAGTCTGGATATGTAAGACAGGACAGCTTATTTGGGTCAAATGTACTCCATCGATCTCAGAGTAGACAACCCAAAGTAAGACTTTATGGAATCGACAGTTCTTGAGTGAACAATGCTCTGATTTATCAACATTATACTATTGGAGAAAGCAGCCTGATCCAAGAACATTCCTGAGGTTACCTCTGTGAAACCAGAACAACAATTATATCTGACATATCTCCAAGAGAATGCCAACAAACCCTACCAGAGAGCTATGGAGTTTATCCCACAAAATATATGCCTTGTGTATTGAAAAATGCATTTCAAAAGTATTTTTGGCATACTCAAATAAGAAGAAAGAGAATATACAAATCAAAAGTAAAAAATTGGAAAACATAAGTTCAAAAACACCGAGAAAATATTTTTGCTCAACTGTTTAAAAAATTACAGAATATATAGTGTATTTAAATAATAAATTCATACTAGAAGATATATAGGACAACAAACAATGCATACATGCCCCTTCACCCACCCCTATTCACGTCCCTACTCCAAATTTAAGAATTTATTCCAATAAAATAATTATGAGAATGTATAAAATAAATCAAAAGAACCATAGTGCCCACCTAGTACCATACATAATAGAGAATATACATATAAATTTCTACCATATGTATATGTGAATATATATAATATGTACAATGACAATGTAAAAGAAGGCGACTCCACAGTGTTGTCCTCAGTGGAGGGAAGAAACCTTCCTGGTCTTTCAAGTTACCACAAAATGTCCTGTCACAGATTACATTTTCTTTCAGATCCTTTCAAGCAGTAAAGGTACTGTGTGGAGGCCAGGGGAACAGTGGAAAGTGGTTCATATTCATTGAAATATTATGGGGTCCCTGGATATATGTCTGCCAGCCCATTGCTTCAAATAAATGGTGAGGAAGTCAACACATTCCTGAGTGCTTATGTGAGGGTAAACACAAGGTCAGTCTCTCGACGTGTCTTCCTGGAGCTACTGCCCTTAAGAACCGCAGGCTTCAGGCCTACCTGAAGTATGTTCCTGCATATAGTAAGTGTCCAATTTTTAGAGATATGTAATAAATGATGATGAATTCACACAATGAAATCCCTTGCCAATAAAAATATTATATTACAAAGTATTTTACAAAGCAAACAAATTTCAACAAGATGTAACTATAGTTTCGATATATTTTTGCAAATCAACAGGCATGGATTACCTCCTTAAAGTCTAAAGAAATAGTCTTCTGGTTCGCCGTTACGTAAATTGCATCTGTCAGCTCTAATTCCATCCACCTTTCAAAAAAATCATTCCCAACTATGCTAAGAATTTATTAATGAGTCCCAGATTTGGTAATCTGGTCAAATTTTGGATAAGTGACTATTTTTATCCGTATCATTTTACTTTTCACTTTATTTTCAGAAAGCATAATAAAGATTAGAGTTTAATCTTTGTAGTTTAATTTACACTATAATAATTCATCTTGTATCAGTGAGGTCAGTGCCTTTTGCCAAAAGGAAATTGCACTATTTGATACTTCGTACTTGATATGAACACACTCTTATTCATCTGACCAGGTAGATTTTTGAGGAAAAAGTTCTGCAATTTTCATCATTTTCTACATTTGCTTTAGACACTAATAGGAACTTTCCCAGATTTTGTAAGTTTTCCAAAGAAAGTTTTGTTAAATATAGAAACTAAAATAAATGGGTGCTTTTTGATATAGTTTTAATAATTACTAACCTAGTTAATACAAAATTACATTAAACACCTATTAAATTTAAGATTCTTGTGTTTCATATTATGGGTGATACAGTGTGATATTTATCCTCAAGGAGCTTAGAGTCTAGTCGAATTGAGGAGAGGTACATCTCTATAATACAAAGCAGGGTGTGCTAAGTATTTTGAGAGCTTTTCAAATTGCTGTTACAGCAGTCTATGCCCTTTACCAATTACTTTCAGCTGGGAGGATTAGGGAATTCTTAAGGAAAAAGGAATCCTAAGACTTGAAAACTAAGCATGCATTGAGCAAGTGAAAATAAGGGAAAGGTACTTTACTCTGGGGCAGAGAAAAGATACCACGTCAAAGAGGGTTTAATGGGTGGTTCAGGAGCAGAAATGATGTATATGATATGAAAGAGTAGGGGACAGAAGGATTTCTGGCAAGGTTAAAAATGTAAGTTGACATATGATTAAAAGAAAGCTATCTCTCATTTAGTCTTGCAAAATTGTTACAGGAAACACTTGGTATCTCATTCCTTCCTATTACTTAAAGTGAATTGCACTGGAGAATTTTCCAGGAAGAGGCTTCACTGCTATCTTTAGGGTTTTATTGTCTTGGTCATCTACTGAGAAATACACCCCAACTAAAAAACATTAAAACAAAATTCTCAACTATATACTGAAGACTTCTGATTAGGTAAGTAATTCCTAGTAGCTGATTTTAAAATCACTATTTACCAACTTTCTTCAGATTGGATCTGATGAAAGTTTGCCTGGTATAGAATTCAGAACTTCACATCATACAGTATTTTATTTAGTAATTCCTTTTCTGCAAACAAACTAGCAGAACCAAATACTACTTTGGTTGTTGCACCATTACCATTACTGGAGGTGTATCGCATTGTTTCATTAATATGGCAGAACAGGGGACTGCTTCTCCATTTTCAGAGTCATAGAGGCCAAGATTTCCAACTTAGTAGCTCTTTGCTAACACTTCTGATCCACCTGAATTTAACTGTATTTTCCTTTAGAAGTATTGGAAATGCTTCAGGTCTCATTACCTCATCAACTGTCCTCCTAACCCCATAAAATAATGAAAAGCAAAACAGCTTTTCATAGGCCTTCATTGTAATTGATTCTCCGGGGTATCTTTGCACTGCTCCATTAAAACGGTGTTGTTGTTATGATGATATTTCTCAGCAGGGGTGTTCTAAATAACTGATTAATATGCAAAGCAGTAAGAATGTAACTTTTGCTGTTAAATTGGCCAATGCCTAGGATCTCCAGGCCGCTGAAACAAAACAGAATAAAATGTTCCAAGCATTCTTTCTGACAGAAGTGTCTAAAATGCCAAGGAACCAGGTAGCTAAAATGTAAAATATATTCATCACAGCATTGTGTGGTACAATGTATCAGTACATTTATCACTTTTGAATTCTTTATGCCACTGTGTGTGGAGGGTCTGCGGGGGTTACACCAATAAGTTTTATAATTTAAGGCAAAACCCCTGAATGTTATGTTACTTCTTTCAAGTGAAGGTTAAAATATTTCTATAATGAATCTATTTTATACAGTGATTTTATTTATAGAGCCCCTTTATATCTTGCTAGGCATATTAAGTATTAGAGTGTGTTTTCAAATTTCTTCTTAAGGTCCTATTTAAATTTAAAAAAAGGAAAAGAAAAATAGAAACCAGATGGTTTTGTTATTGTCCTGCTTCACAAAACACAATCAAACAAAACTATTGCGACAAACAGAATTAAAGAAAAAGTGCATAATATCAACCTTCCCAACCCATATGTTCCAGATACCCGAGTTTTGCCAGAGGTTTCAAACAATATAGCAACTCCAAGAAAACGCTTTTAGGAGGGAAGCCAACAAGCCCCCCACCCCTAGTGGCTATGGCACAGGCTCACAAGCCCTGTCCTGAATTCTTCACATATGCTTTCTGGTTTGCTCAGTGAACAGCACCAAATCACTGGAGATTTTATGCCCAGTGACTTCTCACCAGGCAGATTCTAATTTGGCAATAATTCTAGGGTCCTCCTGGTGAGAAAGCTGCTTCTGGCAGGAGCTGCCTCACTGATGGAGGGGAGGTGTTTCCGCCCATGGCTTTGTTCTCTTTAAACCAGGCCTGAGATCACATCTGCTCCTAGGGCTCCCAGCCTAAGGGGACCTCTGAGAGAAGAATCACCACAGAGAACTCTGTATTTTCTGGTGAAATGCCATCCTCTTCCCTATGTCAGAATGAATGCTCCTCATTGCCTAATGACCTTGGCAGTTTTTTTTTCTAGCAGGAAATTTTACCTGAGATATATAAAGCGTCATTGTATGTAGGAGAAAGCAGTGTAAGTTAGACTGTGGAACCTCATGCCACGTAGAAGTGACAGGAAGGTATGAAGACATGCTTTCCTTGGGGTCATGTGGCTACAAAATTACCAGCTAGATGAGGTGTTTAAGAAATAAAAGACAATATTGACAGAAAAAAATAAAAGAAACATAAATAAAAAAACACTTGCCCTATCTGTGGAAACAAAACAAAACTTGTTGTCTTCATGAGGAAGTATTATAGTCATAAAAAATATGCTTGAGTAAACAATGAGACTTGGAATGTGTGGTGTTGTTTCTTATGAGTGCTGTCAGTTCTTCTGATACTGATTTCTACCAAAGTAACTTCTATATCTGTAAACTTTGAACACTTAAGAAAATTCTGGCTCAGAAATTTCTGGCTTATATGAATGAAAATATTTTAAAAGTAACATCTTTTTAAAAGTCAAATCAGTCCATACTTTTTAGCAATGTCCCAACAGGGAAAATGAAAAAGAAGAGGCCCATTTATTTGCACACTATTAAGATAAATAGATATCTCCCGCAGCTGGTACCACACAGTATTGCTAATCAAGTCAATGCAAATGTTTCCAATTCTTCATTTATAGTTTTACGTGAGATAAGTAAATATTCCTTCCATTTCACTTCATTAAAAACACTTTGAATTTCCACAATAGCAAGTACTGAAGCTAAGCCTTTCCATGGAGACCTCTGCATGAATTAGTAACCACTTGAAACATATTCTTTTCAAAGAAAGATACAATAATTTATGTCATCTCTTTGTATGGTTCATTTAAATAGTTTTGTATGTATGTGAAAGAGAGATAGAAATATTTCTGAGAGAAATGGCAGACAAAGGATGCTCTGAGTAGTGTGTGTGTGCTGCCTATGGCTATTTTATAAGGAAATCTACCAGCTCTCAATAATGCGAAAATCTTCTTGAGAGGCGCCGTGGCACAGCAAGTCACTGAACCAGAGAAATTCAATTTGCCTACTGTAAAGTATGTTTTGTCTCTCTCAGAAAGCTCTAATTCAATCCAAAATTACTTTCTAGAAACACTCATTCTGGCAAAGGAAGGGTGTCCAGGGTCTGGAATAGGACAGACTACACTGGGCTAAAACTGTCAAAAAGCATTCAGTGCTGCTTCTCAATCCTGAGACACGGACCACAGACCAACCCAGAGGTCACTGATCTCTCCATGTTGGAAATCTGTGTATATTTGTGATTGAATAACCTTTAGGTAACTTTTATTTTTCATCTATATTTACTTTAACAATGCCAAGGGAGAAATGGGAAACAGACAATAGATGGTTAGATTAAAAATATATGGATGGGTAAGGAAATACATCTCTACTTGAATTCTATGAATCGTAAGTTATTTGCAGATAGCTTCTTTGAATATGCCTAGAGAGGTTTGCAATACTATTCTAATATATCTTTGTGGCTAAACCATTGACTATATAAAGTAATGGTTCATATGAGCCAACTCCAAACTTAACCCATTTTCCTTCTAAATTACATAGTTAAGTTTATGTTATCAAAACTTGGCAGATTTTGTCAAACATCATTTATTTCCTCTGCTTTTTTTAGAAATCATGATAGTATCTTGCCTACAGTACTATTATTAATTTAATCATGCTGTCTATGATATGAATTAGAAGATCTTCATAATAATTTTTCAGTCATTATTATTAAATATCTCTCATGCTTCCTGAAAAAAACTCATTTTAATCTGATTATTGAGTTCTATATCCAAAGCTATAAGTGATAAGAATCTTAAAATAATCTAATGAGTATATAAGAATATAAAAAATAAGGGTTTGGCAAATATCTGTAGCACTTTGGTAAACTTTGTTTTTTAAACTAAGATTGATTTTACATTTCAATATTTGTAGCTAAATGTAAAAAATAGTTAAATAATTACCTTTAAGTGTTTATTAATCAAATTCAACAAGATTATAGTTGTTATGGTGGTTCATAAAGCATATAAAAGAATCCCCTGGAAATATATTCAAGTTATTACATCAATTTAAAAAATAATTAATACATAAATTTGAAGAAATAAAAAATTAAAATAAAAGAATCCCCTGGACATCTTCTTTAAAAAATGAGCTATGTGAGACCTACCCTTGAAGATTCAAGTTTACCCTATTATACCATTATTTTAGCAAGTTATTCAGTGACTATAATGCCGGTGATTATTTTAGTAAAATTGGAGGAAGAAAAATCACTGCCATGCAAGCATCTTCTAAAACCTACCTGCGAACTTGTAAGCCTGAAATATATGTGTTATGATAACATTTTAGTAAGCTTCATATCTTTTTATGTTATTTGAAATATTTTATAATTTATTTTTGGGGAGGTAAGACTAGTCATCTAAGAAAAAGGATAAGCTTTAAAAAACCTCTATTCTTAAAATGCAGCATTTATTTGTTTAAATGTTTACCTTATTAGTAGGGTTAATTCATTTGCCTACTCAGTAGGGAAACTTTAGACTATAGTACTATATAGATGATTTATAGAGACTTGGCTGCATGATTCATTTCTCTACAACCAAAATCTCAAAATAATCAATAATTTTGATCTGTCATTGGTATATAATATATTATGGTGATCAGAGGGAAAAACATGATCTTACTTTCAATTTCATGCAGCATGAAACTATCAAGTATTCCAGATTTTTTTTTAACATAAGCAGTCATCTTTATTTTGTTCAGCTAACAAGTAAAATAATTTTTCAATTTTAACTTATTCTAAAAATGTAAAGGAAGTATATGTGTTGGGAAAGTATTACCCCTACTGTGTGTCCTTTCTTTATCAAAATCTGACAAATAAGTCCATTAGTACTCCTTGATTTTTTGTTGAAATTAATTACTACTTTAAGTTTTTCCCATAGTAGAGAACATATGAAAATCAATAAAGCTATTTAGGCTCTCTGGTATCTCATTGAGTATTATAAAATGAATACATTGGAAGATACTAATATCTTTTTTTTTTTTTTTTGAGACAGAGTCTCACTCTGTTGCCCAGGCTGGAGTGCAGTGGCACAATCTCGGCTCACTGCAAGCTCCACCTCCCGGGTTCATGCCATTCTCCTGCCTCAGCCTCCCAAGTAGCTGGGACTACAGGCATCCACCACTACACCTGGCTATTTTTTTTGTATTTTTAATAGAGACGGGGTTTCACCGTGTTAGCCAGGATGGTCTTGATCTCCTGACCTTGTGATCCGCCCGCCTTGGCCTGCCAAAGTGCTGGGATTGCAGGCGTGAGCCACCGTGCCCGGCCAGATACTAATATCTTTCAAGATTTAGAAAAGAGTATTTTAGTTAAATAAATAGTTCAGAAGTATGAAACAATATGATAAAATATACCTAACATTCATGGCTTTTTGCTGAGGGACAGCAGAATCAGCCAAATAGAGGAAGGTATACTATGTAGCTCATGAAAATTCAACTTCTTGGCCTCTTTCTTTCACGAATCTCAAGTCTCCATTTCTCTCATTCTAAATAAATATTGTTCCCTGTTGAATTCTATAGTCTTAATTTTGTCTCCTTCTTCTTAAAGAGGGTTGCCAAATATATGAATTTCAGGCCTGCAAAACTTGAATCTATCCTTTTATGTAAATGCTTGTAGTTAAGAGAAAAGAAGAAACAAAGTTCTTATACCTTCTGTCTCCATTTAAATAGCTCTTATTCTATAGAAGCTATTAAAACTTTTCTTTTTATAAAATAGAAAGCAACTATGTGTATGCATTCAATCGAACTACAAGAGGAAGAAAAGTTCCTTAAAGAAGGGTTGAATTGGTTATCTTAATCATGTGCCACCTTTTCAGCATGCAAAGCTGAGGTTATAATTGCTGATACCGGTTAAAGAAGGGGGCTACTGTCTTGGCTGATGTCATGTTAGCCAACTGGCCATAGGATGCTCATCTCTGTGGGTATTCTACCTATTTACTCTTTTTTTTTTTTTTTTTGAGACAGAGTCTTGCTCTGTCACCTAAGCTGGAGTGCAGTGGCACAATCTTGGCTCACTGCAACCTCTTTCTCCTGGGTTTAAGCGATTCTCCCTGCCTCAGCCTCCTGAGTAGCTTCGATTACAGGCACCTGCCACCACGCCTTGCTAATTTTTGTATTTTTAGTAGAGACAGGGTTTCAGCATGTTGACCAGACTGGTCCCAAACTCCTGACCTCAGGTGATTCGCTCACCTCAGCCTCCCCAAGTGCTAGGAATACAGGCGTGAGCCACCATTCCCAACCCTGTTCTGCCTATTTACTTCTTCAAGCTCCATGACAGCCATTCTGAGTTGTCATGTTGTATCCATTTTTTTTTTCACTGTAGAAGACCAGCATATGCCACCCCAAAGTAAGCCATTTTGGCATAAGGATTATTTTGAGCTGAAGATATTTGCGATTTACCAGATGGCAGAAAGAAGCCTTTCTTGGAGCTTCCCTTAACTGACTAAAAGCAGAAACTTCTGAGAAATGTGGACTACCATAAATCCCATCTCCCAGGGAAGTTTTATGGCCATGAAGAAGATGGGAAGTGAGTGCTGAGATGGATTTAAATAAACCTTACTCTATTACTTATATTTATATACCTTCCCACAGTTCACCATCCTTGGGAGCTTAAACCTCTTTCCTTTGTCTGGTCATGTTTCTACAAAGTCATAGCTTTTGTTAAGACAATATATTAGCCCAAGTTCTAACCATAACTTTGAGTTACTCATCACTGATTTTTTTTCCATGTGTACGCACCACATGTGTTAATAAACTCTGTTTTGTTTTGTTTTTTTTCTCTATTGTTAATCTGCATTTTGTCAGTCTATTTCACAGGACCCCAGTCAGGGAACCTACCTGGGCAAGTAGATGAAAAGGTTTTGTTTCCCCCTTTCCTACACAATCTATTTCTAAAGGCAAATGTGAAAATTGCCTTTACTGTGTTTATAGTAGAATAGAACTTGGGACTGAAGAAGATTTCTGCTATATCCTTAATAAGTCACACTGACACCCATGCTGGCAAATTTCTCTTCTGCTTCTGTCCTGATCACTTACCTTATTTCCAATCTTAGAAAAACACTCAAATTAAAGTCGTAGTAAAAATGGATCTCATGAGAAAGACTTGTGAAGAAATTGGTTGAAATAGAGGTGACCTATCTGAATGTTATATATATATATATATACACACACATACACACTCTGCTGAAAATAAGAATAGGTAAATGCTTTTGGTGGTTTTGTGTTTGCATTTGTGTTTTATTTTGTTTCACTTTGGTTTTGTACTTTTTAGACAGGAAAGCGCAGCCGCCATAAAACATGTCTCTAGAAGGAAAATACAGAGAAAAAGGATTGGTTTGGGAATATAGATTTTTAGAATTATCTACAATATGAAGTTGATCAAGTTCAGAAAATGTATTAATGCAAAGTCATACTTATGATATATGAGATACTGAATAAGAAGAGCTGGAGGCACAAAGAGAAACTGAAAATTTACTTAGTAATATGAATGTTTGGCTTCCATAATTCCAAATGATTTCAACTATTTAGCTGTTCAATTTTGTATACATCATCATATAGGTAAACAAAACAATATTTAAATAAATATATAGCAGGATGTGGCTCTACTAATGGCCTTTTCTGGACTTGTCAGATGTCTCCTGCCTTTTTGTCATCTAAGTCCTCTTTATTATTTTTATTTTATTTTATTTTATTTTATTTTTATTAATTTGTTTGAGACAGGGTCTTGCTCTGTTGCCCAGGCTGGAGTGCAGTGGTGCCATCTCAGCTCACTGCCACCTCAACTTTCCATGTTTAAGTAATCCTCCAGCCTCAACTCTCCAAGTAGCTGGGATGACAGGTGCATGCCACCCACTATGCCCACTAATTTTTGTATTTTTTTGTAGAGATTGGCTTTCATCATGTTTTCTAGGCAGGACTCTAACTCCTGAGCTCAAGTAGTCCACCTGCCTCGGCCTCCCAAAGTGCTGGAATTACAGTCATGAGCCACCACACCTAGCCCTAAGTCGGCTTTAATAAAGAGGCTTGACCTATGTAGGTGAAATTTTGGAAAACTGGGCCTTGCTTTGACATTATAAACCATTTATATTTTTGGAGCCTCTTTTTTTTTCTCATTTATAAAACGAGGGACTTACATTAGTTTCTAATACTCTAGCTTTTAAAATATAAACGAAACATGAGATATCCATAATTTAAAAAAATCTGGACACAGCCAGCAAAGTAAATATTTAATATTTGGAAACAATAATTATCTTTATAGTGGTAATTTTATGTTGTTCTACTTTTTCCAGATGAATTTATTTTTTAATTTTTTAATTACTTTGTTTGACCCTTTTGTATGTACTTTACCCTTCCAGGGGGAAAACAAGGAGAAGAAGAAGAAAAAAATGAGAAGGAAAAAATAAAGTAAAGCAGTGACGGGAAGAGGAGGGAGAGAGAAAAGAGAACATTTCTTGTCATTTTAATTTTTTAAAATAATCTTCAGTTAAAAGGATGATAACTTACTGTTATTCAGTTCTGACCTGAATATAAGCCCAGAGTTAGAAGCTTGAAAAATCCAAACAACAATGTAATTTTGATAAGGACCTTAAAAAGCCATTGAAAAAAATATGATAAATTATCCCCTTGCAATAATATAGCTTTGGTTTCTGGAGAATTGTTTCTACAGTTGATTTTCGTAATAGATGAACTCATTTGGAGCTATTTTTCTCTTCCTCTCTTTGCTGAAACTCCAGTTTAAAAGAAAAAACTTTCAGTCAAACTCATTAAAAGTAACACTTTTGTAAAAAATCAGATAGTTATCAGTGTTTATTCTTATTGCTCTCTTTCTTATGCATATTTGATTATAATCATCATAGTAATTATCAACTCAAAATGTAGTTATCTGTCTTACCCAGTATGTGATACATTTTTGAAAAGAAGAGCTATATTTTGCCCAGTGCCTGGACTAGTAAATAACTTGTTTTCAATCATTATTGAATAAATGAATAGATTACTTGCTATTTTGGTATACTTTAAACAGACAGGGAAGGTCTCCAGGGATTGAAAGAATTTAATCTCAGCAATCAACCTGTTTTACCCTGTTTTACCCTGTAGGCTGTTTTTCCCAAATCCTATGTGAAATGCAGTCACCTAGTCAGTTGAAATCAGTTCCTGACAAACCCGAGCCACCTACAGATGAACCTGAGTGAACTTTCTGTATTACCATGTTAAGGTTTTCACCCCAGGAGGAGCTATAGCTTCATTACCGTAACATGTGACCTGTGTGCTGGCACAATGACTCACTGCATCTATACAACTGGGACCCCTCCACTACATGCTGTGATGAATGCTTTTCCCTCTCCATTGTCCATTAAACCCTCCTGTCACTTTTGCTTGGAGAGACACTGCTTTGGAGAATACTCCCAGTGCTCTCCTTACTTGTGCCAAGCAATAAGAGTCCTTTTGTTCAAAACCTGCAATTCTTGTGGAGTGTTATTGTTACTCAGCAGGCCAACAAACACCAGTTTTTCAGGTAATCATATCAATAAAATATGCTAGAATTCAGTTTAAATTATTAGGAAAGTAAGATTACAAAAGGTATAGGTTTGGTAATTTGCCGTTGGCAATAAAGACATATTTGAGGTGTTACACATTTTGATAGTGGTATTTTTAAAAATATTTATTTATTTACTTATTTTTAGAGAGGAGGTCTTGCTCTGTCACCCAGACTAGAGTTCAATGAAGCAATCACTGCAGACTTGAACTGCTGGGCTCAAGCAATCCTCCCACCTCTGATTCATGAGTAGCTAGGACTACAGGCATATGCCAGCACATCTAGCTTTTAGCGTAATTTTTAAAGTAAAATCATATATATTTAATTCTGACTCACCATTTTTAAGATGTTTGTGTTAGTCCATTTTCATACTGCTGAAAAAGACATACCCATGACTGGGAAGAAAAAGAGGTTTAATTGTACTTACAGTCCCACATGGCTGGAGAGGCCTCAGAATCATGGAGGGAAGTGAAAGACACTTCTTACATGGTGGCAGCAAGAGAAACTGAGGAAGATGCAAAAGCACAAACCCCTAATAAAACCACCAGATCAGCTGGGTGCAGTGGCTGACGCCTGTAATCCCAGCAATTTGGGAGGCCAAGGCGGGCGGACATAAGGTCAGGAGTTTGAGACCAGCCTGACCAACATGGTGAAACTCCGTCGCTAATAAAAAATACAGAAATTAGCCAGGTGTGGTGGCATGTGCCTGTAATCCCAGCTACTCAGGAGGCTAAGGCAGGAGAATGACTTGAACCTGGGAGGCAGAGGTTGCAGTGAGCCTAGATCGCGCCACGGCACTCCGGCCTGGCAACAGAGCCAGACTCCGTCTCAAAAAAAAAAAAAAAAAACAACAAAAAACCCATGAGACTTATTAACTACCACAAGAAAAATTGGGGGGAAACTGCCCCCGTGATTCAAATTATCTCCCACCAGGTCCCTCCAGCAACATGTGGGAACTGTGGGAGTTACAATTCAAGATGAGATTTGGGTGGGGACAAAGAGCTAAACCATATCATTCCATCCCTAGTCCCTCCAAATCTCATGTCCTCACATTTGAAAACCAATCATACCTTCCCAACAATTCCCCAAAGTCTTAACTCATTTCAGCACTAACCCAAAAGTCCATAGTCCAGAGTCTCATCTAAGACAAGGCAAGTCCCTTCTGCCTATGAGCCTGTAAAATCAAAAGAAAGCTAGTTACGTCCTAGATACAATGGTGGTACCGGTATTGGATAAATACAGCCATTCGAAATGGGCGAAGTTGGCCAAAACAAAGGGGCTACAGACCCCATGCAAGTCCAAAATTCAGCGGGGCAGTCAAGCCTTAATCCAAAATAATCTCCTTTGACTCCAGGTCTCACGTCCATGTCCTGCTAACACGAGAAGTGGGTTTCCATGGTCTTGGGCAGTTCCACCCCTGTGGCTTTGCAGGGTACAGCCTCCCTCACGGCTGCTTTTGTGGGCTGGCATTGTCTGTGGCTTTTCCGGGCACACACTGCAAACCGTAGGTGGATCTATCACTCTCGGTTCTGGAGGACGGTGGCCTTGTCACAGCTCCACTAGGCGGTGCCCCAGTAGGCACTCTGTGTGGGGGCTCCAACCCCACATTTCCCTTCTGCACTGCCCTATCAGAGGTTCTCTATGAGAGCCCGGCCCCTGAAGAAAACTTCTGCCTGAGTATCTAGGCATTCCCATACATCTTCTGAAATCTAGGCGGAGGTTCCCAAAACCCAATTCCTGACTTCTGTGCACTGGGAGTTGCAACACGATGTGGAAGCTGCCAAGGCTTGAGGCTTGCACCCTCTGAAGCCATGGTCCAAGCTCTACGTTGGCCACTTTCAACCATGGCTGGAGCAGCTGAGATGCAGGGCATCAAGTCCCTAGGCTGCGCACAGCATGAGGACTCTAGGCCCAGCCCACGAAACCACGTTTTCCTCCTAGGCCTTAGGGCCTGTGATGGGAGAGGCTGCCGTGAAGATCTTTGACATGCTCTGGAGACATTTTCCCCCTGTGTCTTGGGGATTAACATTTGGCTCCTTGTTACTTATGGAAATTTGTGCAGCAGGGTTGAATTTCTCCACAGAAAATGGGATTTGCTTTTTTATCACATTGTCCAGCTGCAAATTTTCTGAACTTTTGTGCTCTGCTTCCCTTATAAAACTGAATGCTGTTAACAGCACCCAACTCACCTCTTGAATGCTTTGCTACTTAGAAATTTCTTCTGCCAGATATCCTAAATCATCTCTCTCAAGTTCAAAAGTCCACAAATCTATAGGGCAGGGGCAGAATGCTGCCAGTCTCTCTGCTAAAACTTAACAAGAGTCACCTTTGCTCCAGTTCCCAACAAGTTTCTCATTTTCATCTGAGACCACCTCTACCTGGACTTTATTGTCCATATTACTATCAGCATTTAGGGCAAAGTCATTCAACAAGTCTTAGGAAGTTTCAAACTTTTCCACATTTTCCTGTATTCATCTGAGTCCTCCAAACTGTTCCAGCCTCTGCCTGTTACCCAGTTCCAAAGTCACTTCCATATTTTCAGATATCTGTTCAGCAGTGCCCCACTCTACTGGTACCAATTTACTGTATTAGTCAATTTTCATGCTGCTGGCTGATAAAGACATACTCGAGACTGGGAAGAAAATAAGGTTTAATTGGAATTACAGTTCCACATGGCTGGAGAGGCCTCAGAATCATGGCGGGAGGTAAAAGGGACTTCTTAAATGGTGGCAGCAAGAGAAAATGAGAAAGATGCAAAAGGGAAACCACTGATAAAACCATAAGATCCCATGAGACTTATTCACTATCATGAGAAGAGTCTGCAGGAAACATCCCCCATGATTCAAATTATCTCCCTTCGGGTCCCTCTTGTAACACATGGGAATTTTGGGAATACAATTCAAGATGAGATTTGAGTAGGGACACAGCCAAACAATATCAATGCTACCCTTCATCATTTAAAGAAATCTAAGAAACTAAGACTATGTGCCTAAACGGAACATATTCTTATGTATTGTCATCAATTCTTAAACTAAAAAGTACAGAAAACCTTCTTTACAAAATACTATTTTTTACAAGAATAAGACAAAACATATATAGTTAACAATGTGTGTATGACTTTAGAAATTTTTTAAATCAGAACTCACATATATAACCAGTCTAATCTTTTCTCCTATGTTCATTCACATTATTTACTTTATTGTGTTAATACCCCTTACTGTTTCAGAGCACATAAAGGCATATATGGCAGAAAGAGATGTAAAGAAAAGAGTAAATTCAATGTCTCAAATGCAAATTAAATTATTAAGACATTTTGTCCCATTATATATTCTTCTTCTTCTTTCAATACCTTAAATTATTATAGTAAACAAATACTCTTCATTCTGCAATATATAAAGTAATTCATGGGTCCTTAATTCCACACTGACTTAGAAATCCAAAATTTTGAAAAAACTAAGGGTTGCCTTTTCCCCAGTTAATTAAATTCATGTTGTTTTCTTACTTTTCTCACTCAATTTACTTATTTCTTTTTAATTTCTGTATGAGGAAAAATGTCTCTGCCTATTTTTTTCTCTTGAAACAAAAGTCTAATCTCAGATTTTAAATATGTATCACTCACTAACTTCTATGTTACCTTCAATAGAATCTGTACTAGATTTTTAAGAAATTATGTGGCCATGCATTTGACTATTCAAAACAAAGCTGACCTCTAACCCACTGATTTTGCTTTTGAAACATTATTCTAAAAAAGAAAGTAAACTGGTAAAAGTAATGTTTTTATAGCTTTGAACTTTAACTTCCGTAAATCTTTATTATTCTCTTCTACTACCTCACTTTCTGTAAATTTTTTGAAAAATCATTAAAAGTTATCTCATCTCAAAGCCAAAGTAAAAATGCAATAGGAATGATATGAATCCTTCATTTAAGTATAATACTGTTTACTGACTTTGTTGAATAGTACAGGTTTATTGTTCTACTGAAACCCCAAGCTATTATATTTGACTTTCATTTTATCAAAGAGCAAATGATCACTGAATTTACTGTTTTGATTTATAAAAAGTACAGCTATCTTTTTCGATTCTTCAGTATTTTAAGAGTTTTGTGAAAGTGCAAAAAAAAAAAAAAAGCATACAATCCATGGCAAAGTAATTAGCACCTCAAAGAAGATTAATAAAGATTGTGAATAAATAAGTCGTCAAGTAAACACCCTACTATTTACCACATTGGAGTAACTTTTTTAAATTGTCGTTACTTGCTATTTAAAATATAATCCGATGTAAAATTCTCAAAGAGCAGATGCTTTTAAATATATATCTTTCCCTGTAGTTGGAAATGTTGGCTTTTACCTATTTCCTTTTAAGAGAATATGTGCTAAATGTGAAATTCTCATAACAAGTGATATGATTATTTGTTTGTAGTGTATCATTTTATGTTGCCTATTTAGTTTCTTCAAGTATTAGGTGTGTAAAGAGTAAAAAGAAAAAGAAAAGAAAAGCCCATTCATATCTTGTCTGCTAAAAATAGGCTATTCCTATCTCTCTCCAGGAAGAAATCTAGAGAGAAGCTCTCTAGTTATCAATCGGGTCAATATAGTAAGTATAAATTTGTATCATTATATTGAAAGGTAAAGATATTTTATGACAGATGTAAAATATACTCATCTTTACTTTAAAAGCATTCATTCAAAGAGGAACAGACCGAGAAGTCACAGGAGAACTCTCCAGTTATTGCTTCTTAACAGAAACATCAGTATGACAACTATCCACACACACAAATAAATTCATAAGAGTTAAGGAAACTAGGTGAAAGATCAAAGTATCTGGTCTTAGCATAATAATAAGATGAGATGCATTAAGCAGGGTAGAAAGTACAGTTCTGCATTATCCACAACATCCCTGCCCCAATTTTAGGCAGCACAGCATAGAGAGATACACCATCAACTTGGGGGAAGGAAAGTAACCATAGGCCTTTGGCTTGGACCCCAACATTGGGCCAGCCACTGAAAAACTCAGCACTGGGCAGAATCCTATAGCTCCTTATACTAGGCCATTACATGTAAAAGAAGCCACTATATCCTTCCTGGTGCCAAACAGGACTCATGACCCTGGTGAGGCAGGATACATAGTCAAGGAAGTAACCATGTGCTAGGGATGTGGCAACCATGGTGACTGTATAATCAACACACTAAGCCTCAGCATTTGCATTATAGTTAATCTCATTCAAGCAAAGCTATCTCCAGAGAGAATTTCCCCGGTAGAGAGAATGCACATTTTGATTTTACCTGTCCTTAGTCTGACCCTTTGGTCATTATAATAGTAAAAAACACACCCCTGGGTGGAGAGCAAAGGTGCTACTGAGATGCTATATGCAAACAAACATGTACAGCTGCTGTGTGTGTGCACCCAGAGGATCACCCAGCACATGCTTAGTAGTATCACCTCTTCCCACCCACTTATGAATAATCATGTAAGGCTCCCATGAAGGGAGTCTCCCCAGTGCCATTTTTTGGTGTCTCATCCTTATGAGCAACAAACCCTGAATCCTCTCTCAGGGTATACTATCTATTCTGCACCTAGCTTTCAAAATATTCCTTCTCCTTTGCAATAAATTGCTTTATGCTGTATCTCCTTTGCTGTGTGACTCTTCTTTAAATTCTTTTAAATTAAGAAGATAAGAACCAAGGTTTCACAACAGCCATCAACACTGGCACCAGAAGAAGTAGTAACGTGCTTAAAGACGTCACCAGTCAATGTGCCCTGAAATTCTGGTCAAGCTGACTGCTAAAAGAGTCTTCCAAATAAAGCCAGATTGTCAAGACTTGATTAGATACCTACATCAATGCACAAAAATTGGCACCTGGATACAAGGATCAAGACCAATCAGTGAAAGACAATGTCAACAAGTTCATGTGATAAAGTGCCAGTCACTCACCCTAAAGAGATGGACATAGATGAACTGCCTGACAAGTAATTCAAAGTAGTTGTTTTAGGGATGCTCAGTGGACTTCAAAAGAACAAAAAGAAACAGTAATTTTTCAGAAAAAAATGTAACAAAGAAATATACATAATAAAAACAGAAATGCTAGAGCTAAAAATTACAGTGAGCAAAGTGAAAATTACACTAGACAGCATCAATGGCAGAACTGATTAAATGGAGGAAATAATTTTTAAACTCAGAGACAGGTTGATTGAAAATACACAGTCAGAGGAGAAAACAGAGAAAATAATTTAAAGGAATAAAAAAGCTTATGGGATTTATGCAAAACATAAAAAGAGCAAATTTATGGATCAATCTGATTAAAGGGGAGTAGAGAAAAGAAATGGGTAGGATATTTATTTAAAGAAATAGTATTAGAAAACTTTTCAAATATAGATAGATATATAAATATCCAGGTACAGAAAGGTCAAGGGCCTCCAATAAGATTCAATCCAAATAAGACTACCTCATGACATTATAATCAAAATATCACAGATCCCAGGCAAAGACAGAATTTTGAAAGAAGCAAAAGAAAAAAAGCAAACATACTAGGGAGTCCCAGTATGCCCAGTAGCAGGCTTCTTAGTCAAAACTTCACAGTCCAGGAAACAATGGGATAATATACTCAAACTGTTCTTCAGAAATAAAGGAGAGGTAAAGACTTGAATAAACAAAATCTGAAGGAGTTAATCACCTCTAAACCTGTATTATAAGAAATGCTAAAGGAAATTCTTCAAGACGAAAGAAAAGGATGCTAGTAAGTAACATAACATCTGAAAGTATGTAACTTACTGGTGAAAGTACTTAGTCAAATTATGAATATACTAATAATCTCATTGTTGTGTGTAAATCACTTATATCTTTAGCATGAAAACTGAAAGACAAAACTTTTAAAAATAATAACTGCAACAATTTGCTGAGAGGTATGTAGCATAAAAAGATAGAAATTACGACATGAAAAATGCAGGACTCAGGAAGTGGAGTTAAAAAGTAGAGCTTACTCTCACTTAAAAAAAGTTGCAATCAGAGTTGTCATTCGTTTGAAATAACCTTTTATAACTAAACTTTTTGCAATCCTCATTGTAACCACAAAACCAAAACATGAAATAAATGCACTGAAAATAAAAAGCAAGGAATCAAATCATACTACTAGAGAAAATCACTTAACCATAATGGAAGACAGTAAGGAAGAAACAAAGAGAGAATCATATGCAAGACAATTAGAAAACCAATAACAAAATTAGAGTAGCAAGTCCTTACCTATCAATAATTTGAATGTAAGTAGATTAAATTTTTCAACTAAGACATACGGTGGCTGAATGGATTTAAAAAATAAATAAGCCAGTTATATATACTGCCTAAAAGAGAGTCACTTTACCTGTAAAGAACACATGTAAACTGAAAGTAAAGGGATGTAAAAATACATTATTTTCAAATGGAAACTAAATGAGCACAGGAGTAACTATAGTTATATCAGATAAAATAACTTTGCCAAAAACTGTATTAAGACTTCAAAAGTCATTATATGATAAAGGTGTCCATTTACAAAAGGATAAAGCAATGTAAATATATAAACACCCAACACCAAAGCACCTAAAATATTTAAAGCATATGTTAATGGATCTAATGGGAGAGATATATTGCAGTACAATAATAGTAGAAATCTTTGACACCCCACTTTCAGTAATAGACAAATCATCCAGACAGAGAAACAGCAAAGCAACATTTGAGTAAAACTGCACAAAATCAACGTAACTTTAGCTAGACTGAGAAAAAATGAGAGAAGATCTAAATAAAATCCGAGATAAAGAAGGAGATATTACAGCTGATACCAAAGAAATACAATGATCATAGGAGATTATTATGAACAATTACATGCCAACAATTTAGAACACATAAAGAAAATGGATAAATATTTGGACACATACAACCCAACAAGATTGAACTATGAAGAAATAGAAAACTTGAACAGATCTGTAACCAATAACCAGAAATAAGATGAAACTGGTAATAAAAAGTCCCCCATAAAACAAAACAAAACAAAAAAGAAAAGCCTAGTACCTGATGGTTTCACTGCTGGATTCTACCAAAGATTTATGGAAGAAATAATCCCAATTCTTTACAAACTATTCCAAAAAACTGAAAAGTAGGGAGTTTTTCCAAACTCATTCTATGAGGCCAGCATCTCCCTGATACCAAAATCAGAAAAGGAAACAACAACAACAGAAATAAAACTACACTCAAATATTCCTGATAATCACAGGAGCAAAAATTCTCAAGAAAATGCTAGCAAAGTGAATTTAATAACACATTAAAAGGATTATTTCAATCCATGATAAAAGGATTATTTACCAAGTGGGATTTATAACAGGGATGCAAGGATGGTTCAATATATGTCAATCAGTAAATGTGATACATTACATTAACAGAATGAAGGACAAAAGCCATATAATCATTACAATCGTAGCAGAAATAGCATTTGACAAAACTCAAAATTGCTTCACGGCAAAAACTCTCACCAAAGTAGTTACAGAAAAAAATGTATCTCAACACAATAAAGGCCATAGATGACAAACCCACAGCCAACATCATACTGAAGAGGGAACATTTGAAAACTTTTCCTCTAACATCTGGGATAAGAAAAGGATGTCCACTTTCCCCACTTCTAGTCAACTTAATATGGGAAGTCCTAGTCAGAATAATTAAGCTAGAAAAAGAAATAAAAGGCATCCAAATTGGTATAGACGTTGTTAAACTGCCATTATGTCTGATGGCATGATATTATATATAGAGAACCCTGAACATTCCACTATAAAGCTGTTGAAACTAATACACAATTTCAGTAATTTTGCAGATTACAAAATTAACATTTGAAACTCATTTCTCTGTGCTAATAACAAACTATCTGAAAGAGAAATAAACAAAATCATTTACAATAGTTACAAAAAAAGTCAGATACCTAAAAATAAATTTAACAAAAAAGGTAAAAGGTTTGTATAATTAAAACTGTAAAACATTAATGAAATAAATTGAAAAGACAAAATAAATGAAAAGATATTCCATATTCATTTATTGAATGAATTGATATAATTAAAATGGTCCATACCTCCCAAAGCTATCTACAAATTCAATGCAATATCTATCAAAATACCAATGATATTATTCATAGAAATAGAAATAACTATCCTAAAATCTGTTCAAAATTACCAGACCCTAAATATTCAAAGCAATTTTGAATATAAAGAACAAAGCTGAAGGCATCACACTGTCTGACTTTAAAGTACAGTAGGTCCTTGAATAACATCATTTCATTTAATGTTATTGCATTATAATGTTAATGAGGAAAAAATCTATATTTCCAGCTGATGCCAGAACTCTACACTGTTTATGTAAACTTTACATGTTCTCTTTATGTCTGCATGAGTTTTCTCAAGGTACACTAGTCTCCTCCCATATCCCCAAAATGTGCATGTTAGGTTAATTGGCATATCTAAATTGTGCCATTATGAGTAATTATGGGCTTGTGAATACACGCTGTGATGGAATGGTGTCCGGTTCAGGGATGGTTTCTGCCTTGGCCCTGAGCTTCCAAGACAGGGTTTGGCCACCTGTGACCCTGAATGGGAATAAGCAGGTTAGAAAATGAATAAGTGAATAAATAAAAATTATTGTAAAATAAAATCCGTAAAGCATACAGTCATCATCCAACTGCATGACAATAAATGATGTGGCATGAAAGGACTCAGTGATCTTGCCATATTTGCTATTATTCGTTTTCAAACTGTGATGGGAGGAGGTACTCCTTAGAATTTTCACTTTGCAAACACTTACTCCTTGATTTAATCCATCACCACTATCACTGCCATCACTCACTGACTCACCAAAAATTGGGTAAATAATTATTTTACTTATTTTTATTATTCTTTCATAAGTGTACATATAACTCACACTTACTTTAATGTTTAATATTAGAAGTGTTTTCGATCCTTATTTAGAAGTTTGGTGATGTTTTTGTAATGGGAAATATATTGTAAGAACATAACTGTGTATACCAATTAGCCTATGGTAAATTAGTTTTGTTCTACATTGTTTAGCTTGAAGTCACAGTTACCAAGAACCTATCTATAACATTAAGTGAGGACTCACTGTATCCTACAAAGCTATAGTAACCAAAACAACATAATATCAACATAAAAACAGACACTTAGATCAGTGAAACAGAATAGAGAGCCCAGAAATAAATCCATGTACTTAGAGCCAATTGATTTTTGACAAAGGTGCCAAAAACTCACAACGGGGAAATAACAGTCTCTTCAATAAATAGAGATGTGTCTGGGCATGGTGGCTCACACCTGTAATCCCAGTACTTTGGGAGGCAGATATGGGAGGATTGCTGAGACCAGCCTGGACAACACAAGGAGACCCTGTCTCTATAAAATAATAATAAATAAATAAATAAAAATAAATAAATAAATGGAAACGTGAAAACTGGATATTCACATGCAGAAGAATCAAACTGAACTCTTTTTTTTTTTTTTTTTAAGATGGAGGAAGGGCATCAAGGAAGACAGGCAGCCTCTCTCAACACTGGAAAAATGCAAGGAAACACATTCTCCTCTAGAGCCTCTGGAAGGAACAGAGCCCCACTGACACCTTGAACTTAGCCCAGCGAGACCCATTTTGGACTTCTGACCTCCAGAACCGTTAAGATAATCAACTTTTGCTGTCATAAGCCACTGAGTTGGTATACTAGTTAATTTGTTGCAACAACAACAGGAAATGAATACACATACACTGGGTTTCCACTTGGAAAAAATACAGTGCCAAGGAAAGAGCGTTGACCAGACTGTCTTCCTACAGGGATGCTTTTTTTTTTTTTTTTTTTTTTTTTTTCCTTGAGACAGGATCTCACTCTGTTTCCCTGGCTGGAGTGCAGTGGCATGATCACAGCTCCCTGCAGCCTCAAACTCCTGGGCTCAAGTGATCTCCCTGATCCAGCCTCCTGAGTAGCTGGGACTACAGGTACAAACCACCAGGCCTGGCTAATTTTTAAATCTTTTGTAGAGACAGCATCTCACTATGTTGCCCAGGCTGGCCTCAAGCAGTTTGCCTCAGCCTCCCAAAGTGCTGGGATTACAGGCATGAGCCATTGGCCCAGCCCTAGAGGGATGATTTAAATTTTTTTTTTAATTATACTTTAGGTTCTGGGGTACATGTGCAGAACGCGCAACTTTATTACATAGGTATACATGTGTCACAGTGGTTTGCAGCACCCATCAAATTGAACTCGTATCTCTCACCATATACAAAAATTTACTCAAAATAGATTAAGGACTCAAATATAAGACACCAAATTTTGAAACTAATAAAAAAATAGAGAAATGCTTTATCACATTAGTTTGGACAAGGAAATTTTGGATATGACATCAAAAGCACAATAAACAAAAGCAAAATTAGACAAATGGGATTACAGTAAACTTAAAAGCTTCTGCACAGCAAGGGAAGCAATCAACAGAATGAAAAGAACCTACTGAATAAGAGAGAATATTTGCAAATTACAAGTCTGACAAAGGGTTAATATAAAAAATGTCTAAGAAACTCAGACTACTCAATAAGAAAAAAAAGAAAAAAGAGAAAAAGAAATAACACAATTAAAAATGGGCAAAAGATTTGAACAAACATTTCTCAAAATGAAATATACAAAAGGCCAACAGGTATATAGAAAAACGTTCAACATCATTAATGGCCAGGGAAATGCAAATTAAAACCACAATGATCATCTCACATCTGTTAGAATGGCCATTCTCAAAAAGACAAAAGATAAGTACTGGTGAGAATGTGAAGGAAGTGAAATCCTTATATACTATTGGTAGGAATGTAAATTAATACACTCATTATGGAAAACAGCATGAAGATTTCTCAAAAAAAAAAATCAAAAATAGAACCAGCATATGATCCAGCAATCCCACTACTAAATATATATCCTAAGGAATTGAAATCAGTACATTGAAGACATATCTGTACTTCCATGTTTGTTGCAGTACTATTCAAAATAACAAAGATATAGAATCAATCAAGGTGTCTATTAGTGAATGAATAGACAAAAAAAATGTGATATATATACAAAATGGAATATTGTTTAGCCCCCAAAATGAACGAAAACCTGCAATTTGTGACAACATGAATGAACCTGGAGAATATTGTGTTAAGTGACATAAGCCAGACACAGAAAGACAACTACCATATGATCTCACTCTTATTGGAATCTAATAAAGTTGATTACACAGAAGTAGAGTAGAAAGGTAGTTGCCAGAGGCTGGGTGGTTAGGGGGAATGCAAACATTGGAAAATGTTAGTTAAAGGATACATAATTACAGTTAGAGAGGAGGAAAAATTTTCAAGATAGCTGTATTACAGCAAGGAGACTAGAGTTAATGATGATATATTCTTAAAAAGTGTAAAGACAATGAATATAAATTACATGCTTTTACCACATAAATGATAACAAGGTAAGGTAATTCATTTAAGAGTAACTTAGATTTAACCATTCCACATTGTATATGTACTTCAACACATCATGTTGTACACAGTAAAACAATTATATCTGTCAATTTAAGAAAATAAAAGATATTTAAAAAGACAAACAAGAAAAGCATTCATGTAGTGAAAAGGGGGGGTGTTGAAAGATACATAGCAAAACACTGGTTTGATATTTTGAAGTATTTCACTAAAAATGGAGTTCAATTTATTACTCTTAATAACATCATTTTTGGTGGTCTCCCCCATATTGTTATACACTGATTTGAATAACAAGGGAAGTCCTCCTCTCTGTGAGAAACTTTCCCCTGCCTCACAGCCTCTCAGCAAGAATTATTGTTATTATATATATGCCTTTGTGTTACATAAGGGACAAGAAATTTCATTCATTTTTCTACTTACTGGAACAGGGTTTATTGCTGCCTTGACATTGAGAGGCTGAATGTCAGAAGTTTTTTGTTTTTTTTTTTTCCTAAGAATATGTTCTAATCCAAGTTCAAGGAACAAAGCACTTTTCGCAGAACAAAACATCTAGCTCTTCAGAAAGATTGAGACACGTTATCTAAGATCTTTCTTCCTTCTCAATTGACAAGACATATTCTTTCCTTAGCCCTCAATTTCTGGGTATGCATTCAATAAGCCTATCAGGCCTTTTTTTTTTTCCTTTTGTGAGGCACTTGATAGGTCTTTTTAACCTAAAAAAATAATGTCTTCTTTAGTGAGACATTTCCTCTTCACTAGTTTCTTTGCTACATTTTTTCTCTTCTCTCATCATAGACATACTCTAGAGAATATAGAGCTTTGTCTATTAACACTCAGTTTATATTTATATTCTACATTGTGAAAAATTTGTTTCCCTTTATCTTCTAAAATTTGGTTATTTTTATTAAACTCAATTATATTATTTTTAATTTCCATGACTATCTTACTAGATTTCTAGTTGT
Source organism: Homo sapiens (assembly GCF_000001405.40). Classification (NCBI taxonomy): domain Eukaryota; kingdom Metazoa; phylum Chordata; class Mammalia; order Primates; family Hominidae; genus Homo; species Homo sapiens. Next base: position 105,709,861 of record NC_000005.10, read on the forward strand.
TCTTATTTTAACATACATTTATTCTTTCATGGAATATGAAAGATCTTTCATGGAATATTAAACATCTCTATGAGGATATTAATTGATTATTTTAAATTGTCTTCATTTTACTTGATCTTAATTCTTCCTTAAGGTCTATCTTTCATCAAGTCTTTATTCTAATGACTAGAGAGTTTTGGCTGACTGTTCACTTAAAAAATAATATCTTTAATTTTTAAAGCAGTTTTAGGTTCACAGCAATATTGCACAAAAAGTACAGAGTTCCCATCTACCCCCGTCTCATGCACGCACAGCCTTCCTCACGATCAACATCCTGCACCACAATGATATATTTGTTACAATCAATGTGCCCATGTTTTAAAGAGTAAAGTTCTAAAATACTGATTAGAAATTCTGTGTGAGTAGTGTATGTTAACTGATTGGTTTAACAAATAATTAGTTAACAACTGGGTTTTTCATTGGAAACACAAAAATGTTATTTTCCATATGTCTTTTCTACAGTGTAGTTCAATTTCTTCAGAAATGTGTTCTACCTGGGTTCAAACACAAGAAGTTTTTTTTCATAGCTGTGCTGGAAAAGAAGCCTGGGGATTCTTGGCATTTATTAGGTAGACTCATGATGCAGCATACACACTGAAGGCAATGAAGTCTAGCATCAGTCTAACCTGGCCAGGTTATGTGGAAATTAGTTGAAACACAATAACTGAGATTTTGATTCTATTTGTGTTACAATACTTTTATTGCAGTAACTAATGAATAAAACTACGCAGTAGATGAAATAATGGTTACCAAAGATATGAAGTCCTAATGACAGAATCTATACATGTTTCCTTATATTAGAAAAAGGATCTTTGCAGATGTGACTAAGTTAAGAATCTTGAGATAGGGAAACTATTCTGGACTATCCAGGTGGGTCCTAGATACAATCAAAAGTATCTTTGCAAAAGAGAAGCAGAGGAAGATTATATACAAAAGGAAAAAAAAAAGGTAGCCAGGATGGTGGCTCACACCTGTAATCCCAGCACTTTGGGAGGCTGAGGCTGGAGGATTGCTGAGACCAGTCTGGGTAACCCAGTGAAGCTCTATCCCTACAAAAAACACAAAAAAGTAGCTGGTTGTGGTGGTCCATGCCTGTAGTCCCAGTTATTTGGCTGAGGTGGGAGAATCACCTGAGCCCAGGAAGTTGAGGCTACAGTGAGCCATGTTCACACCACTGCACTCCAGCCTGGGCAACAGAGTGAGACACTCTGCCCTGCCTCAAAAAAAAAAAAAAAAATAGAAGAAAAGAAAAAAAAAAGATTAAGATTATTGAACAGAGAGGCAGAGATTGGAATGATGTGGCCACAAGCCAAGGAATGCCAGCAGTCAGCAGAAGCTGGAAGAGGCAAAAAATAGATTGTCCCCTAGAGCTTTTCGAGGAAAACTGCTCCTGTCAACACCTTAATTTCAGCCTAGTGATACTGATTTTTGACTTCTGGCCTTCAGAACTGTGATAAAATCAACTGATTATTTTTAAGCCATCAAGTCTGTGGCAATTTGTTACAACAGCCATAGTTGAATGAAATTTTATTAATTTACCTCAGATTTCTTCATCATATTTGACTTGAAACTTCCTTTTCCTCCTATTTCCTTTGTATATGGTAATCACTTGTGTATTCTAATGTAGTATTCTCTGGGTTCTGAATAAGTTTTAATCTGCTTTAGGAAAAATCTCAAACTAATTTTTCTAATTACCTTTGAGATATTAGACTCTTTTTAAAGAAAAAATTAAGACAGAAGTTTGAATTAAAATAACACTTTTAATAAGTGCTTATTTTTTAAAGAGATAGTGCAGAAACTGTTCTTCCAGACCTTCCTCTCCTGAGAAGATTCATAATGAAAGATGAGATGCTATTCTTATGTGTCAACTTGGCTAGGCTATAGTGCCAGTTATTTAATCAAATGCCAATCTAGGTGTTGCTGTGACAGTATTTTGTAGATTTAGTTAGCAATCGTGTATGATCAGTGGACTTTAAATAAAGGAGATTGCCCTTGATAATGTGGGTAGGACTCATCAATCAGTTGGATACAATCAGTTTAGTGTTAAGAGAAAATACTGCGCTTTCTTAGAGAAGAAAAAAATCTGATTCAATACTGTATCTTAAAATCCTGCCTAAGTATACAGCCTAAAAAACTGCTATACAGATTTCAGACCTGCCAGCCTCCATAATCACATGAACCAATTTGCTACAATAAACCAATATCTCTCTCCTCTCTCTAACTATAGGTACACATATAAATAGATATGTATGTATATATATTTACATATGTATACATATACATATATACACATATATTTATATATACAGGTAGACATACATGTACATATATAATGGATTCTTTTTCTTTGGAAACTCCTACTTGTACAAATGGTCTGAAAAGATGTTGACTCAAGCCAAATCCTGGTGATGGTTTGAATCTTTCAATAATAGTATGTACTATGTTTTGAGAATGCTCTCTAAGTCAAATGTTTGTTATATTATCTTCATCCACACCAGTAATGTATAATGAAGCCATTATATCCCAAGGTACAAATGAGCAAGCAGAGGTTGAGTGAAGCTAAGTACAAAATTCAAGAGCCAGGGTTGAGGCTTGACATTAGGACTTTCTCTTCCAGAGCATGGTCTTCAAACATCAATGGATTATTTGCTTCATATCTGAAGGGCTCAATTTTTAATAATAAATTTTTATTCATTTTCAAACTATAGGTGAAAAACTGCTTGCCCATTTGTCTTATATACTTGGTTTCTGGTTATAGAAATAATATACGTAAATTTTTGAAATATTACAAAGTATGAAATTTAGTGAAGAAAAAACAATCTAATCATAATTAGACCATTCAGAGATAATCACACTCAATATTTTAGTATGCAACTTCTGGAACAATTCAAGGCATACAATAACAATTTTGGAACTTAGCTAATAATAAGCTGAAGTTCTATGCCACTGAGTACGATCTTTAATGGCTATAGAATATTGAAATCCAGTTCATCTTATTCATCCAATTAATGGGCCAGTATTTATTTACACAGACTCCTACTTCAGATACTTAGTGGAAAGTAAACACATTTTATTGTAAAGAGCAATGCCTAACATCCTTATAGATTCATCTTTCTGGTAATTTCTGATTATTCCTTTAGGAAAATATCCTGAACTTAAAATTTCTGGCTCAAAATTTATAAACATTTTAAGCTGATATAGTATTTATTGGTCTCCATAATAATTTTATTAAATTTACTTGCCTTATAGCATAGAGTTGTTTTAATTCTCACCAATGTTTTGAGATTATTTAGATACTTACATATTGTAATTATGTTTAATAATTCTCAATTCTGACTAACGCTTTGTTAATATTGTGTAAAGAGAAATATTAACACTTTCCAGAAATTTCTGATTTAAGGAAATAGTAGTATTAAGAATGAGTTTATATTTCTATTTTATGTTCTGTGTAACATATATTTAATATGTAAGATTCTTGCTTGTATTGTTCTTTATAGCTGCGAAACAGAAACTGTTATGCTGAAAGTGATGTGACTTATATGAGGGCACATAGATATTAAAAAGTAAAGAAGGAAGTTTTCTTCCATAAATGAAGTAACAAGGATTGAATTTATGCTCCCCCCTGCTTCTGAAACAACCAAAAGAAGCAGACAAAATATATGAAATAATAGTTTTCAAGATTAAACATCAGGCAAGAACAGTGGTCCCTAGAAATGAAAGCAAATGACGCAACCCCAAAAATTGCTCTGTATTACTTACTTGAGAGAGTATACCAACTGTGATGCCAGGAGAGGAGCCAAGTCAGAACACAAAGGAAGTCCTAAAGAATGATTTAAAATTTATAGAATAATCTAAGGAGACTAAGGTAACTAGTGTTTAAAGGACAGAGAATTAGAAAAAAAAATAGAGCTGCATATAGAAAAACTGTTGAAGAGCTGGAAAAAAATGTCTTTGAGTACCCAGTGGAGTGCATATGCGTGAAGAAACTACCTAAGGCTGAGGAAAAAAAACACCAAAAGGGTTAGAGAAAATTATACCTAATGCTATTTTCCAGCCAGAGTGGAATAGTCGTAATTCATAATAGATTACTCAGAAGCATCTTACATCAGTTTGGAAGGTAAATGTTGTGATTCCATTAAACACATTAAAAAAGAGACCAAAGATTACCAAACTTTTTCCAAATAACAATTATTTACCTTAAGAAAGCTCAAGAATTTTTGTAGAAATAAAAAGATAACCAGGGCCCAGTAAATTAAAATTAATAATGCTTCACAGTCAACAAAATATTACCAGCTACATAGAGAAGGAAGAAAATATGCCCATTATGAGGTGGAAAATTGATTGTAATGGATTCAGAATAAACGCAGATGTTAGCATTAGAAAACAAGAACATAAAAACAGTTATTATAACTGCACTACACATATTTAAACATTTATGTAGAGATAGAAAGATAGAAAAAAAATCCAAACTAAACTTCAAGAAATTAAAAGTACAATGTCTGAGGTGAAACGTATGTTGAATGTAATTAATGGCAGATTTGATATGGCAGAAGAAAGGAACTTGGACACATAGCCGGATAAACTCTTGAAAATAAAAAGAGGGGAAAAAAGAATTTAAAAAATGAAGAGTGAGTAGTGTGAGTAGTCTAAAAATGTATAAAAATGTCTAAAATCTATCCAAACGATAAGAGATAAAGAGAAGCAAGAAAAACTAATAATTGAAGAAATAATGGTTGATATTTGCCCAATTTGCTGAAAAATATAAACCTACAGATTCAAGAAGGTCAAAGAACTCCAGCACAAGAAGCAAACAGAGTAAACTAAGGTGTATCATAATTGAATTGCTCAAAATTACTAATAAAGATGTAGTCTTAAAAGTCTCCAGAGAGAAGAAAAATTTTCATACAAGGTAACAAAGATGGTGACAGCAGATTTTTTAAAATCAGAAAACAATGTAAGCAAAAAAGACTGTGGAGTAAGATCTTCAAAGTACTAAAAGAACAAAAGCAAAAAAGCCTATCAACCTAGCATTCTTTAGAAACTTTAATATTTTTCAAAATTAAGAAAGCCATAGAGAGATATCAGAGAATTAAAAAAAGTGGGCTAATAGCTTTTGTGAACTTAGATGCAAAAATCTTTTAAAAATATATTATTAGTAAGTCAAATATATCAATGTATAAAAGTAATTTCACAGCTTGGGCAAGTGGAATTTATTCCCAGTGTGCAAGGCTAGTTCAACATTTGGCAATCAATCTACAATAGCAACAGGTTAAAAAATGATGGATGATGGTTTTATGGATATATATACTTATCTCCAAACATTTTGAGTTGTATACATTAAACATGTACAGTTTTTTACATGTCAATCTTACCTTAATAAAGTGGTTCAAAGAAAAATAAAATGATCAATTCATACAATAATATGATCAATTGACATAAGAAGAGCATTTGATAAAATCCAACATCATTTATGATACAAAAAATCTCAGCACACTAGGTATAGAGAACTTTCTTAACTAAATAAAAGCATATATAAAACAAAAACTACAGCTAATATAATGCTTAAAGACTGAATGCTTTCTCTTAAGATTGGGAAAAAAAGCAAAAGCGTCCTCTGTTTTATTGTTTTTTCAACTAAGTATTGAAAGTTCTAACCTGTACACTAAGGCAAGAAGAAATAAAATACATCAAGATAGAGATAGAAGATGACATTGTGGATGACATGGTTATCTACATAGACAATCCCAAGGAATAAACACACACACACACACACACACACACACACACACACACACACACACACACACAAGAATTAATGAATTGAGCAAGGTGGCATGATACAAGATAATATAGAAAAATAAACTGTATTACTACACACTTAAACGAAATGTATGGATAATGAAGTTAAAAACAAAACACCATTTAAAATTGCTCCAAAGAAAATAAAAAGATTTAGGTATAAATCTTACACAATATGAACATGATCTGCATACTGAAAATTAAAGTGTTCTAATGAATAAAATTGGAAAAGACCTTATTAAATGGGGAGACACACTGTGTTCATAGATTGAAAGAACCAACCTATAAATATATCATTTCCCTTCAAACTGATCTGTAGATTTAATGCAGTTCCAATCAAAATCTCAGCAAGATTTGTGTAGAGATAAATTAATTCTAAAATGTGTATGGAAAAGCACAGGGCCTACAATAGTTAAAAGTAGTTTGAAAACAAGAGTGAAGTGGGAGGAATCATTACTGCATGTTAAAATTTATTACATAGCTGTAGTAATTAGGACACAGGAGATCAACTGAATTGAATATAGAACCCACTAATAGACACATACATGCTGAACCTATTCTTGACAAATATATAAAAGCAATACAATGGAAGAAAAAATCGCCTTTTAGACACAGAGTGCTAAAACAATTGGGCCTTCATAGGCCAAAAATAAACCTTGAACTTCATATAAAAATTAACCAAAATAGATCATAGAGATAAAATGTAAACCTGTACAATGTTTAGAAAAAATATATAAGGAATATTTTGAGGCCTAGGTCTAGGTAAAGAGTGCTCATATTTGATACCATAATCATTATTCTTAACAGGAAAAATGAGTAAATTAGAACTTCATTCAAATTTTAAAAATTGCTCTGTGAGAGACCACATAAAGGAGATAAAAAGACAAGCCACAGAGTGAGAGGAAATATTTGCACATTAGCTATCCAATTAAAACCATTTATTTTGATTACATAAAGAATTGTCAAAACATAATAGTGAAAATTCAAAACAAAACATTGTAATTAGACGATGGACAAAATACATTAATAGATAGATATTTGACTATGAGCACATAAAATATATTATCATCAGCTATCAGAGAAATACAAATTAATACAAAGGAGATATCACTAACTCTTAGTATACTTAAAATAAAAATATAGTGATGAAACCAAATACTGATGAGGATACAGAGTAACTCGATTACTTATACATTGCTGGTGGAATGAAAATGCTACAGCCACTCTGGAAAAGAGCATGGCAGTTTCTCACAAAGCTAATTATGTGCTTTTCATACAACCTAGCAATTGCACTTTGACATTCATCCTGAGAAACAAAAACTTCTCTGCACACAAAATCTTCATTAAAGTTTCTAGCATCTTTGTTCATAATAGCTAAAAATTGGCAACAATCTAAATGTCGTTTAATGGATGAATAACTCAACACACTGTGGTACATCTGTACCATGAAATCCTTCTCAGCAATGAAAATGAACAAAGAATTGATGCATAAAACAACTTGAATGAACCTCAAGAGTATTATCCTTAGTAAAAATAGGCAATCTCAAGAGGTTATATACTTTATAATCCCATTTATATAACATTATTGAAGTGACAAAATTATTAGATTATATTTACTTTTGTCATAAGTTATTTGGCAGTAGGGAGAGGAATTGTAACATGAGGGATACTTGTGAAGAAAATGTTGTGAATCTTGATTCCATATAGTGAAGTTCAGAGTAACCTATAGTTGAGATAAAACTGCAGAGACATAAGTACACACACAAATACAGAGTACATGTAAATGCACACTGAATACTTTCTTTGGATAGCATCAATGTTAATTTTTTAGTTTTGACATTGCATTATGCAAGATGTTACCACTGGGAAAACCGGAGTGAATGGTACATGGGATTTCTCTGTATTATTTCTTACAAATACATGTGAATCTACAATTATTTCAATGTCTTTTTTGTTTTGTTTTTATTTTTTATTTCTACAGGTTTTTGGGGAACAGGTGGTGTTTGGTTATATGGATAAGTTTTCAGCGGTGAGCTCTGAGATTTGGATGGACCCATAACCCAAGCAGTGTACACTGTATCCAATGTGTAGTCTTTCATCTCTCACTCCCCTCCAACCCTTTCCCCTGAGTCTCCAGAGTCCATTGTATCATTCTTATGCCTTTGCATCCTCATAGCTTAGCTCCCACTTATGAGTGAGAACATACGGTGTTTGGTTTTTCATTCCTGGGTTATTTCACTTAGAATAATCATTTCCAGTTCCATCCAGGTTGTTGTAAATGCCATATGTATACATGTTTATATATACATATATACATATATACGTATATACGTATGTACGTATATACGTATATATGTATACATATATGTGTATATATGTATATACATATGCATACATATATATGTATACTTATATATATGTATGCATATATATATATATATATCACAATTTCTTTATCTTCTCATTGATTGATGGCCATTTGGGCTGGTTCCATATTTTTGCAATTGCAAATTGTGCTGCTATAAACAGGCATGTCCAAGTATCTTTATTGTATAATGACTTCTTTTCCTCTGGGTAGATACCCAGTAGTGGGATTGCTGGACCAAATGGTAGCTCTACTTTTAGTTCTTTAAGAAATCTCCACACTGTTTTTCATAGTGGTTGAATTTTTCCTGAGAACTGGAACAAGACAAGCATGCTCACTCTCACCACTTCTATTCAAAATAGTACTGAAAGTCCTAGCCAGAGCAATCAGACAAGAGAAAGAAATAAAGGGCCTCAAAATAGGTAAAAAGGAAGTCAAACTGTTACTGTTTGCTGATGATATGATTGTATTCCAAGAAAAACCTAAAGACTCCTCCAAAAAGCCCCTAGAACTGATAAATGAATTCAGGAAAGTTTCAGAATACAAAACTAATGTACACAAATTAGTAGTTCTGCTATATGCCAAAAGCAACCAAGCTGAGAATCAAATCAAGAACTCAACCCCCTTTACAACAGCTGTAAAAAATATATATACTTAGAAATATACGTAACTAAGGAGGTGAAAGACCTCTTCAAGGAAAACTACAAAACACTCCTGAAAGAAGTCACAGAAGACACAAACAAATGGAAACACCTCTCCTGCTCATGGATGGGTAGACTCAATATTGTAAAAATGTCCATACTGACAAAAGCAATTTACAAATTCCATGCAATTCCCATCAAAATACCACCATCATTCTTCACAGAACTAGAAAAAAACCATCCTAAGATTCATATGGAAACAGAAAAGAGCCTGCATAGCCAAAGCAAGACTAAGCAAAAATAACAAATCTGGAGGCATCACATTACCTGACTTGAAACTATACAATAAGGCCATAGTCATCAAAACAGCATGGTACTGGTATAAAAACAGGCACATAGACCAATGGAACAGAACAGAGAACCCAGAAATAAAGCCAAATGCTTATAGTCAACTGATCTTCAACAAAGCAATCAAAAACATGAAGTGGAGAAAGGACACCCTATTTAACAAATAGTGCTGGAATAATTGGCAAGTCACATGTAGAAGAATGAAACTGGATCCTCATCTCTTACCTTATACAAAAGTCAACTCAAGGTGGATCAAGTACTTAAATCTAAGACCTGAAACCATAAAAATTCTAGAATATAACATTGGAAAAACCCTTCTAGACATTGGCTTAGCCAAAGACTTCATGACCAAGAACCCAAAAGCAAATGCAACAAAAACAAAGATACATAGATGAGACTTAATTAAGTGAAAAAGCTTCTACCCAGCAAAAGAAACAATCTGCAGAGTAAAGAGACAACCTGCAGAATGGGAGAAAATCTTCTCAATCTATACATCTGACAAAGGACTTATATCCAGAATCTATAAGGAACTCAAACAAATTAGTAAAGATAAACAATCTCATCGAATAGCGGACTAAGGACGTGAATAGACGATTCTCAAAAGAAGACATACAAATGGCCAACAAACATATGAAAAAATGATCAATATCACTAATTATGAGGGAAATGCAAACTAAAACTGCAATGTCATACCACCTTAATCCTGCAAGAATGGCAATAAAATAATAATAATAATAATACATGTTGGCAGGGATGTGGTGAAAAGGGAACAATTTAACACTGCTGGTGGGAAAGTAAACTAGTTAAATGCATTTTTTAAAGAAGGCAAAATAAAGACATTTTCGGACCTGAAAATCTCAAAGCAGCTCTGGGATTAGAGTAAGGCAAGCAAGTCACACAGGACACAAAATGCAGGGAGGCATCCACTTTCAGGGCTGAACCTGCAGTTGTATTAGCCAGAGATGGAATGCCTCCTAAAGTTTTCACCTTGGGAGTCATGCTTGCCTCAAATTAGTTTGGGACATGCCTGAAAGTATTCATCACAAGCAGACCTAAACTACAAGAAAGTTAAAGGAAGCTCCTCAGGCAGAAAGAAAATAAGAGCAGATAGAAATGTGGGTACACACAAAGCCACAAAGAGTATCAGAATAGAAACCACATTGGTAAATATATAATATTTTTACAAAAATTACTTGTCTTCTTAAAAGACAACTGCTTAAACAAAAATAATAGCACTGTATTGTGTGAATTTAAAAATGTATAATTAAAATATGTGAGGACAATATTTAAAAGACAGCAAGTGGAAAAACAGAAGTATAATATTTAAAGATTTCTATGCAATATACGAAGTAATATAATGTCACTTAAAGGTAAAAAGTGATGTTCAAGATGTACAATATATGCCCTAAAGCAACAGCTAAAATAACAAAACGAATAGTTATGTTTATTTACCTGTAAAATAATAGTTATCTATAAAAAGAGGAAAATTGGCCTATAAAAAATACTCAGTTTACAAAAAGGCAAGAAAACAAAAAAAGAACAAAAAATAGAGGTACAAATAAAAAAACAAATAGCAATATTGTAGATTCAAGGCTACACAGATTAATAATCACAAGAAAATAAATGGCCAAACCACTCCCAATTAAAAGGCAGAGTTAGGGGGAGTGGCTAACATGGCCAACTAGAAGCAGCTAGTGTTCATAGCTCTCACAGAAAGGAACAGAAGGAGCAAGTAAATGCAACACCTTCAACTGAAACATCCAGGTATGTGCATTGGAACTAATCAAGGAAACAACTTGCCCCAGAGAGAATGAAGAAAAGCAAAACAGGACAACAGCCCACCTGGGAGCAACAGAGAGTCCATCTTCCTCCGCCCAGGGAAGTGGTGAGTAAATGAGCAACCCTGGGAAACCATGCTTCTCTCATAGATCTTTGCAACCCTTGGGTCAGGAGATCTCCTTGTGAACCCACTCCACCAGGGCCTTCAGTTTTCAGTCTGACAGACAGAACGACATGGAGTCTTGGCAGAGCAGCCACTCAGGCATGTGTAGAGACTCCGCAGTCCTGGATACCTGGGCTTTCCAGCAAAAGTAGCTTCAGCTTTGGCAAAGTGGGAGTTTAGAGTCCTGTAAATACTCTTAGGGAAGAGGCTGAATCCAGGGGGATGAGCAGCAACAGCCTGCAGGCGCCACTTCCATGACACTTCAAAAGATAAGACACACTGGCTTAGAATTCCAGCTAGCTCCCAGTGGTAGCATTGCACCTCTCTAAGAAGGAGCTCCTGGGAGGAGGGGTGGGCCACCATCTTTGCTGTTCAGATACCTTAGCCATTCTACCCTTCAGGCTTTGAAGAGTCTGAGCTGAACAAGGGTGGAAGGAATACCCCAGCACAGCACAATTGCTCTACAAAAAACGTGGCCAAACTGCTGTTTTAAGAGGGTGCCCAATGCCCAATTCCGTTCCTCTTCACTGGATGGGGCTTTCCAACTGGCACCTCCAGCCATACATGCTCAAGTGCTCTAGCCAACAGAGTTCTGAATTCTCCCTGGAATGGCACTCCCAGGGGGAAGGGCAGGACACCATCTTTGTTGTTTGGGTGACTTAGCCATTCTAGCTTTTGGGCTTTGAAGTGTCTGAGGCAGCTGGGGGGTGAAGTGAGTCGCCAGCACAGCACAGCTGCTCTACCACAATGTAGCCAGACTGCTTTTTTTAAGCAGGTGTCAATCCTATTCTTCCTTATCAGGCAGGACATCCCAACTAGGGTCTCCAGCCACTTCCTTTGGCCAGCAACAGGTCCATACCTTCCCAGGACAAAGCTCCCAGGAAGGACAGGCTGCAATCTGTGCTGTTTTGCAGCCTTCACTGAAGACTCCTTCAGGTTCTGGAAAATCCAAGGTGCCTAGGGACTGGAGTGGGCCCCAACCATACCGTAGCAGCCCTATGGAAAAGTGGCCAGACTGTTATGTGGGTGCCTATTCCCATATCTGCTCACCAGGCAGGTTCTTCAGGCCTGGGTCTCCAACCACCTCCTGCCAGAACTATCAAACCAGTACCAACTCAGCAACTCCCTGGGCAGAGCCTCCAGCGGCAATGGAAAGCCTCTCTACCACTGCCTCTGCAGTGGAACTGTACTTGCCACCCTCAGACTAAAAAAGAAGCAAAGACCCTAAGTACCTTATTCACACCTCCATCAAGCTGCAGTTGATCCAAGGAGAGGAAGCCTGTCCATCTCCCATGGGTCCCACACACCCCCAATAGCTCATCACCAGATGAGGAAGCTCTGGCTTGGCCCCACAGCACAAACTCTCCATCTTGGGCTTGCACTGACCTGCATCTCTCAGCAGTAGAGCCTCAGGAGTCAAGAAATGAGCCATGACCACAACCACTACTGAGATCTCTTCCTCTGCTGCCTCTAAACTAGGGAAGGAACACAAACACCGAGGTCGTTCCGGAACTGCAGTGGGCAGACCAGGAGTGTCAAGTCTTCAAGTACAGCCAGCACTCAAACAGAAGAAGAAATCATACTTTCAGAGCAGTGAGAGAGAACATGGCTGCAACTGTGAAGGCCTCAGCCCGGTGAAAAATCTAGAAAAGAGGTCTGCTAACTGTACTCAATCTACAGTGCAGTTAGAGGAACACCCACAAGCAGAAAGAACCAACATACAAGAATTCCGGTAACTCAAATGGCCAGGGTGTCAGATGTCCTTCAAACAGCCACAATAGTTCTCCAACGAGAGTTCTTAACCAGGCTGAACTGGCTGGAATAACAGAAATAGAATTCAAAATATTCAAAGGAACAAAGATCACTGAGATTCAGAAGGATTGCAAAATCCAATCGAAGGAAAATAAGCATGACAATAAAGTGAGACAGGAGCTGAAGAATAAAATAGCCAGTATAAAAGAACCTAACAAGTCTGACAGAGCTGAATAACACAATACAAAAACTTCACAGTGCAATCACAAGTATTAACAGCAAAATACACCAAGCTGAGGAAAGAACCTCAAAACTTGAAGACTGGTTCTCTGAAATAAGATAGTCAGACAAAAAGAAAAGAATAAAAATGTGTGAACAAAACCTTCAAGAAGTATGGGATTGTGTAAAGACCCCAAATCTATGAATCACTGGCATCCATGAAAGGGGGGAGAAAGCAAACAATTTGGAAAATATATTTCAGGATATTGTCCATAAAAACATCCCCAACCTTGCTAGAAACTCCAACAGTCAAATTCAGGAAATACAGAGAACTCCTGCAAGATTTTACAAAAGATAATCATCCCCAAGAGACATAATCATCAGATTTTCCAAGGTCAAAATGAAAGAAATAATGTTAAAGACAGCTAGAGACAAAGGCATGTCACCTACAAAGGGAACCCCATCAGGTTAACAACAGACCTCTCAGCTGCAAACCTACAAGCCAGAAGAGACTGACGGGGTGGGGGTGCTATATTCAACATTTTAAAAAAATATTCAACCAAGAATTTCATATCCAGCTAAACTAAATTTCCTAAGTGAAGGAGAAATAAGATCCTTTTCAGATAAGCAAATGCTGAGGAACTTCATTATCACTGGACCTGCCTTATGATTGATCTTGAAAGGAGCACTAAATATAGAAAGGACAGTCCACCGCCAGCTAATACAAAAACGATTTAAACCCACTGTAAAGCAACCACACAAATGAGCCAACATAATAACCAGCTAACAGCACAATGACAGGATCAAATCCACACATATCAATACTAACCTGGAATATAAGCAAGCTAAATGCCCCACTTAAAAGACATGGAATGGCAAGCTGGATAATAAAGCAAGACCCAATGGTATTCTGTCTTCAAGCAACTCATCTCATGCATAATGACACTCATAGGCTCAAATTAAGGGATGGCGAAAAGTCTCCATGCAAATGGATAACAGAAAAAAGCAGAGATTGCAATCCTAGTTTCAACCAAAACAGATTTCAACCAAGAAAGATCAAAAAAAGACAAAGAAGGGCATAACATAATGGTAAAGGGTTCAATTTAACAAAAAGACCTAACTATCCTAAATATATATGTGTTCAACACAGGAGCACCCAGATTCATAAACAAGTTCTTAGAGACCTACAAGGAGACATTGACTCCCACAGAATAACAATGGGAGACTTCAACACTTCACTGACAGCATTAGACAGATCATCAAGGCAGAAAATTAACAAAGATATTCAGGACCTAAACTCAGCATTGGAACAAATGGATCTGATAGCCCTTTCCAGAAGTCTCCACCCAAAAACAACAGAATACACATTTTTCTCATTGCCACATGAAACATATTCTCTAAAATCAACCACATAATTTGACATAAAACAATCCTCGACAAATGTAAAATAACCAAAATCATACCAAACACACTCTTGGACTACACTGCAATAAAAATTAAAGTCAACACAATGAAAATCGCTCAAAAACATACAATTACATAGAAATTAAACAACATTCTCCTGAATGAATTTTGGGTAAATAATGAAATTAAGGCAGAAATCAAGGAGTTCTTTGAAAATAATGAGAACAAAGTTACAACACACCAGAATCTCTGGGACACAGATAAGGAACTGTTAATAGGGAAATTCATAGCACTAAATGTCCACGTCAAAAAGTTAGAAATATCTCAAATTAACAACCTACCTTCACAACTGAAACAATTAGAGAAGCAAGAACAAAGCAACTCCAAAGTTAGCAGGAGACAAGAAATAACAAAAACCGGAGCTGAAATAAAGACACAAGAAAAACATTCCAAAGATCAACAAATCCAGGAGTTGGTTTTTGAAAAAAATTATAAAATAGAGAGGCCACTAGCTAGACTAATTAAGAAGAAAAGAGAGAAGATCCAAATAAACACAATTACAATTGACAAAGGGAATGTTACTACTGACCCCACAGGAATAAAAACAACTATCAGAAACTATGATTAACACCTCTATACACATAAACTAGAAAACCTAGAAGGGATGGATAAATTCATGAGCATGTACACCCTCCCAAGACTGAGCCAGGAAGAAATTGATTCTCTAAACAGACCAATAATGAGTTCCAAAACTGAATCAGTAATAAGTAGCCTACGAACAACAACAACAAAAAAGCCCAGAACCTGATGAATTCACAGCTGAATTCTACCAGACGGACAAAGAAGGGCTGGTACCATTCCTACAGAACTATTGCAAAAAATTAAGGGGTAGGAACTTCTCCCCAACTCATTCTGTGAGGCCAGCATTATCTTCATACCAAAACCTTGCAGAGACACACACAAAATAGAAAACTTCAGATCAATATCCTTGATGAACATTGATGCAAAAATCCTCAACAAAATACTTGTAAACAATCCAGCAGCACATGAAAAAGCTAATCTACCACAATCAAGTAGGCTTCATCCCTGGGATGCAAGGTTGTTTCAACATATGAAAATCAATAAATGTGATTTATCACTTAAACAGAACTAAAGACAAAAACCACATGATTATCTCAATAGATGCAGAAAAGGCTTTTGATAAAATTCAACATCCTTCATGTTGAAAACTCTCAATAAACTAGGTATTGAAGGAACATACCTCAAAACACAAGAGCCATCAGTAACAACCCACAGCCAACATTATACTGAATGGGCAAAAGCTGAAAGCATTCCCTTTGAAAACTGGTACAAGACAGGGATGCCCTCTCTCACCACTTCTATTCAACATAGAATTAGAAGTCCTTGCCCTGGATTTTACAGGTTATGTATATTGGCAGAATATTTTTGGTGTTGTAATTTGGGTTGTGAAGCAGCAGACAGCACTAAATAGCAATGACCGGTAGATAGGCTCTTGCTTAGTCATGTGGCTCTTTTGTATTTCTGTGTGTTCACAGCAGTGCTCTCTAGTAGGGGGTAGGAGTAGAGATGACCCCCTCACCAGGTCTGCTCCTGGGCCTTGGGGGAGCTCCTTTGTTCAGTGCCACCATACCCACTTTATCTCTATTAGTTGTTCCCAGCCATAGGGCTCCCTTGGGCAGAGTCCATGACTGGCAGACAGGCCATAGTCTTCCCAGACTGGCCCTGTGGAGGGAGGCATGCCCTGCTCCCATGTCAGCCCATAAGCCCATGGGTCTCACGCTTCTCAGTGTTCTGAGAATGCAGGTTCCTCCTCTGTGTGAGTGCCAGACACAGATTTCTGCTTGGCAGTGCTGAGCCGGATGCTGCAGCCCTGGGACTCCATCTTCCAGTCCCTTGGGGTCAGGCACCAGCTGTGCTGGGGGATCTGAAATGCCCGTAGGCCTCTGGGAAGTACTCACGCAGGGCTACTGGCATCCAGGCTGGGCAGTGGAGGCTATGCTGTACACACACTTCTGCAAAAGGAACAAAGCAGAAGCCTTGGGATAGGCTGCAGACAGAGGACCTGCAAATCAGATGTGCCCCAGTTCCATGGGAAAGATACTCTTGGCCCTGCAATAAGCTGGGGTTAGAACAACTGGAAGGAAGATGGAGAGCCTTGGGAATGGGTCCTTGTGGCTATGTTCTTCTTCAACTTTCCTGTGTGCAAAAATTCCCTTGGTTCTGTACAGGCTGGAGGTCTGTCTCTGTCTACTCTCTAGGAAGATCCCCCGGCTAGTTCAAATATCTATAGGGGTCATGAGATCTCTTATAGCTGGGATCCCAGGGGCCAGCAGCAATACTGGGCTGCCCTGCTGCCCCTTCAATCACCCCTTCCTTAGGAGCCCTTCAGGGGGTTAACACTTGGTAACCCTGCACAGAGTTCCCAGTTTCCTCCCTCTTTGGCCTTGGTGTCTGTGTTGCCTATCTATCAACTCTTAGTGTTTTCTCTTCAAAGGTCTGTTCAAAGTGTATTGGTTTACTCAATATTCTGGTCTCTCTCAGTAGGAGTGGTGCTTCCTGCCTGTAGCTAGTCGTCCATCTTGTCCTCTCTCCAGGCATATATTTTAAAGGGTTGTTAAAAAAATAAAAACAAAAACACAAAGAAAGTTCAACTCAGTTCCGTGGGTTTACGAAAAAAGTAAAAGTGAAGAAGGATGTAGAGCAGAGACCTGATGTGGGCCACAGCCCCAAATATTTACTGATTCTTTGCACAAAAATGTGAACCTGTACTCTAGTCAGACTCATCAAGAAAAACTGAGAGAGAGCAATTAGTAACAAAATCAGGAATGGGAGTGTTGATACCACTATAAATACACAAATAATAAAAGGAAAATTAAAAAATATTATGAACAACCTTATGCTAATAAACTTAACAATGTAGGTGAAATGGGAAAATTCATTGAAATAAACTACCTAAGCTCACTCAAGAAGACATAGATAACCTGAATAACATGATATATTTTAAATAAATTAAATATATAGTTAGAAACTATTCCGCAAAAATAACGACAGGCTCAAATGAATTCTTTGGTAAATTCTAAAAACATTTCAGAAAAAAAAAATACCAATTCTGCTCAAGATTTTTCAGGAAGTTGAAGAATTTTATGCAGCCAATATCCTGATATTAAAATTATATAAACATATCATAGGAAAAAAATCAATAAAACTATAAACCACTCTCCCTCATAAACTTAGTTAAAAAATTCCTGAACAAATGTTAGCACTTCCGATCCAGCAATATATGACAAGGGTAAATTATAATAACCTAGTGGCATTTATCTCAGGATATTAAGGATGGTTTAACATTAAAAAGTTACATAATTCACAATATTAATAGACTAAAAACTACATATAAAATATATGATCATCTCAATAGACTGAGAGAAAACAATTAATATAATCCAATATTTATTTCTAATAAAAATTCTCAGCAAACTAGGAGTAGAAGCTAATTTTGTCAACCTGATAAAAGTATATACCAAAAATCTACAGATATTATTATACTTAATTGTAGAATGCTGAATACATTCTTTCTAAAATCAGGAATAAGGCATGACTATCTACGTTCACAATTGTATTTAACATTGTCCTCATGGTTCTACACAGTACCAAAACAACAGCAAACAAACAAATAAAATGGATGCAGATTGGGGAAAAAAAGTGAAACTGTCTTTATGCACAGATAATATGAGCATCTATATAAAAAATCTGATGGAGTGTATAGAAAGTCTAACCAGAACTAATAAATGAGTTGGGCAAGGTGGTAGAATATAAGATCAACATGTAGAAAAAAATAATCAGATACAAACATTTCAAAAATCATTACAATTTGATTTTATAATACAGAGTATGAAGTATTTAACGATAGATTTGACAGAAGATACGTAAGACCTGTTGAGAGAAAATGACAAAACATCACTGAAGGAAACTAAAGACCTAAGTAAATAGAGATACGTAACTGATTTATGGGACTAAAGACTCAACTGCTTTAAGATTCTCCTATAAATAATCTATATATTCTATACAATCTCAACAAAAATCTCAGCAATTTTTTTAATTCCCAGGTGAAAACTATATTGAAATATAAAAGACCTAGAAAACCTCAAAGCATACTTGAAAAAAGAACAAAGTAAGAGGCCCAAAGACATCTGATTTTAAGACTTCTTATACAGCTATATTATAACGCTTTACTTTTTATCAAATTTAATCTAACATATCATATTGTCTTAGAGATAGTCAAATTACATCAATGTACCTGAATGGAGAATATAGAAATGAATCTGCACATGTATGGCATATATGGACAATTGTCAGTTTATAACTTTCAACAAAGTTATAAGGGTAATTTAGTGGAGAATGGCTATTATTTTCCACAAGTTATGCCAAAAAATGCAATATCCATATATTAAAAAATGAACTTTTATTCATTCTGACACCATCTAAAAATATTTAGTCAAAATAAATCAAAGACCTAAATGTAAAACTAAATCAGTATAATTCTACATAAAGTTTGGATTAGGCAAAGCTGTCTTAGATATGATTCTAAAACCAGAATGCATAAAATGAGGTGAATTTTAATTTATTAAAATTAAAAATTCTTTGATAGATGCTGTTAAACAAATGAAATGTCAAGGCACAAACTGGAAAAAGTATTTGCTGAGTGTATCTAACAATGGATCTAGAATATTTAATGTTTAAACATAATAATAAGAAGAAAAACATTAACAGCCTACTACAGTTTGAATGTGTCCCCCCAAAATATGTATTGGAAACTTAATCCTCAATGAAACAGTGCTGGAAAGTGGGGTCTTCTTGGCTTAAGATGGAGCACCCCTTCTCTTTAGTTTAAGATGGGGTTACATCTCAACAAAGCCATCACAAGCTTAAAATATTATTGTAAAAAATTCATTTAATACACCTAACCTACCAAACATCATAGCTTAGCCTAGCTTTATTTAAATGTGCTCAGAACACTTATAGTAGCCTACAATTGGGCAAAATCTTCTAACACAGAGAGTATTTCATAATAAAGTGTTGAATATCTTATGTACTGTATTGAATACTGTATATTACTTTCAAATTGCAATGGTTTTGCAACAACATAAGTTGAAAAATTGTAAGTCAAACTATCATAAACTGGGGACTGCATGTGCGGGTGTCTGTACATGTATTGTATCTTTTGCACATTTTTTGTATTTTAGTCTAATTCTACTTATTTAGAGCTTCCAAAATACAAACTAATCTATAGTAACAGAAATCAAACACGTGGTTGCCTAGGACAATAAGGGAGAGTCATAGAGGGGCAGGGAGGAGAAAGTACAAAAAAGCAAAGGGAAACTTTGGGGGGTTATTGATATGTTCATTATCTCACCCTGGTGATGGCTTCATAGGTGTCTAAATATATCAAAACATGACAAATTCCACACTTTAAATAACTGCACATTGAATATGTGCTGTTATTTATTTGTTTATTTATTTATTGTATTTTTTATAGAGATGGGGATTCACCATGCTGCCCAGGCTGGTCTTGAACTACTGGGCTCAAGCAATCTGCTGGCCTCAGCCTCTCAGAGTGCTGGGATTACAGGTCTGAGCCACCGCACTTGCCCTGTGCTGTTTTTTCATGTCAACTACACATCAGCATAAAAATGAAATTAGGGGTCAAGAGACACCCCTCCACCAACTGCAAGAGTAAAAGATAGAGAAGGAAGACTTCACATTCTTGCATTCTAACTCTTAACCTCTTAACCACTGAACTATATCGTTATAGTCCACTACAGTCATGGGAAAGAACAATAATAAGTATTTTTTGGCACTCCATAAACCACTGAAAATCACTTTTGAAACATAGAAGCCTCAGATGTAAGTCAGCACTTGCTTCTCATAGCCCTTACCATTCATCACTGTCCACTCACATGGGGCAGTACAGGGTATGGGCATAGCATTATGTTGACGGCTACAAGTATTTTCTTCTCAATAAACATCCCTATGGTTCTGTGATGGGAACAAAAATGAAAAGACAGTTGCTGTGACACTTATTTTTCTCTCTCAGGATATCCAGACAAGCAAAAAGGTTCTGTCCATCTTGGAGATTGGTTAGACATACTTGTACTGCAGTTCACTCTAAAAGTTAAAAAAAAAAAAAAAAAGAAGTTTCATGTTTGTCATTATTGCTACTGCTTCCAAGATCTCTGTAAGTCAATCAGGCAACCTGCAAGCTTATGAGATTTATTTGTGTAAAGAGTAAATGGCATTACCTGTCCTTTGAACCTCTAATTAGGAGATTTTAGCAGATAGAATCTAATTTATAAGAAGGGCCTACACCCTGGATAATGAAACATAGCCTATTATGAACTTAAATAAACAAGAGCTATAATGCAATGCCAAAACAAATCATTCTGACATGATTTAAAAATATAAGAGGCTTCTTCAAATATCATCAAGAATAAGTCATTTAGTGTTTCAGGTTCATACATCAATGCAGTTGCTGTCACTATGAAAAATTGGACTTTTTGTTTACTTAAAATTTGAAATGCCATGATTTGGTATTTGAAAAATGAGGCGGGAAAAATGAATGTCCTCCTGTTTGTGAAAAATGGAGATTTTATTAGAGCAAAGTAGGGAGGAGGAGAGAGTGCTCATCTGCTCCTGTAGAACAATGTTTACTCAGGAAGAAATATAACAATGGGCAGGCCACTGGGGATAAAGGAAGTAGAATCACTTAGGGAGCTGATGACAACAGGAGCCAAGACTACAGCCTGGGCCTGGAGCTGCCCCACCTTTTGGTCCCTACACACACATAATGAATAAATGCATCTTGAAGTAAGACTCATATTTCATGGCAGTGTGAGACTCCCCAGTTAGACTGCATCTGTTAATAATAAAAATTTGCTTTCTGGAATGAGAGTTTAATAGTTCTTGTTCATGCTTTAAATAGGAGAGCACAGCAATAAATCAGCATTATGATTTTAGTAGGTAGTAGCATATGAAATATAATATGTTATTTCTGGCATTTAATTTGGTCAAAATTAAGTTAAAATATTCACCCAAAGGGACAGATTGATAAAATAATAATTATAAGTATATGATGATTCTAAGAAATTTTATACTTTGTGCATTCCGGAAGTACCATTACATTTCACATACATATTATCTTTATTGCCATAATGAGAAAATATTAAATTACGTTATTCAACTTCAGAAGCCAAGTGTCTGCTTCAGTTTATTATTACAATAAAGTTTACATGCTTACTGTGTTTTGCAACATATTTTTATATACTCTTAATGAATTTAATTAGTAATTAACATATGAGATTAATTACTTAGTAAATTCTTTTTTAAGATAAACACCTACATTTATGGCTTTAGATGGGTCACTTTAATTTTAGCCTTTGTATGTCAATTCAATTAAGTTATTCCTACTTGCTCCCTCTCTATCTGCCTATGCATGCACACAGACACACACACCCATAAAAGTACCAAATTATCATAAACAACCTGATATAACTATGTATGAATACAGATAATGTAGACAAAAATATGTACTTATGAAACACAGATATACAGACCAAACGATTTACAACCTATTTGAAAGCAAGCTCTATATCTGACTTGTCTTTTGTCTGCACCCATATTTATTGCAATATATTGCAAAAAATTAATTCTTGCTAAGTATTCCTTGAAACAATGACAAGAGGTTAATGAAGGAATAAATATAGCAACTGAGAACTGTCAAAAATAATGTTGACAGACAGTTGGATGTGGCCATTTGCATAAGTCTCATTGATTCCTCTAGATCAGCATATATAGAACATTTTTCTTCCAGAGAGAAATATGCAATTTATACTTCCAGTCACAGGTTATATACACCTCATTCTGTGCATCCTTGCTAACTCTAGGTTTCTGAGAAATACTTTTTGCTAGGCTGATAAATTTTTATTTATATTCTTATATTATTGAGGTTTTTTCTTTTGATATTAATGGCTATTAAATTTTACCAAAATTTTTGTGGAGCATATTTTCATGCTTTCACGGCATTTTTCGCTAAGCAATTTACCTGGTGAATTTGGTGAATTACATTGATAGTTTATTTCATGAGATACCATGAAAACACTCATTACACTTCCTAATGAATATTCGTTTTTATATTATCTGTTCAGTGTATGTTTACTAGATTGCTAACTGGTTTTTCAGATTTCAATTTATAATTATTTTATTTTCTAAGAATGTATGATGGAGTAAAAACTGTTTAAAGAGCACTATTTAAAAGAGCTCAAGCATGCCACTAAAAATATTTCTCATTTGTTAAGAAGAAATTATATAAACTTTTAAAAAATGTTAGTGATATCAGTGGCTTTAATGTTTTGTGCCTGTCAAATTAATATGGTATTACTTACAGAATATTGATGTGATTCCATTTGGTTGGATAAATTAAATAAATGGTACACTGCTGTAATTACTATAGTTTTATAATATATCTTACTACGTGGTCGTATAAGTCTTACAGCTTTGTTCTTTTTCTGAAAGACTCACTTGAATATTCTAGAGTATCTGCATGACTATGTAAAGTTTATAATCTGATAAACAATGCAAAAGAAAATGAAAATTTAGGGGTGTGAATGGGATCATATTGAATCTACATATTATATATTAATGTATTAAAGTGAGGAGAATTTTCATCTTTATAATATAGAGTCTGACAGTTCATGAATATGGTATATTCTTGCATTTATTTCAGTCTTTTTTAATTTCCCTGGGCAATCAAAAAATTTATTGTGGAGACCTTATAACTTTTAAGTTAGATTTATTTTGAGATATTTGATGTGTTTCAAACCGATTTTAAATGATATTGGCTACTGTGCAAACACTAAGAAAAGTTAGTGCAGCCACACTAATATTAGACAATAAGCCTACTTTAAGACAAGAAGCATTATTAAAAGAATATTTGATGATGATACAAGGGTAAATCCAGAGTGTAATATAATAATACTAAAATTGTGAGGACTTAACATATGGAAAATAGTTAATGAAATAAGGAGAAATCTACAAATTCAGAATCCGATTAGAAAGTTAAGTATATCTTGGGCCGGGCGTGGTGGCTCACACCTGTAATCTCAGAACTTTGGGAGGCCGAGGAGGGTAGATTGCTTGAAGTCAGGAGTTCGAGACCAGCCTGGTCAACATGGTGAACCCTGACTCTACTAAAATACAAAAATTAGCCAGGCATGGTGGCAGGCCCCTGTAATCCCAGCTACTTGGGAGGCTGAGGCAGGAGAATCACTTGAACCCAGGAGGTGGAGGTTGCAGTGAGTTGAGATCACACCACTGCACTCCAGCCTGGGTGACAGAGTGAGACTCTATCTCAAAAAAAAAAAAAAGTTAAGTATGTATCTCTTTCAATAGATGATAGAATAAGCACACATTCCTCTAATACAAATATAAAAGACTGGAACAATAATATTGACAAATTTTACCTAATTTGTAACTTTAGAATGACTTCACTTATAAGTGGCAAAATTTACCTTAATTTCAAGTGCACATGTAATATATTTTAAAACTATCGGATTTTTTAAACAACCTTAAAAATGTCAGTAATTCAGAATATAACCTCTGACAGTGATAAAATTAACCAAGATACCAACAACAAAAAATAACTAGCAAAAAGACTACCACATAGAATTAAATAAAAATTGTAATAATCTGTGAGCCAGAAAGGGTATCAAAATAGACATGATAAAGTGTTTTAATCTGAATGACAAGAAAGATACTAATATATATATAAACATAGAGATGCTTTTTGATGCTTGCGAAAATAGCTTGCAATTAATAGGAAAAATTAGTGGTGTTTCAATTAAAAAGATATCTAACTCTCAAATTATTTTTAAGATCACTTAGTTATGTTCAGATAACCTTTTAAAAAATAAATGGTTATTATATGATCACTTAAAATACTGCTCCAAGCTATCACACAAGTATTTTTTTTTTGTTTGGTTTGTTTTTGGTTAACATTATTTATTAAAATCTACAAGGTAAGTTTGTACTACCTTTTCTAGATTGCCATAGCATTACCATGTACAGACCTCTACTATAGCATTTGAATTTTTATAAGCCAATATTTGAAATGACTTTCTACTCTACTAATCAATTGGTATTGTCATACCTTATTAATCTAAGCCTATAATCAAGCAGAGTACCATATAAGATAGACACTTAATAAATGTTAGTTGAGGGGATGTGTTAAAATACTCATGTCTATAGACTAGAAAAAAAATGGGAAAAAGCATCATGTGTGAGCATCAAAGGCAGGTACAGTAGATTTACCCTGCTGAGGACTTAGATGTTCTTAAATTCGGCATAAAATTTCCAAAGACATTTCGGG